>NC_000002.12:9403939-9706969 GCF_000001405.40 Homo sapiens
CAATCATACTTAACAAAACTACTGATGGTTTATGACAACGTAGGGTAACTACAGTTCATTCTGTTCCAGGTTATATAAAACTGCATTTCCTGAATTTGGTTAAAAACTAAGGATGATGGATTGCAAAACAGTTCTTTTAAATTAGTTTATATGCTTTAGGTGTTTTGGAATTTGCCTTCTTGAACTTCCTGAGTCACACAGAAAGCAACTGTACACAGTAGAATTCTGTGGCGCAGACCATGCTGTATTAACACATCACTTGCTGTTTCCTACTGAGTGTACCACTGCCTTCCCTTCTAGCCCAGGAGAATGTTTACTCAGTTTAGTGTCTTGTATTTCTATAATACTCCAACAGGAATGGTAGTCACACTGTCTTGAAATTGAATCTGTCCATCTGTTTATAATCAAGAACATATCAGAAATATATAGGTCCCAGGTAATACTCCCAAACATCCCACTTTTTACTGTTTCAGGCCATCATATCATTCTTAAGCTACTTGGGGTGGTAGTAGAGGATTAGGTTGTCTATTATAAAACCAAAACTCATTCGTTTAATGAACTTGACTGTCATACCTCTATTTAGTAATTGCGAGGGTAAGATTCATAGTAGGAATATTGGAAATTTTGGCACTCTGAGAATAAATAGGCATATGATACCCACTTGGACTTTTAACAAAAGTAAAGGAATAAATTTGCATATAGGCTTGGAAAGTGAGGCAGCAATGCTGTTAACTGCATTTGTTGTGATGGTGCATTTGATTGAAGCAGCTTGTCTTTATTATGCAAGACTGTGTAGAGTTTTTTTTTTTTTTGGCATTGTACTTTTTGTTTTTGTTATAAAGGAAGACAGAACAAACTGGAATGTTTTATGATGTTGTATAGCAATCGCTTTTTACCTTTCAAAGTTCCGGGTAAAAATGTGTTATATCTGTAGTTTTTTGTTTTTGTTTTTTTTTAAAGCACTACATCTGTTTTCACTAATTGTTAATTTCTGTTTGAACCCTTCATTTAATTTTCTCATAGATTTAAGTAAACAGATGTATTTTGCACAGTGCACTTATGTCTATTTTAACAATCCTCCTGCATCTGTATTTTATAGTCAGCCTTTTGACCACCTGGTGCCAGCTATATAAGGAATAAAGTTGATTCATATCAACATTAGAACTCCAGTCCCAAACTAATCTGTCAGGTTCACTGGTACATAAATACCTAGGAAATATTTTTCCAGTCTACAATTTGGTGCTATTGTGCAGTAACTAATAGTACTCTTACCAGAGGAGAAATTATATTAACGACCCTGCTAATATCCTTTCTTAGTTATTTGCTCCTTGCAAATTAAAAAAGCAACTAAGAGAAAGAAAAACATTGTAGATATCTATTTATATTTAAAGTTTATGTTTCATGAACTGCAGCTGCAGGATTCTGGCATTTTGCATGCCATTCTCCATCAGATCTGGGATGATGGCTCAGAACATGTACACAGACTAAGAGTAACTGTGTGATCTGTTAAGGGGTGGATAACATAATATGCAGCTTAGGATGCTATTTTGAGATGTATGATATTCAGTTCATTCACCTGATTACTTTGGTTGCAGCACAACTGTATATATTGTATAACCGAAATTGATTATTTTCATTGTCCTTAATGCAGTGATTTATAATTAGAGCATGTTTAATAAGTTTACTCTTCTTGTTAACTAGTCATTTGACTGGAAAAAAATAAAATACTTTTAAATGGACATGGTTTTATTTTTAATGTTTTTAATCTTTAAAGTTTTGTATATTGACAGTCCTTTAAAAAAAGTACACTATCATACTGTACATGGGATCTTTACATACTTTTAGCATGAGCGGTAATCTTTTAAGGTTCTCTTAACTCTAGGAATTGTGGTTGGCCAGCATGTTATCTTGACCAGACACTTCTGAAAATCTGCTTTGTGTGTCTTAAGTTGGCAATGTCACTGTTCCAGACCAGCATGAATCCTGGTCTCCAGTCCACACCTCTGCCGGACAGAGGTCCATGCCAGTGATACCATGACTGGGAAGCCACCACTGAGCCCATGTCCTCAGTCTTCCTCAGGCCTTCAGTGTGTGTCACTGAGTGGACCTCTGTGACATCTCGTCTTCCTCAGGCCTTCAGTGTGTGTTTGTCACTGAGTGGACCTCTGTGACATCTCGTCTTCCTCAGGCCTTCAGTGTGTGTTTGTCACTGAGTGGACCTCTGTGACATCTAGTCTTCCTCAGGCCTTCAGTGTGTGTTTGTCACTGAGTGGACCTCTGTGACATCTCGTCTTCCTCAGGCCTTCAGTGTGTGTTTGTCACTGAGTGGACCTCTGTGACATCTCGTCTTCCTCAGGCCTTCAGTGTGTGTTTGTCACTGAGTGGACCTCTGTGACATCTAGTCTTCCTCAGGCCTTCAGTGTGTGTTTGTCACTGAGTGGACCTCTGTGACATCTCGTCTTCCTCAGGCCTTCAGTGTGTGTTTGTCACTGAGTGGACCTCTGTGACATCTAGTCTTCCTCAGGCCTTCAGTGTGTGTTTGTCACTGAGTGGACCTCTGTGACATCTCGTCTTCCTCAGGCCTTCAGTGTGTGTTTGTCACTGAGTGGACCTCTGTGACACCTAGGCTTCTGTGACACTTAGGTTAAGCTTATTAGAAGTTGAAAAAGACAAATGAAGTTTTTTAGCCCAGAAAATAGATGACTTCATTGAGAGTTAACTCACTGTGTAATAGGACACATTTTAATAAACAAATGATCAGCATTTTACACAATCCATTTTCTTCAGAAAATCTAGAGCAAGGGATAACTTCATTATTTGCATAACATTTCAGCATTGCAGTTTGAAAACAGCTGAACTTTCAGATGAAGTTGACTTCTACTTGATTGCAGGATTCAGGGTTTCTCAGATGTTAATACAGAGTCAAAAGCGGTGGATAAAACCTTGCAAATGGCTTGTGCTTGTTCCTACATTACATGAAAGATAGAGTAAGAGCAACATTCATCTGTCTCTTCGTGAACTTAATTTGGCTAGCAGAGGCACACACCTGACCCTCTTAAGACCTCTCCTAAGCAAGCCGACCACACATGCCTGCCTGGGTCAGTGGAACCCATACTATGAGCTTCCCTGCACGTGGGCCCTTTCTGCCCTCCTTCAGAGGAAAGCAAACAGCGACTGCAGCCTGCAAAGGCTGATCACGCAGTCTAGGAGGGCAACAACGTTCGGAAATGGAAGAAGCCTTCGGCCCCTGGAGGATACATTTTTCCTCAGCTGCTTTGTTTACCTTTTAAATCCCGGCACAAGCGAGTGCTGCCACTGGCCCTAACAAATATTTCACAAACCTGCACTGTCTTGCCAGCCGGCTGACCTCCGGCCTAATATTCATTCACTATCCCCAGGCCAAGATATTCCATATATAATGGATTGTATTTCTTCAGCCTTCAAAAACAGTAGTCCCTGGGTGTTGCGACTTGATGGGCAAGCAGCTAACCAAAGTAACGAAGTCTCACCAGGCTGTTGCACTGATAAACCCACAGGCTGTATTCCTCATTGCTTGCATCTGTGGTCTTCAGAGCCAGTAAGCTTTTTCCCGCCCCCAGACCGTCATCGTAACACACCATCCGGATTATTAAGTAGAGAGCATGCCTGTGCAAAACATCCTGCAGAAGTCAGGAAAGATTCCGAGAGATCAGGACTCTCAAATGTTTGTCAGTCCTGATGACACACCCTCCCAGGCAGAGTGAGGCTTGAAACAGCATATCCATAGGTTTCTCACCCCAAGGGATGTCCTGTATGCTCAGTCTCGGGCAATGCCTTCAGATCCCAGCAAGCCAGGAGTGCAGTGATCTAAACTGACTATCCCAGTGTCTGTGCCCACCGTCCAAGCTGACAGCTGCTCTTAATTGATGAGGGGCCCTTAGTTGAAAATGCATTCGGAGCCATCTGTGTGTTTGGGGGTGGGGGGGGCAGGTTGCATGGGCCCTTCCAACACAGGAGAGAAAAGGAAGCCCCTATTCACCTTAAGAAATTGGTCACGTTTAAGACCAACTGCCAGGAATGTTTACAAACCAATCACTCTGCAAACAGGAGTGGCCCTAATTATAAGGGGGCTCTTAATGGCCTGAATTCCCTGTTATCTAAAACATAGTTTTCTTAATAAATTATATTACTTACATATTGATCTGATGTTGATACTTTTATGCCATACTTGGAAACTCCCATAATAAATTCTTCCTCCGGAGGAACAAAAGGCAACTTTCCATCTTGCTTTAAAGTAAAAATAAATTCCATGATAAAGATTAAAATTACATAATAGTCTTAAGTCTGACTAGTCACTTTGAGTATCTGGCCATCGCAAGCCCAAACCCTTTAAAGAATGTGGGGTACACATTAGCCAGGCAAGAGTCTCTCTCCCAGAGGCAGAAGAAACATTTCCCCCCATTTACAAAAAGGTTATTTTTATTTTTGAGACAGAGTCTCACTCTGTCGCCCAGGCTATAGTGCAGTGGCATGATCTCAGCTCGTTGCAACGTCTGCCTCCTTGGTTCAAGTGAGCACATCCGGCTAATTTTCGTATTTTTAGTACAGATGGGGTTTCATCATGTTGGCCAGGCTGGTCTCGAACTCCTGACCTTAAGTGATCCACCCACCATAACCTCCCAAAGTGCAGGGATTACAGGCATGAGCCACCATGTGGGCCAATTTATTTATTTTTAAATCGAGGTGGGATCTCACTATGTTGCCTTAGGCTGGTCTTGAACTCTTCTTGGCCTCAGGTAACTCTCCCAAGTTGGCCTCCCAAAGTGCTGGCATTACAGGCATGAGCCACTGTGCCCAGCCGCATTTTTACAGCCCACAACTCTGAGCAAAATTCACATCCATCCCTTTCATGCATATTGTTTGTCTTGGAGTTAATCCTAATTACACACTGAGCTGCTTCTCACAAAACCTGCTGATGTTAAAATACCTACATGAGAAAAATGAAGATCTTCATTTCCACAGCATAGACCAGTGTTAGCGTGTGGGATGATCAGGAAGCAGAGCCCACATATCCTGCCCAGATGGGAAGGCGTGTCTGGTGATGCCACGCCTCAGGGCTTCGGGCTGGCAAGTGCTGCTGATGAGCAGTTACTCCACTCACAAAAACATGAATTGGGGTTTTCAGCTACTCAGGAACCGCAGATAATCCCTGACAGCTTCCCTGGCGGACGATCCGGTCTCGGCTCCCAGACCGGAATACCACCTACTTCGTCTTCCCTAACGTAAGACGCTGTTGGCAACCTATGGATGTTCTGTACTGTCAATGGTTTTGTGGAACCACTCGCCCACATTAAAGACATTACAGTAAATAAGCTGCATCCCAATACCTTACTTCTTGGGTCCTCACAATGTTACAGTACCCGCTTGCCAATCGCTTCCCACAGTGGGTTTAAAGCAATTCCAAGAACCACGGTATGGGATAATAGTCAAGCTATTGTCAATACTGGAATTTTAGCAAGCAAAAATTCTATGGTGATATGAGAAATTTAGTAGTCCTTATAGGAATGAAAATAATGCTAGTGTATTTTTGAGGGGAAGAATTATTAATCTTTCAGTACAACACTTAGACTGGTTGTAGCTTTTATGGTTAAGACCACACTGAACGTTGCGGCTCGTTCTTGGAACTACAACTTTAAGCGAAATCACGCATATAACAAAACCATTTTTTTTTCTCATCAACATCATAAAACATTATAACAAAATGACCTTGAAAAACGAGTTACTTGGAGGAACTAATCTAGGTGGTTTTCCAAGAACCAATCAATGAGGTTACGTGAGGACTTAATGTAGTTTGTTGGAATGACTTTATATTCCCAACTAAATGCTGGAAAGTAATTATACTTGTCCAAACTACCGTGAGTTCTTTTTTTTTTTTTTTTTTTTGAGACGGAGTTCTGCTCTTGTTGCCCAGGCTGGAGTGCAATGGCGCGATCTCGGCTCACTGCAACCTCCACCTCCTGGGTTCAAGCGATTCTCCTGCCTCAGTCTCCCGAGTAGCTGGGATTACAGGCATGCGCCACCACACCCAACTAATTTTTTTGTATTTTTAGTAGAGATGGAGTTTCACCGTGTTAGCCAGGATGGTCTCTATCTCCTGACCTCATGATTCACCCACCTCGGCCTCCCAAAGTGCTGGAATTATAGGCCTGAGCCACCGCGCCCAGCCCGAGTTCTCTCTTAAATGGCAATTTAGATTCACTGATGTCCTTCAGACAGAAGTATCTTCCTTTACTTTCATAAAGATATGAAACTTCATTTCAGGTTTTTTTTGAGACAGTCTTACTGTTCTGTCACCCAGGCTGGAGTGCAGTGGTACAATGATGGCTCACTGCAACTTTGACTTCCTGGGCTCAAGGAATCCCCCTGCCTTGGCCTTCTGAGTATCTGGGACTACCAGTGCATAACACCACACTCAGCTGATTTTTTAAAATGTTTTGTAGAGATGGGGGTCTTGCCCAGGCTGGTGTTTTGTTTTGTTTGAGACAGTCTCACTGTGTCACCCAGGGCTGGAGTGCAGTGGCACAATCTTGGCTCACTGCAGCCTCTGCCTCCTGAGTTCAAGCAAGCAGTTCAACCTCAGCCTCCCGAGTAGCTGGGATTATAGGCATGCACCACCACACCCAGCTAATTTTTGTATTTTTAGTAGAGACAGGGTTTTGCCATATTGGCCAGGCTGGTCTTGAACTCTTGGCCTCAAGTGATCTGCCCCCCTTGGCCTCCCAAAGTGCTGGGATTACAGGCATGAGCCACTGTACTCAGCAATTAAAATTGTTTTTTTTGTAGAAATGAGGTTTCACTGTGTTGCCCAGGCTGGCTTTGAACTCCTGGGTTCAGGTGATCCCCCTACTCTGCCTCCCCCAAAATGCTGGGATTACAGACGTGAGCCACCATGCCCTGCCACGCTGTATTTCATATTCTCATTCTCTGTGATTTAAGAGAGTACACATTCTTAACACTCTCTGAAGTTAAGGAATCTTGGTATTGCAGTTAATATCCCTCTTTTAATGCGCACATAAAAATGTAATTTCATTTTCTAGAAACTCCAGAAGCAATTTACTTTCTTTTTTTTTCTCTCATTACCGAATTCACTCTTTTGGCTCATGTACTTCCACCATTGGCAAGGGTACAGATTTTATAACATTTCACGTTTATATATCTTATACTTTTGATTTAATTTTCATTCTTAATTTTCCTTCATGATGATGATTTTTTATCTTCTTGATTTTATCTTTTTGAAACCCACCTCATCTCAATTCTTGTTGGAAACCTTGCATGAATAAACAGATATGTTAGGTGGACATCATTATGAATTAGATTATTGAGAGACAGAACTGGTCTGATGGTGGTACGGTAAGGTTTTGCCAGATTATTTTAAAAGAAGAATCTATGGAATATAACCAGTCACCGCAACCAGCTCCTCATTTAAATAGGATTGATCAGCCCCATAAAAAAGTATTAATAGGCCGGGCACAAGGGCTCAGGCCTGTAATCCCAGCGCTTTGGGAGGCCGAGGCAGGTGGATCAGGTGAGGTCAGGAATTCACAACTAGCCTGGGCAACACAGTGAAACCCCATCTCTACTAAAATACAAAAAATTATCTGGGCCGTGGCAGCATGCGCCTGTAGTCCCAGCTACTCAGGAAGCTGAGGCAGGAGAATCGCTTAAACCCGGAAGGCAGAGGTTGCAGAGAGCCGAGATTGCACCACTGCACTCCAGCCTGGGCGACAGACCGAGACTCCATCTCAAAAAAAAAAAGAAAAACAAGTATTAAAAAGTACTGTGGGCCGGCCACAGTGGCTCACGCCTATAATACCAGCACTTTGGGAGGCCAAGGCGGGAAGATCACCTGAGGTCGGGAGTTCAAGACCAGCCTGACCAACATGGAAAAACCCTGTCTCTACTGAAAATACAAAATTAGCCGGGCATGGTGGCGGGCGCCTGTAATCCCAGCTACTTGAGAGGCTGAGGCAGGAGAATTGCTTGAAGCCGGGAGGCGGAGATTACAGTGAGCCGAGATTGCACCACTGTACTCCAGCCTGGGCAACAAAAGCGAAACTTGGTCTCAAAAAAAAAAAAAAAAAAAAAGTACCGTGTTTGAAGGGAGGAACAGCGCCTGTGTTCCCATGCAGCTCAGCGCTCACGCACATGTGCGGTGGTGATGCGGGGACTTCAGTCGAGAGCAAGCGGAGCGGCACCCAGTGGACCCGAGGAGTGAGCATTTTGCCCCAAAGCCATGAGTTGGCTCCCCAGACTCTCATAACCAGAGAGTTACGGAATTTTTTTTTTTTACCTGGGCAACGTCTATATAATTTATCAGGTCTAATGGCCCTTCAAGGCCTTTTCCCTCGGAGAGTTTCAGTTTCTCAATGGCACCAACATATTTTATTCGAAATTCTGCACAGGTATCTGAATTATTGTTGCTTTGTCCTGAAGATGAAAGAAAAGTGGTAAGACTTAAGAAGAAATATCTGCATTACAGAGTATCCTCAGTCCCTTCCCAAATAAAAACCAGACTGTCATTAGAACATAACCACTAATTACAAATTTTATAATACACAATATTTTTATGTAATGGGGAAGAACTTAAAATTTCACTAACCTTTTCCTCAGTGACTCATGGTATACTAAATATAGTATACAAAGGTCTCAATAATAGGAATAAATATATTAACCTTCCCTTCAAAACAAACAGTAAAGAAAAGGTTACTACATAATGATTACCTTTATGACGCATGGTATTTACTTTTGGTTCTTTCTCCCTCTTCACCATTTTTTTTCCCCTTAGAGAGAGGGTCTCACTACGTTGCCCAGGCTGGTCTTGAACTCCTGGGCTCAAGCGATCCTACCATCTTGGCCTCCCAAAGTGCTGGAATTACAGGCATGAGCCACTGTGCCTGGCCTACCATGTTAGCTTGCTTTCCTCATTCAGGAAGCCTACTCTTCCTCTATCGTTCCATCAGAAAGACCACATAGTTTGTCTTTTTAATGTCGATGGAATAATGCCAGGCAGAAATTCTCTTAACGTAACAGCAACGGTTGAAGAGCTGTGTGTGCCGCAACATCCAGCCAACACAAAAACTCCTACAAACGACTTATAACCTCAACCATATTAAGGAAATACTATATGATTACTTTTAGGTTATGTAACAAAAAGATGTCCACAACTTTCATAATTTTAAAGGCATCTGGCAGGAAAGACAATGGACCTAATGCTCCAACATTTTCTGTTACAGATTCACTAGGACAGGTTCCTGAAGGGAGAAAGAGGAATTTAGACAAGAAAATGAATATATTTCCAGTTAGCCGCCAGCTACTTAGGGAGCTAAGGTTAGAAACCACCTCTTGATTTCTTTTTTTTTCTTTTTTTTGAGATGGAGTCTTATTCTGTCACCCAGGTTGGAGTGCAGTGGTGCGATTCTCAGCTCACTGCAACCTCTGCCTCTGGTTTCAAGCAATTCTCCTGCCTCAGCCTCCCAAGTAGCTGGGATTACAAGCATGCGCCACCACGCCCGGCTAATTTTTTGTATTTTTAGTAGAGATGGGGTTTCACCATGTTGGCCAGGCTAGTCTCAAACTCCTGACCTCAGGTGATCCACCTGCCTTGGACCCCCGAAGTGCTGGGATTACAGTCGTGAGCCAACGCACCCAGCCTGTTTCTAAGATCTACTAATTTCGGGCAGCTGCATAAATATCTACAAGGGTCTGGGACAGATCCTCCCCTTAATTACTTGTGTTGGTGGTGGTCATGAGCTGGTGAATCTCTGGGTTCCTTGGAGTAAATGAAAGGCTCCTTAGCCCTTTAATCACCAAGATATTTGCCCTATTCCCCATAGACAACATAAGTCCAATGGAATTCATCTTCTGCCACCCCATTTCTTTCCATTTTATTTTTAATTTTTGTGGGTACATAGTAGGTGTATGTATTTATTGCCACCCCATTTCTTAAAAAACTATTTTGAAACTTCCATTTTGCCCATGTGCCTGTGCCAATCTCCAAAGGCTATGTGGTTTCCCCCAATCACACCACACCCTCAGCCCACGTCCCGCCAAATCTTGGTCCACTTCTAAACTCTTGTCAAAAGTGGCAAAGGAGAGGAAGAAAGCCACAAATACTGAAGAACTCATTGTGCTACCCCAGTAAAACCACGTGAACATCAATGAAAAGCGCAGACAATCAATGATCCAACCCTTTTATGTACCTGAGCTTTTGGTGGAATCTGTGTCGAGGCTGGCCACAGTGCTGGATCGTGAAAGACCCCCAAGGCTAGAATCCACAGACTGAGAAACAGAAAAACAAGTAAAAAACCTCCACTGAAGCAGCCCTGTCTTCTCTAAAGTCCTCTAACCCATTCACATCATTTATTAGAGTTGAGCTGACACATACAAAACCATGTCAATTATTCAGGCATATCGACTGTGCAGATTTTTCTTAAGACAAATTCTGTAACAAACTTCAAAAAAAAAACCACATAATCCCAACTGTTCGTTCGTCCCATGACATAATATCGGATAAATGCGGTGGCAATATTCTTAGTCGATTTAAATCGAAGCCATTACCGCCACCTCCTTACAAGATGCCTTCTATGAATATTCTTGCGAACATCTCTGCCTTGCTTTCACATGAGTTCCACTGAACCCAAAACAAACCCTGTGCAGAAAGCCAGGCAAGGACCATGATCCCCGCTTACTAAATGAGGAAGGAGACTGAGACTTTAGTGACTTATCCAAGGTCACATCTAGTAAATGGCTCCAATCTCAAACCTAGGTCTCTAATTCTAGGTCTCTGGTCCAGTGCTTCTGCAATTATTCTGACTAGTGTCTGGCCTGCAGCAGGAATTCAGAGGCTAACTGGCAGGACAGAGCAGACTATCATGTGAACTGCCACCAAAAAAACAACAAAACTGTTGAGCAAAATAGAATCACATGTAAAGGGAGTTGTTCCTCAGAGCTACACTCCCAATTTCTTTAGAAATAATAGTCTCTGGCCGGGCACAGTGGCTGACACCTGTAATCTCAGTACTTTGGGAGGCTGAGGCGGGTGGATCACCTGAGGACAGGAGTTCGAAACCAGCCTGGCCAACATGGTGAAACCCCGTCTCTACTTAAAAAAAAAAATATGGCTGGGTGTGGTGGCTCACGCCTGTAATCCCAGCACTTTGGGAGGCTGACGTGGGTGGATCACCTGAGGTCAGGAGTTCGAGACCAGCCTGGCCAACATGGTAAAACCCCGTCTCTACCAAAAATACAAAAATTAGCTGGGCATGGTGGCGGGCACTTATAATCCTAGCTACTCGGGAGGCTGAGGCAGGAGAATAGCTTGAACCCAGGAGGTGGAGGTTGCAGTGAGCCAAGATCACGCCACTGCACTCCAGCCTGGGCAACAAGAGTGAAACTCCATCTCAAAACAAACAAACAAAAACACACACACAAAAAAAAACACAACAATACAAAAATTAGCCAGGCTTGGTGGCACATGCCTGTAGTCCCAGCTATTTGGCAGGCTGAGGCAGGAGAATCGCTTGAACCCACAGGCAGAGGTTGCAGTAAGCCGAGATCACACCACTGCACTCCAGCCTGGGCGACAGAGTGAGGCTCCGTCTCCAAAAATAAAAATAAAACAAGACATTGGGCCACACAGATGAGATTTCCCTGTAGGGTCCCCACGCTTAAGGCTGAGGAAGTGGCAGTAGGGAGGTTCTGTGTTGAGCAGCTCCAGGAGTTCAAAAACTTCCAAGAACATGGTTCGTTTCCCCATTCTAAGGCTGCACAGGACTCCTACAATGTCAGCTTTCTGTGCTTCTGGTTACAAGGCCACCAGCTCAGCTGAGATAAGCCAGCTTACCCTGCCCTGACTGGAAACTGAGTGGCAGTCGTGTGTCTTTGTCTCATTCACATGTGGCTGTTATTTAACAGCGTGGCACATGTGGCACATGGGAGGCCCGGCAGGCACCCGGGATGAAAGGTCTAGGGAGGCATCTCCTGAGGGGGCCTTGTGCGACCCTGCGAGACGCCTCCTTCTGTGCTGTGCCTCACCCCGGTCCTGGGACTGAGTGAACACACAACTTTAAAATTAGAGCATTCGCAAGGGTGGAAAATCATGAAAAGGCTGTTGAGTCACGGCATCCCATCCCATCCCACTCACTCACTCATTGACCCGACTCAGCCTCCAGCTTCCTGCCTGTGCCTGGGATGTCTAACCCCCTTCCTCATTTATGCCTATTTGACCCGTATATTTTAAGGTCTCATTCACTACCTGCTTTTTTTTGGGAAGACTTCTGTGATGGTTAATTTTATATATCAACTTCTCTGGGCTAAGTACCCAGATACTTGGTCAAATACAAGTCTAGACATTGCCGTGAAGGTGTTTCTTTAAATGAGATTAACGTCTACACCAGCAGACATGGAGTACAGCAGAGGACCCTCCACCGTGTGGGCGGGCCTCATCCAAGCAGGTGAAGGCCTTAAAGGAAAATGACTCAGGCTCCCAAGGAGAAGAGTCTGCCTCCAGCTGCCTCCAGGCTGCCTTTGGGCTCAAGCTGCCACTCCCACTCCCACTCCCAGGGGTCTTCAGCCCGCCCTGCAGATTGCAGACTTGCAGCCCCCACAGTCACATCAGCCAATTCTTCAAAATAAACCTTGAAAATACATCAAAATCTCTAGGATATAAACACATCCTACTGGTTCTCTGGAGAACTCCAACTAATACGACTTCCTCCACAACTTTAGGCCTACAACCTCCCCAGTCTCTGAATCCCTCAAGCAGTATCTGTCATTACCTCACGCACCTTCATGTTTTCTGAATTATTCACTGTCTCTGGGTGTCAATCATGTCTCAAATGGTATCTGGCATCCAGGTAGAAACACCTGGAATGAATCACTTTTTCTGCCTCCCACAGCACCTGGTATGTTAAGGGTTTAAGCTTCGATAACTCTCTTTTCCTCATACTCCACAAGCCATCATCATCGATCCATGGGTCCCATGAGTGCCACCTCAAACTCTCTGCAGAACCTGAGGTTTCAGCGCTTCCTTCACACCCCGTCCAAGCCCCCATCATCTCTCAGGTTCTTACCACATCCTCCCCGGCAGTCTCTCTGCTCCTGCCCTTTCCCTGCTCACAGTGGCCAAAGTGACCCCCAACAAAACTTATATAATATTCTGTCACTCCCTGGCCCCAGGCGCCCCCTGCTTTACTCTCAGAGTAAAAGCCCAGGTCTTCACAACACCTGCACCTGCCTCGCCCAGGCCACGCTGGTCTCCCTGCTGTCCCCCAAACACACAGGCTCACTCCTCCCATGGGCCTTTGCTCTCTCCTCTCCCTAAACTGCGATCCTTCCAGATCTTATCATGGCCCCACTTCTCCTGTAGGCCCCTGCTCAAATGCCACCAAGAAAACAAGGCCTTTTCTCGGGAGGAGGGGCAGAAAAAAATAAATAAGACCTTTTCTTTTCTTTTTTTTTTGAGACGGAATCTTGCTCTGTCACCCAGGCTGGAGTCCAGTGGTGTGATCTCAGCTCACTGCAACCTTCGACTCCTGGTTCAAGCAACTCTCCTGTCTCAGCCTCCCAAGTAGCTGGGACTACAGGTGTGTGCCACCACACCAGGCTAATTTTTGTATTTTTAGCAGAGATGGGGTTTCACCATGTTGGCCAGGTTGGTCTCAAACTCCTGACCTCAGGTGATCTGCCTGCCTTGGCCTCCCAAAGTGCTGGGATTACAGGCATGAGCCACCGTGCCCGGCCTGAAAATAAGACCTTTTCTACCAGACTGTTGAATACTGCCCCTCTCCCAATCTCCCACCCCCTCCATTCCTGTAGTTTCTTCCCCCCGTGTTAGTTTCCACCATCTGAAACTCTATATTTTACTTATTTATTCATTATTTTCTCCCCCAACTGAAATGGAAGCTCTGAGGCCAGGAATTTCTTCCCTCTCCCTAACTGCTCTATTTTATGCCCCTTAAACAGAGTTTGGCACACAGCCATGCTCAACAAATACTCGGTGAATGAATGAGTGTTCACGTGCCATTGTCCAGGAGGTAGAAATAAAATTGCCATTCTTCTAAACACCAACAAAATTGGTGTCAAAAACCTAGAACAAATATAATGCAGCTATCTTTATACTCTTATATTGAAAAATTATCTGTCAGTCAAAATGAAATCACTTTATTACTTGAGACAAAAGTTGCCAGTTGAATAGCTCCTCAACGGTTTGTTTTGCATGAATTAAATCCACGCTTACCTTCCAACAGCATTCAAAAACTCTCTGGTATACAGCTATCTGCCAATCTCACTCTTAAGTAAAAGTAATTATGCACACCACAAACCCTAGAATTCAAGAGGCCCAGCCCCTTAATGCCTGCAATTTCTATCATTTAAAAATTTTTTAAATCAGTGCTTATTTCAACGAAACCATTCATAGGTCATGTCCCATCTAGTTTAATGGATTTAAGAATTTCAGAAAACCTACCAGAACAGACAAAATGAAGCCAAGCATAGAATGCATCTCTAGTGCAAAAAGTAAATGTTAAAACACACTAGTTTGAAGATTATCAGGAGATCTGCCCACGGTCAGTATCCTCCATACAATATCAGCTAGAAGAAACAAAACTCTCCCTGCTTTATGATTCTGTTCCAAATTCCATTTCCCTACCTTGCTCTTAGTACTGATTTCGCTACTTTGGGAACTGCTACTACTGTGTCGTTTTTTGCCCTTGCGAAACATTTTTCACCACCATTGCTTGATCCAGAGAAGATCCCCTGAAAAAACAAATATTGGTAACAGTTACATCGGGAAAAGCAACTTTTTTTTTTTTTTTTTTAAGAGACAGAGTCTTGCTCTTACCCAGGCTGGAGTGCAGTGGCACAAACATGGCTCTGCAGTCTTGACCTCACACCTCAGCCTCCCCGAGTAGCTGGGACTACAGGCATGTGCCACTACACCCAGCTAATTTCATTTTTTGTAGAGACAGGATCTTGCCATGTTGGCCAGGCTGGTCTCAAACTCCTGCTCTCAGGCGATCCTCCCGCCTTGGCCTCCCAAAGTGCTGGGATTACAGCTGTGAGCCACCATGCCCAGCCAGGAAAAGCAACTTTGATATTGGTTACAGTTACATCAGGAAATGCAACATTAAATCACTTTATGCAAAATAGAAATAAAAATCATCAATTAACTTTTCCCTTGGATACTATTCCTTTTCATTCTTTCCTATTAAATTATAGAAAGTTAACCCAATAAGCAAAAAAGGCAGAAACCTTCTTGTCCTACAGGTGTGAAAAGCACTTTTCTCAAAATTTTCAGACACGTCACCTAGTTCTCAAAATTTTAAGGGCCTTACTTCTCTTCAATTGAGTCAAGATTTTAGCAAAATATACTATGACACATTGGCTTTTCAGTCGAGATACTAAGATTCAGTAACCCTCTCAGTTTCACATTCTATACTTGGTAGGGCTAAGATATACACACCTCTCAGAAATGTGCATTTTTCTTGAAGTTTTGAAATACCTTTAAGTAAAAGCTGACACAAAGACATTCCCAGGTGCCAGCACCTCACCTCCCCTCTCTATTAAGCGTAGTTAAGGAGATGACCTTGCCTCCCAGAGTCTGTGTTACATATTTCTTTTTTTGAAATTAATAATAATAAATGCATTGGAAACTAAGATTCATCCTTGCCAGTTGCATAAGGACAGCATATACTATACTTGGCAAATTAACTAACCTACATGAAGCTGCACAGCTCACAGAACTCCCGGGACAGTTCTACTGTCATAGCCTCATGATAACCTTGTGACATATCCATTTGCTCTACTGATGCTTTTTAAGGGCATACCATATGCCACACACTCTGCAGGGCTCTAAGCTCTCCCTCAAGGGGCTCACAGAAGGTGGGCTGTAATCTGCCTTTTACAGATGAGGGAACTGTGACCTGCCTCTCAAGACGATTTATGAATAAGATAACCTGATCAATTTTTTACCAAAAACTGTATTCTCCAGAGAGAACAAGAAAATCTGCTTACTATAGAATTGAACACTATTTGACTGTCTTCAAAGGTCCCACATACAGCGGTCTGCACAGAGAGTTTCCTTTCATTCTGACCTGGGTGATGCTTTTCAGAGAAACTACGCACCTGATGAAGGAAAAAGAACGAGCAACTCACGCAGCAGTCAGTGAAAGCTCCTGCTGCAACCCAAAGATTCTCCGTATTTGGAGACCCCACTCTAAGTCCACTTACTAGGGGACGACATTAGGCCACTTGCCCAAGTCTGACCACTGAGCCCAAGCTTTTTAATCAGCCTCATCATCCAATTTACTTCTATATTTTTGCTTTATTTGTGGGGTACCAGGAAAATCTGATTTATTCATTCATTCCTGGATAGTCAGTGAGCACCTACCAGGTGTCGGGGATGCATCAGTGAACCAAACAGAGCCCCTGACCTCAGGGAGCCTGTTCTTAGCGAGAGTAGACAGACCAACAAGAAAAACACACATGAAACATATTATTAGGAAACCACTGCTATGAGGAAAACTAACACAAGTTGAGGAGACACAGACTAATGGAAGGAAGGGGTGGGTATTTCAGAAAAAGATGCTGTAGCTCTTTTTCTGAAAGAAGTGCGGGCAGCCATAAATAGCCTGGAGGCAATGCCGTGCGGGTGGAGAGGGGCCCGAGGGAACAGTCAAGGCTGTCCGGGAGCAGGAGGACAGCAATGGGCCCAAAGTGCCACAGAAGGCCAGGCAGGCCGCGGTAACAGTGGACTTTAGTTTAAGAGGAATACTCTGAAGGCTTTTTATTTATTTTTTGCTTATCTGCTGTGATCTTCTGGAATGGAGGCTTTTAAAAAGCAGTTTAGCGACACAATCAGGTGTCTTCTGTTTTTTAAACGATGACCCTGGCTGCCAGATAGCGAACTAACTCCACTGGATAAGGGTAAAAAGTGAGAGATGTGTTGGAAGAAGACTGCGGGTGATTGCTGCAAAGGGGAACCTTACCAGCACAGGACACTTGTCAGTGAGAGATGGCAGGAGAGCCTTATTCCAAGGCCTGCACGAAACTAGGTTAACGTAGCAGCATAAAGTGCCATGTTAATGGCGCTCACGGGTTAAAATGTTGATGTGTAACATATTTAAACATCAGATACTTAAGTATATATAAATACATATTTATATATAGGTAACAATTTTAAATATGATTTGAATTTTAAATCAAAACTTATTTTAAAAACAAAATGTGATTCTACTGTCAGTGGAATCCTGAAGTGTCTCCTCAAATCCCTTGATATGAAAATCATGACACGACAATGCCTTAGCAACTCCTTAAGGCTTTCTTTTCATCATCAACCCAGCGGCTTAGGAAAAAGCAGCATTTATTAAAGTCTTTGATATCTGCTGCAATTTTGATGCATGTTCTCAAGCAAATCATTCTTGCCTCAAAATTATTCATGGGTGGCTCACGCCTGTAATCCCAGCACTTTGGGAGGCCAAGTCGGGCGGATCACGAGGTCAGGAGATCGAGACCATCCTGGCTAACATGGTGAAACCCCGTCTCTACTAAAAATACAAAAAATTGGCTGTGCGTGGTGGTGGGCGCCTGTAGTCCCAGCTACTCAGGAGCCTGAGGCAGGAGAATGGCGTGAACCCGGGAGGCGGAGCTTGCAGTGAGCCGAGATCGCGCCACTGCACTCCAGCCTGGACGAAAGAGCGAGACTCCGTCTCAAAAAAAAAAAAAAAAAATTATTCATGCATCAAAATGAGGCCAATGATCCTGATTGGCGATTGGATGCTCCGCAGGCTCATCAAATGCAAAGATGTCTCAAGCTGAACCCATCATCCTCCCCTCCAGATCTGCTCCTCTCCTCTCCTCTCCCTGTCAGGAGATTCTATTATTGCTGGAGGAAGCCAGAAAATCATGATTTCCTTGCTGTCCTTCAGGCCCCACATCCAATCTGGCACCAAGACCCACTGTATACCCCACCTGAAGAGCTCTCTGAGCCAGCTCTCCACCAGGGCCCCCGTCATCCTAAACCATGGGCACAGACACTATTTTTTTAGAAACTGATGAATGTGATGGATCCTCACCCTATAAAAATGCACATCCATACAAAGTTTGGCATGAATTTAAGGAATTCACAAACCCAAGGATATTTCGTGGATAAGGGACCTTGTCCTACTGGATTCCCTAACACTTTAAATCTACCCCCACACTGCAGCCAAAACGATTAAAATGATTTCTTTCAAACATGAATCTAATGCCACTAGCCTGCTGAAAATCTTTCACTGGTTCTCCAAAGTCAGAGACCAAAGTCAACGTTCTTCAGCACGACACGCCAGGTCCTCCAGGACCCAGCTCCTAATCACCTTTCCACTTCCATCCTCCACAACCCGGGCACAGTTCATTGATCTCAGCAAGGCAAAGCTGCTCCTGGTTCTCAGCGCGATGCTCCACGCGCCCCTGCTTTGCACCGCCCGGGACGTCCTTCACCTGTCAGGCACTTGGCTACTTCTTACCTTTCAAGGCCCGTTTCAGGCTGCAGGCCTTCCTGGGATCTCAAGGCTGGGGTAAGGGACCCACAGCTTGAGTGTACCCCCTGATCACAGCGCCACGATCTGCTGTGGTCTCTGATCTCACTCTCCCAGCTGCACGCTGGTCAAAGGCGGAGCTCGGTGACTCCTCTGCATTGCCAGGGCGCCTGGCAGGGGACGCGCTTACTGAAGCCGAGAACTTTCTGGGGAGGTGACACCCCAACAGCGATTCCCATGTACCAAACGCCTACCACGTGCCATGCACGGTGCTAGGTGCACAGATCCCTCTCACCCTCACCCTCACCGACCAGCAAGGCTGCAGGATAACAGCCCCTTTCAAACGAGGATGCCAAAGCGCCCGAAGAGTCAGTGACCTGCCCAGGGTCACCAGAGTAAGGACGGATGCGGCCAAGCTCGGGGCCTAGGGAGAGCCGGCTCCGAAGTTCCTCCCAGACGCCAGCCTGCTTGGCACCTGTCTGTCACCGTGATGGAGCACCTTCCAAGCGCTGGGTGCGGAGGATGTGACAGCGAAGGGGACAGACAACCCCGACCCTGAGAGGCGGGAGGCGGCCGAAGCGGGGCAGAGGAAGAGGCAAGGAAACGGCCCGCGGCCGCCCGCCTTGCCGCCCCTCCGGGGCGACAGCGGCTCGGGAAGCTGCAGTCCGCAAGCCCACGCCCGATCTGCGTGGTTCCAAGCTCCTCCACCCGCGCCCCGGGAGCGCGGCCCCGCCCGGAACCAAGCCCGAGCCCAGGCATCCCTCCTCCGCCCGCCCCGCGGCCCCACCCATCCTTCCTGGCCGTCCGCGCCGCTCTCGGGACCGTGTTCCCGTCAGGCCTCCGCGAGCTCGGCCCCAAGCGGGACGAGGGCTGGGCGCTCACCTCGCAGCCGCGGGCCCATCCCCGGGTTGCGGACTTCGGGGTCCGCGTGGGAGTGCCGCGGCCTTTGGCGCCCAGGCAGCTACTCCCGTTCCCGCTCCAGCGCCGGCTTTTCCAGCCCTCCTGCCCACGTCCGCCGGGCCGCGCCTCCAAGACTATGCGCAGGCGCAGTCCTGACGTCCTACCCCCGGTTCCAAGACCCCAAGTGGTGGGAAGCCTCGCGAGCGGCGTCCCCCGACCGGAAGTCGAGGGGAGGAGTCTAGTGCCGCGGGCTCCGGAGTGACGGAAGTTGTGCTCTTGGTGAATGGGGTTCTTCCTTTTTTATTTACCGGTGGCTGTGCTTCCAATTTAGGAAGACCCCGGCGACCTGTTCCTCACCCCCGCTTCGCCCTCACACTTTCGGGATGTCTGCGATTCCTGCTGAGGAGAGCGACCAGCTGCTGATCCGACCCCTGTAAGGGACCAGCGAGAGAGGGAATGAAGCCACGGGCTGTGAGGGGCGCGAGGGGTAACCGGAGACTGGCCTCCTCCGTCGCCCGCGCTCCCACCTACCCCGGCAGCCTGCCTTTGGTCCGCGCTTGCGGGCCAGGCTTCTCAGGCTCGAGGGGTTGGAGGACCGTTGATCGGAAGGGGCCTGCTATAGAGTGAACGGGATTTTGCTTTTTCATCAGTTTCAGGGGAGGGTATGTTGGAGTCGGAAAAAAAAAAGTTTTACGGGGCCACCGCTCGCTTTCGTACACGCTAAGAAGCGTTTTCACTTAGCACAAGCACGGATCTCTGCGCGTCAGGGCAAGCTGTGAGGGAGCCGGTGAAGCTTATGACCGACAGGATGAGAGGAGGACCTGAATGAGGCTACAGCCGTGCAGGGAAGAATTAAGTCTGTTTCTTAACACCAGGGCTTCACATGTGCCAGAAGTTAGAAAATATTAGGGACTTGCCGTGAGTTTCGATCTTCTCAGCTCAGGCCCTAGTAGAATAAGGAAGGTGTAAAGCTGGAGAAGAGAAAGTGCAGAGGTGTTAGGGACAAAAACTCAGCCCTCGACTGTCCATAAGGAGAGTGGCCTTTCAGTGGACACGATCCTCATCAGTCGGGAATGCTGCTGAAGGGGAGATGCAAATGTAGAGAACTTGAATTCCTACAGATGAGCATTTCGAACCCACAACATGTTTATTGTTAGATACTAGTTGGCACAACATGAATATACGCTTTCCAAAAGGTAGAAAGTATCTCCTTTACACAATCATTCAGTAAGGCTTCATTGAGCACCTGCTTGGGACATAGTCCGTTTCCTTCTGCTTAGTTCACACCTGTCATGTCTTCCTGTGATGAGCAAACACTGAGCAAGTGTCAAGCACCACACATGGGGATATAGACGCAACAGAGGGCCCAGTTAATTGCTCTCGCTCTTTTGGAGAGAATTACAGTGCACAGTGGGAAATATTGGAGAGATACTTTGGAATAATAGGAGACTATTACTTTGAAGTCAGACCTGAAGTCCATTATCTACTTGACCAATTAGTAGGACAACAATCTCACTGAACCCGTTTTCTCATATGGAAATAAGATAAAACTTGAAGAGTGAACATCGCGGTAGGTGCTTTGTAAATAATAGCTAATCTAAGAACGCAGGCAGGCATTGCACTGAGCACTGTGAAAGTATGGAAAAGGGATTTCTGACAGATTGAGGAAAAAAGGATACCTCGTGGATCCTGAAAAATGTGATGCCTGAGCTGAGTCCTAAAGAATGAGTAGGAGTTAAAGACTGGGGGGCCCAGGATGTTCTAGGCAGTGGAAGTGGCACATATGAAAGTGAGAGTGGTCACAGCTTGTGGCCAGATTCCTCATGGCTGTAGCTAAAGAGTTGAGTTAGCAGATGAAGCGACAGGCAGTTGAGGTCCAGTTTAGGAAGCACCTCGTATACACAGGAGTTTGGACCTTTATCAAGTCAATTACAGGGAGCCAGCGAAGGCTATTAAGCAAGCATGGATATTGTGGGAATTATGTTTTAGGAAAATCTCTCCTGGCAGCAGTGTAGCAGATGAATAAAAGCATGGATGAATAAAAGCATGGATTGAGTAGAGCAGATTCAGTGAGATATTGAAAGATTCTAAGTCTAGCTGACGAGAGCCTGTAGTGAGTGATGTGAGTGTGAGAGAGTATGCAAATGAGATCTTCAGGATTTTGTGGCTGATCAGCTGTATCTGGAAGGGTGGTTGTGGGGAGGGAAGGCAGGGCAGAGAGGATGTTATGATCAGATTCCTAAGTTTGGCAGTTGGGAAAGGGTAGTGTTATTCACTCAAGGAGTATAAGAGATGGGGCAACTCTGGAGTAAATTTGGGAATTTGGTTGTTTCGTAACAGCTTTATTGAGATACAGTTTACATACCATACAACTCACAATTTACATACCATACAACTCATTTAAAGAGTATAATTCAGTCGTTCTTAACATAGAGTTATACAACCATCACCTCTCTCTAATTCCAGCACATTTTCATCACTCCCAAGAGATACCTTGTATTCATTAGCAGTCATAGACAATCCCCACTACCTCTCCAGCCCTAAGCAACCACTAATCTACTTCTTTATAGATTTGCCTGTTCTGGACATTTCATGTAAGTGTGATCATACAATACATACTCTTTTGTCTCTGGCATCTTTCATTTAGCATAATCTTTCCAAGGTTCAAAATTGAGGAGTTTTGTTCATTCAATAAGTATTTTTTGTGATGTGCTACATGCCAGGTACTGTAGCAATACAGCAGTGAATAAGATGGACAATGCCTCTGTTCTTAGGAAGCTTTCATTTAGTAGCCTGAAAGAAGACATAAGTAGGTACAATAACTTCATGTAGTTGTATTAAGATAACTGATGCTGGGTTGTGGCTTGCTGTGAAGGGCAAATTAGAGGAGGTAGTCAAGGGAAAGCATCTGAGAAGGTGACGTTGGAACTGAGACCCAAATGATACAAAGGAGCCAACCACATCAATATCTGAAGACAAAGCATTTCAGGAAGAAAGTAGAGCAAGTACGGGGCATGTGGTGGAAACTAGTTTGGCATCTTGAATATGAAGTCCCGGGAGAGATCCTAGTAGAGATACCTAGTGTCACGTGTATGTATTAAAGGTCTAGAATTCAGAAGAACAATCTGGGTTACAAATACAGGCTTGGAAGTCCTTAGCATGTCAGAAAGATGAGAATGAAGATTGAGAAGTTGGCCAAGGAGCAAACCCTCGGAATATCAACATTTAAAGGGTAGGCAGAGGTGGCTGAATATGTGAAGGAAACAGGAAAGCCAGCAAGACAAGATGAGAGCATCAGGTCAGAGAAGCCAAGGGAGAGGTGCTTGAGGAAGGAGCAGGTACTCCTTAGGAGTGACAACGGCTGCCAAGAGAACAAGATAGGGACTGACACCTATAGTTCCAGCTACTTGGGAGGCTGAGGCGGGAGGATCACTTGAGCCCAGGAGTTGAAGGCCAGACTGGGCAACATAGGGGGACCTTGTCTCAAAAAAAAAAAAAAGACTGAAATGACTACTGAGCAGCAAGGACAGTTTCAGAAAAGTGATTGGTAAAAGCCAGAGTATAGCGAATTGAGGAGCGAGTAGAAGGTGAGGAAGTACAAGAGGGTCCACTGCCCTGGGAGGTGGTCTGGGGAAAGAATAAAGTGGGAACTAAAGGAGCTTAGAGTCAAGGGATTTTAATTTGGGGATGAACATGGCTGTAGTATGTTTAAATTTGGATTGGATGGTAAAGAGCAGACAGTGAGGAAAATGTCAATGACACAGCAGTGTTGAGTTCCTCAGAAGGAGGGAGGGAGTACGTAGAGTAGAATGGTGGAAAGTTTCATTGTGGAAAGAGAGGTCTATTCTATCTATAGAGGAGAAATAGAAGGAGACAGATGTGGGCAGGTTGGTACCCTGTTGGTACATGTATTCTTAATTATTGTACCAACATGAAGTTGAGGAAATTTACAAATGGACTGTTTATTTTTTTGATGCAGAAGATGGCCCATGCCTCAAGTGAAGAAGAGGATAGAAGGTTGGAAAATTTGGGAAAGGGAAGAAAGTTTGAAAATAGTTGATATGGAAATGAAATGGAGAAAACAGCCAGGCAACATTGAGGGCCAGTTAAAGTGGAAGGCCAGGGTATCCACAATAATTACAAATAAAAAATGTTTAAAAAGTGGAAGGCCAGGAATTTATGGCGGCTCTCATCCACAGTTGTTTGATCTTCTGTATCAACACCTGTTTGGAGGTAGGATCTCAGTTTGGGGATAGATCCATTGCATGTCCATCTGACTGAGTTCCTTGAGGTCAGGGTCCCTGTAAGGCATTTCCATGTCCTAGGCACTTAATCCAGTGCTTGGCAAATAGAAGCTGCTTAATGTTGAGTGAGTGAGTGGATTGTGAGCTAGAATGGTTGGGAAAAGGCATCAAAGAAGGTGAGGGATTTGAAAGATGAGGTTTAACTTAAAGTGTGCCTTGTGACCATTGCAAATTATGGCTGAAATTATTAAGAAGAAACAAAAATTATGTAAGTAGTTGGTATAAAATATGCTGAAATAACAGAAAGTAGAAGAAAAAGTGATTGAAATTCACAGTATGAATAAGTATTTTAAAAAAAAAAATTTTTTTTTTTTTTTTTTGAGGCAGAGTCTCGCTCTGTTGCCCAGGCTGGAGCGCAGTGGCGCGATCTCAGCTCACTGCAAGCTCCGCCTCCTGGGTTCACACCATTCTCCTGCCTCAGCCTCCCGAGTAGCTGGGACTACAGGTGTCCGCCACCACGCCTGGCTAATTTTTTGTATTTTTAGTAGAGACGGGGTTTCACCGTGTTAGCCAGGATGGGTCTCGATATCCTGATCTCGTGATCTGCCTGCCTCGGCCTCCCAAAGTGCTGGGATTACAGGCGTGAGCCACCGCACCCGGCCATTTAAATTTAAGCCATTTGGCAAATACACATTATGATCTTAAAGAAGATGACAGTGTTGAAATGCTTATGGCTTTCTACTTAAGTGCTAATTCTAGAAGTATTATTATATAATCTGCGTAACTGCTAGTTTACATTTTAAATACATTATAATTTAATCCTAAAATTCAGAAAATTGAATTTAAATCAAGCCCAAACCTTTGGGCTTCTTGGATCTGTACCGCCTTCTCTCTTAATTTTAAGAACTGCAAGATCCCTGGACTCCCAAGGATCAGTTTTCATCTGTTCTCATGTGGACACTGTTCTTCCCTGTCTTTGTGATTTTGTAGAACTCTCTTACGTCTCAGAATTTTTCAGTGAGGTGCTGTCATCAGATGGCATGTAGTGTACATTGTAAAAAAGTGTAAGTTTATTGGACTTGGTTTTGATTTTTTTTAATCCTTCTTTTTCTCCCCTTGAATATTTACAGTGGAGCTGGGCAAGAAGTAGGAAGATCATGTATTATTCTCGAGTTCAAAGGAAGAAAAATAATGGTAATTACTATTTTTGTACTCAGTTTAATAGTATGGCTCTGTCTGTATTGGGTGTTAGTCTTTTCTCATAGACTAGTTATCTTTTTAGCTCCCAGAAAAATGTTATAGTACATGTAATCTATGCTGTATAGTGTTAATGAGAAAAACTAATACACACTTCTACTTAGTAATTTAGTTGATTAAGAAGATATATTCTATGACTGTAAAATTGTCAGCTAGATCTGTTGAACTGTTACCTCTTCAAAGTCCCTCTTCCACTCCTGAAGGGTTGAGCCAGCCTAACTGCCCCACCCCCAGTGGAAGATCCCAAGGGCCCAAGCACTCTGAACACACTGAGAGCTCTAGCCGCCTCCAGCATGTGGGGATCAAGCCTTGGCCTAGAAGCTTGGATCCCCAGGTCCCACTGGGGCTGCCGGCCTTGGCCAAGTCACTTTGCTTCTCTAAGCCTGAAAGGTAGAGGGGTTAGAGGAGATAGTTTCTAAGGTACTCATTAGAAAGTCAGTTCTGTGTCTCAGATTCCTTTGATTCCTCTTTCTTCTCAACTCCTCCCAATCTGAAAAGAACATGTATAGGTCAGACATAGTCATCCTTTTAGTCATCTGTTTTGTTAATTTGGTAGTAACGCCATAAAAATAAGTAACTTTAATGACTGAGTCTTAAGAATTTGTTCCCTAATGCCTTAAAATATTTAAATTACCCTGATCAGGTAAGTTTCCCATTTCTAATTATTATCTTCTCACGAGAGTCGATCTGGTAGTAGTAAATCTATAAACTTTTAAAATTTTAATCTGATATCAAAGTTTTTGAAAAAGATTTAATTCGTTGTTAGAATGACGACCAAAAGTAGCTGGAAAGAAGCTGTTTTGTACTTTGCATCCTGTGACCCCTAAATGTGAGCTATATTTTAAATTTGTTGGGAAGTTAGAATTGTTAATGGCATATTTGCCACATTTAATAAGAATCATGTTCCAAGTGCTAGTGCCTGGAGTCCATCTTGAGTATATGGGTGATGGAACTAGAATTATTGCCTATTTGCCGAATGAATTTTAATAAAATGTGCAGGAGATTGTGATCTCTTTTCCTGTTTCTTTCAGCTCGACTGTGGGATCCACCCTGGCCTAGAAGGAATGGATGCTCTTCCTTATATTGATTTAATTGACCCAGCTGAGATTGATCTCCTATTAATTAGTCAGTAAGTTTTTCCCTTTATTAATGACACTTTTTCACGGACTTTTACTATCAAGATCATTCTTTACTAGATTTTGAGAGTTTGGTTTTTTAAAAGAGTGTTTTCTGCTAGGAAGCATATTGCAGACATCTGAGTCTAAACCAACACTCCGTAATGTCATCACAGGCTAGAGAAGTTTGCTATGAAAAACTTACCTACCTCTATGTATAAGTTCAGTGAGTATGTGAGAAGGAGATAGTACAGAACTTGAATCATTGTAAAACTTGAGACTAAGAAAGCCCTTTTCCAGGATATCTCCTTGAGGTCACTGTTTTATCACATTCTTCTATAAGAACGCCATTTCACCTTTATTGAAACTATTTTTAAATAGAGTTCATATAGAAAAATGTGACAAGACAGTGACCTCAGGGAGATATCCATGTTTCAACTTTATTCTGTTAAAATGTTTGCTGTAATTCTGGCTGCCAGGAGTAGGCTTGGGATATTCTTCTTCCTCCCTAATTCACTAATAAAGTTTTTTGCTGTTTAAAAACAATACTTTAAACATCTTTCCTCCATTTTAGAACTGTATGCATTACTTCTTCCTTCTACACATACCTACTCTTGGTTTTTCTGAAAGTATCAGCACATAGTTGTTTATATAAAACTTGTTTTGTACAGTAAGCAACAGTTTCATTACATGGTATCTGATGGATAATAATTTTAAGAATTAATGCAGCCTCTTTCTTTTTAAGTTTCCATTTGGATCACTGTGGAGCTCTGCCCTGGTTTCTACAGAAGACAAGTTTCAAAGGAAGAACATTTATGACTCATGCCACAAAAGCTATTTATAGATGGCTTCTTTCTGATTATGTCAAAGTTAGGTAAATTACTTTATTAGATTATACACGACTTTGGCTCTATATGGCATGTATGGTTCAAGATATGGACCATTTTGTGTTTTAAAATGAGGTGCTCCCTTTTCATGTATAAGGATATCAGTAATTTCATCATTCATTAACAAGGTCATTGAAACCTATTGTGTTTCTAGCACCTTCCTGACCTTGAAGGTTTTTTTGAGACAGGATCTTGCTCTGTCATCCAGGCTGGAGTGCAGTGGTGTGATCACAGCTCACTGCAGCCTCAGCCACCTGGGCTCAAGCAGTCCTTCCACCTCAGCCTCCTGAGCAGCTGAGACTACAGGTGTGTGCCACCACACCCAGCAGAGTTTTTTGTTTTTTGAAGAGATAGGGTCTTATGTTGCCCAGGCTAGTCTCAAACTCCTGGGCTCCAGTGATCCTCCTGCCTTGGCCTCCCAGAGTGCTGGGATTACAGGCATGAGCCACTGGCCTGGCCTTGAAGTCTTTATATAGCTTTTTGTGTCCTTTTAAAACTTCATTAGGCTGGATTGGAAGAGTTATGCTTAATTGTGGTAACACTCGTTAACACTTCAATAATGCTTACCACATACTAGGCCCAATCCTAAATTCCTAATGTATATTAACTTCACACAAAGATAAATAAATATACATATTTTTTTTTTCTTTTTTTTTTTCTTTTTTTTTTGAGACGGAGTCTTGTGCTGTTGACCAGGCTGGAGTGCAGTGGCGCTATCTTAGCTCACTGCAACCTCTGCTCCCGGGTTCAGGCAATTCTCATGTCTCAGCCTCCCCAGTAGCTAGGATTACAGGCACACAGTGCATACCACCACGCCTGGCTAATTTTTGTATTTTTAGTAGAGACGGGGTTTTACCATGTTGGCCAGCCTGGTCTTGAACTCCTGACCTCAGGTGATCTGTCTGTCTTGGCCTCCCAGAGTGCTGGGATTACAGGGTTGAGCCACCGCACCCAGCCGGGAGATAAATATATTTAATCTTCACACCAACTCATGATGTAGGTTCTATTATAAATTCCATTTTAT
Source organism: Homo sapiens (assembly GCF_000001405.40). Classification (NCBI taxonomy): domain Eukaryota; kingdom Metazoa; phylum Chordata; class Mammalia; order Primates; family Hominidae; genus Homo; species Homo sapiens. Next base: position 9,431,918 of record NC_000002.12, read on the forward strand.
AGATGATGAAACTGAGGCACAGCGAGGTTAGGTTATTTGCCTAAAATCGTCACAGTAAGAGACAGAGCAAGGATTTGAACCCAAACAATCTGGCTCCAGAGTCAGCGTCCTTAACCACTGTTCTCTCTTGCTTTTTTGTAAGTACATTAACATAATTTTCAGGAGAAAGGTTGTGCTAGACTTTGTAGAAAAATCTTTTCTCATCCTAATGTGAGAAATATCTGCCATGGTTCAATGTATGTGAGTGTGTTATATCTTTCAGGAGTGTTGGGGTGGGAAAAAAGTTTGAGAAGTACTATCCTAAAGAGTATTTTGTCTTAATTTATTGTATGTATTATTGAAAATTGAGAGTACTTTGAGCTCAGTGTCTTAATTTCCTGTGTGGTTTGTTTAAAATCAAGTTTTGTAGCTATACACACAATAGAGTAAAAAAAAAATACACAAAATATCTGAGAAATTTTAAATACATGATTCATACAGTATATTTTAAAGAAATATCTTCATGGAGATGTTATCCACAATTTCTTTGTGTTCAAAGGCTTTTTAAAAAATCTGACTCTTAATTGTTTTTGCTGGCATCTTTCAAAATTTAGTAACATATCAGCAGACGACATGCTGTATACCGAGACAGATTTGGAAGAAAGCATGGACAAAATTGAAACTATCAACTTTCATGAAGTTAAGGAAGTTGCGGGAATCAAGTTTTGGTGTTACCATGCAGGTCACGTCCTAGGAGCCGCCATGTTCATGATTGAGATCGCAGGCGTGAAGGTACCCTCTGGCTGTGGCGCTTTTCTCCCCAGAGAAATCAGTACAGAGCTTTGTGCCACCAAGTACTATTAAAAAAAAAAATTCCCTAAGACTTGCAAAGTGTCAGAACACGGAAACATAAGATAAAAATACAGTTAACGCTTGTTCCTTTTAAATATTGCAGTTCCTACCTCCATTACAATACTTTCTTTATCAAGACTGAGGAAAAAAAAATTTTTAAAGACTGAGAAAAGAGTAAAATAAACATCTCAAAAAGTGATTCCCTGACACCATAGGATTCCGTTTGCTTTAGAAAACTGGTTAGGGAAGAGGTGTCTTTGTGGCTGCATTCGTTTAAAATTAAAACACAATTTGATATTCATGTCCCCCTGATGTCTTAGAATTCACAGGTAAGCCCCTAAGCAGGGTGGACTGCAAGAGTGAAAGGGGTTAATTAGGAAAGATCTTTGGGGAAGCCTTGAACTTCTGACAACGTGGGTGGGCCGCTGGCTTTCCAGACTCCAGAGCAGCCGCTCTGAACTCAGGCTGCAAATAAGACTCACTTAGGGAGCTGCTGAAAATAACTGTTGAATCAAAATCTGGAGGCGCAGCTTGGCCTTTTCCTTTTCGAGTTTGCTAGGTGATTCTAACGTCAGCCAGAGAACCAATGCTCTAGTGTCACGTCCTAAATTTTTCACAGCTGCTTATACATTTGGAACTTTTAGACATTGAATTGTAAAGTATATCACTAAATCACTTATTCTTGCAGTTTGCTCCAGGGCACAAAAAATAAGTAGCACAAATGCAGATGTGAATTCTCTTGGAATTTGATGCAGACCCTCTTATGATTTTATCTCCGGTTTTAGACCATGTACCTCAGTGCACTCCTTTCCTTGTCTGCATGCCCTTTTTCTCTAAGAAGTTCAGAGCACTTCTCAAGTGGATTAATGTTATATAGGTTATCATTGTGAGATGATACTGGGAATAGATTATTCCCATTTACTAGAGGAAATAATTGAAGCACTGAACCGTTTACTGACTGAACTACACATTTTGAATTGGACACAAGCACTGCATGTAAATTTCATCAGTTTTAGACTTAAAAACTGTAACTGCACTTTTGGATTTCATGAGTTTAATCTATTCACTAGCAAAATGAAGCCTTCCCCAAATCCTAACTTTCTAGTTTTATCTTTTTCACAGCTTTTGTACACTGGTGATTTCTCAAGACAAGAAGATAGGCACTTAATGGCAGCTGAAATTCCTAATATTAAGCCTGATATTCTTATCATTGTAAGTATTAATATACTATATTGTAATCAATGTAATGTAAGCAGATTTTTTTTCTTTTGGAAAATAATACTGTGATCTCACTTTCATAATATGTTATTGGATATAAACTTACCTTTTTTAAAATATAAGAAAACTGGTGGCCGGGCACGGTGGCTCACACCTGTAATCCTAGCGCTTTGGGAGGCTGAGGTGGGCAGATCACTTAAGGCCAGGAGTTAGAGACCACCTTGGCCAACACAGTGAAAACCCATCTCTACTAAAAAAATACAAAAATTAGCTGGGTGTGGTGGTGCAGTTACCTGGGAGGCTGAGGCACAAGAATCACTTGAACCCAGAAGGTGGAGGTTGCAGTGAGCCAAGATCACGCTGCTGCACTCGAGCCTGGGCTACAAAGCAAGACTCAGTCTCAAAAAAAAAAAAAATTGGGGCAGGTGCTTCTTTTTGTAGTGCAGTTTCACTTTCTTGCTGTTAAATGCATTAACTCTAGTCTAATATCAGAGATGCCAGGCTGCCTCTGGGCAGGATCAGCAGGCTGTCTCTGGGCAGGATCATTTTTACTGGCTATGCCCTCTCTCTGTCTTCTAAATATATATTTCTAGATGAGAATATGTAGAAGAACATCTTACGGGTCATTTTAAAATGGTGTGACCTCACTGCCTTTGCCATGGTGACTATCCTCAGGCCCTTAGTCCATGCTAACTTATCGTTTTGTTTATCTTTGTGTGTCATGTCTGCCTACTAGGTTGCAAGTCCCAGGGGAGCAAAAAAAATGAACTGTGTACAGAAGCTCTTTGGGGGCAGCTTGGGATGTGTGTTGCTGACTGTAGAGTCAGGGGTTGGGAGAGAAATCTTGCAAGCTTTTGGTGTATATAAGAACATCAGGTGTATGTGGTTCAAGGAGGAAGAGTTGTCTGTTTCTCCTCCACCACCTACCATGTTCCCCAGCTGCCCAGGCATGTGGGCCAGTACATACTGCTGTCCATAAGCAACATGTGAGCAGATTAGATTGGACTCTGCTCATGGTATGCCCAGCATATAAACTTAATTTAAGGGAAGATTTATTTTTTGAACCCTCAGAAAAAGTAGCTATTTTCATAGTACCATACTTTAGAGCAGTGCTTCAAATTTTAATATGCTTATAATCATCTGATGATATTGCTAAGATACAAATTCTGATTCAGTACATCTGGGCTGGGGTCTGAGATTTTGCGCTTCTGATAAGCTCCCAAGGGATGTCAATCTTCTGGTCAGTGGACCATACCTAGTAAGACTTTAAGGATATTCTTAAACAGAAGTATAAGAAACAACATCTGTTTCTATTTTAAAAGCTTTGACTTATCAGAGGTGGGAGAAATAACCTTTTTCTTCCTAATGGAAAGCAAAATGGTTAAAAAAGGACATGGGAAGAAGATACAGTTTTGGACTATTTCATTTTATAAAAAGTTCTTAGATTTGAATTCTAGCATTCTTTTTTTTTTTTTTTGAGATGGAGTCTCACTCTGGAGTGAGCGACTGCAATGGCATGATCTCGGCTCACTGCAACCACTGCCTCCCAGGTTCAAGTGATTCTCCTGCCTCAGCCTCCTGACTAGCTGGGATTATAAGGCATGCGCCACCATGCCCAGCTAATTTTTGTATTTTTAGTAGAGACGGGGTTTCATCCTGTTGGTCAGACTGGACTCCTGACCTCAGGTGATCCACCCGCCTCGGCCTTCCAAAATGCTGGGATTACAGGCATGAGCCACCATGCCCGGCCTCTTTTTGTTGTTGTTGTTAAATTTTATTTTTTTGAGATGGAGTCTTGCTCTGTCGCCCAGGCTGGAGTGCAATGGTGCGATCTCGGCTCACTGCAACCTCCTCCTCCTGGGTTCAAACAGCTCTCCTGCCTCAGCCTCCGGAGTAGCTGGGATTACAGGCGCCCACCACCACGCCCAGCTTATTTTTGTATTTTTAGTAGAGACAGGGTTTCACCATGTTGGCCAGGCTGGTCTCAAACTGCTGACCTCAGGTGATCCACCCACCTTGGCTTCCCAAAGTGCTGGGATTACAGGTGTGAGCCACCACGCTGGGCCTGAATTCTAGCATTCTTGCTTGCTCTTCCCAATTACTATTATGACAACACATGTTCGAGTAAATGACATGCTAATGGAGAAGTGAATTGCTTAGCCCCTCAGTATTTCATTGATGTTTAACTTTTGAATTCTTGGAGGATCATTGGTCTTAGTCTCACACTTCTAATGTATTATTTAGGAATCTACTTATGGGACCCATATCCATGAGAAACGTGAAGAGCGAGAAGCAAGATTCTGTAACACTGTCCACGATATTGTAAACAGAGGAGGCAGGGGTCTCATTCCTGTCTTTGCTCTTGGAAGGGCTCAGGAGCTGCTCTTGATTCTAGGTATGCCATTTCCTTTGTATTTAGGCGATGATCAAAATCTTGTCATTTTATCAAGATAATAATGTGGTCTTGGATGAGTCATTCCACCGTTCTGGACTTCAGTTTTCTTCATTTAAAAATAGAGATTTGGGGCCGGGCGCGGTGGCTCACGCCTGTAATCCCAGCACTTTGGGAGGCTGAGGTGGGGAGATCACGAGATCAGGAGTTCAAGACCAGCCTGACCAAGATGGTGAAACCCCATCTCTACTAAAAATACAAAAATTAGCCGGGCACAGTGACAGATGCCTGTAATCCCAGCTACTCAGGAGGCTGAGGCAGAGAATTGCTTGAACCTGGGAGGTGGAGGTTGTAGTGAGCCGAGATTGCGCCACTGCACTCCAGCCTGGGCGACAGAGCGAGACTCCATCTCAAAAAATAATAATAATAATAATAATAGGGATTTGGATCTAGGAATAGCCCAGGAAAACAGCAACTCTCATGCACTGCTGTTGGGAATGTGAACTGGCGACCCCTTCCGGTTGCCATCAGAAGTCTTAAAATATGTGTACCCTTTGGCCAGCAGTTCCGCTTCTGGGAAATAAATGAGATGTACAGAAAATTTTGTCAGGAAAGGTATTCATCATTTTAGTATTTTCAAAGAAATATGTGAGTAAATATAGCATTGTAGGAAAAAATTGTGTTACAGATGAGTAATTACATACTTTGCACATAATATATTAAGTCAACCAAAAAAGTAGAGTTCAAAACTATATTTACTCTGGGCTGGACGTGGTGGCTCACGCCTGTAATCCTAGCACTTAGGGAGGCTGAGGTGGGCAGATCACTTGAGGCCAGGAGTTCAAGACCAGCCTGGCCATCATGGTGAAACCTCGTCTCTACCAAAAATAGAAAAATGAGCCAGGTGTGGTGGCACACACCTGTAGTTCCAGCTTTTCTGGAGGCTGGGGCATGAGAATTGCTTGAGCCTGGGAGGCAGAGGTTGCAGTGAGCCGAGATTGCACCACTGCACTCCAGCCTCGGTGACAGAGGGAGACTGTCTCAAAACAAACAAACAAACAACAACAAAAAAAAAACTATATGTACTCTGATCCTAGTTAGGTAAAAAATGCACACACAAATGACTGAAAAGCTACTAAATCTGGATAGTGAGGATATGGATGATATTTTTTGTTTTCTGCTTTTCTCCATTTTACAAGTACTTCAGTGAGCATGTATAATTTTTTGTAATAAGAGAAACAATGGTTGTTACTTTTTAGCATACATTTGTACTTCATGATCCCTTCTACCTCACATTCGGTGATTCTAGTTGGGAAGAGCACTCTTATTGAAGAATAAAAGAAGGTACTTTACAGCCAGGCATAGTGGCTCACGACTGTAATCCCTAATTCCAGCACCTTGAGAGGCTAAGGGCGGAAGATCACTTGAGCCCAGGAATTTAAGATCAGCCTGGGCAACAAGGCAAGACCCTGTCTCTACAAAAAATACAAAGAATTAGCTGGACGTGGTGATACACGCCTGTTGTCCCAGCTACCTGGGAGACTGAGGTAGGAGTATCACTTGAGCCTGGGAGGTAGAGGTTGCAGTGAGCCAAGATTGTGCCACTGCACTCCAGGGTGGGCGACACAATGAGACCCTGTCTCAAAAAAAAGCAAATAATAAAATGGGTGCTTTGCATGAGTGTCACCTCTGTGCGAAGCACTAGAAACACTTGCATCTTAGCTCATCCTCTCTGTTCTGCCATCTTGGTGAGGAGGAGAAAAAATAGTATCCCTGTCACACTGAAAAGGAAAACAGAAGGAAAGTTGGAAGAAATGACCCCAGATGAAAAGGAAATCTGTAATAGATAGGACTTCTAGAAGCTGAATTTCCCAAATCCGAATCTAATTCAGTCTTTTGATCTTGATTGGTCCTCCTTCCTAACTGCAAGTCAAATTCGTCCTTAGAAGTCTTGAAATCAAAGTCTTCGTAACCTGTAAGATGAAGAACAGAGAAGTTAGGAAGTTGAAACAATGTTGCCACCATCAAATTGGGTTGCCAGATTTAGCAAATAAAACTAGAGGACAACTCATTAAATTTTAGGTTCAGATAAATAATGAATAATGTTTTAGTATAAGTGTACCAAATATTTAATATATATTCTTTTTTTTTTTTTTTTTTTGAGACAGTCTCACCCTGTCACCCAGGCTGGAGTGTGGTGGCGCTATCTCGGCTTGGCGCGATCTCGGCTCACCACAACGTCTGCCTCCCGGGTTCAAGCTATTCTCCTGCCTCAGCCTCCTGAGTAGCTGGGATCCTAGCTAATTTTTGTATTTTTAGTAGAGACGAGGTTTCACCACATTGGCCAGGCTGGTCTCGTTAGTATATATTCTTATACTAAAAATCTTTTGTTGTTCACCTAAAATTCAAATTTAACTGAGTATTTGATATTTTTATCTGGCAATTCTACCGTCTGTTCTTTGCAACTGGTTGCCCTTTTTCCTTCAATTCTCCCTTGTAATGTAGTATAATAGAAAGAACAGCTGCTTTCAAATCTTATCTGTGTTTCAGATGAAATCTATCATATGGCTAGAGCCATATGACCTTGGGCAAATTATTTAACTTTTTTTAATATTCAGAGTTTATTCATAAAAACACGCACAACAAACCAAGAAATGGTGGCATGATTGTGGGATGTAGTCCGCTTTAGGGTATCTAAGAAATCATAAGAGTAATAAATCATGAATGGGATAAACTAGAAGACAAAGCAGGAAATTTGTAATGCATGTGACAGAAAGTCTTTGTCCTCATATAAAATTATCATTGATACATCAAATGGAAGAATAACATTCACACAATAATCAGCCTTTTTTTTTACCCTTAGTTTGCTAGTTAAAATGGTGATAAGTCTTCGTAAGTTGTTTTGAAAATTAGAAATTATAGATGTAAATTGGTGAAACCCCGTCTGTACTAAAAATACAAAAAATTAGCCAGGCATGGTGGCCAGCGCCTGTAGTCCCAGCTACTCTGGAGGTTGAGGCAGGAGAATGGCATGAACCCGGGAGGCGGAACTTGCAGTGAGCGGAGATCGCGCCACTGCACTGCAGCCTGGGCGACAGAGTGAGACTCCATCTCAAAAAAAAAAAAAAAAGAAATTACAGATGTAAATTATATAATAGGCATATAATACATTTTCAAACTGCAGAGGCACCTATTAGAATAAAGGGTGTCTTTCAGCCATACTACCCTGATAAAATTTTGGGATTTAATGAGGGCTTTTCCCTTAACATAAGTCTTTTGACGGTATATTACCCACTGCTTTCTTTAATTATCAGAAACTGGTTAGTAGGTTTTTAAAAATACAAGCATGGCTGAGTGTGGTGACTCATGCCTGTAATCCCAGCACTTTGGGAAGCTGGGCAGGAGGATCACTTAAGTCCAGAGTTTGAGACCAGCCTGGGAAACATAATGAGACCCAGTCTCAAAAAAAAAAAATTAGCCAAGTATGGTAGCACACTCCTGTAGTCACAGCTCAGAAGGCTGAGGTGGAAGGATCACTTGAACCTGAGAGGTTGAGGCTGCCATGAGCCATGATCATACCACTACCCTCAAGGCTAGTCGACAGCCTGGGTGTAAAACACAAACAAAAACAAACAATAATAGCATAATATGACTATACTTTTTTTTTAAGTGTTCAAAATCGGTTAACTCTTGGCAATTCTCTTTTGTAATTAGCACTCAATAAATCTGTTTGAAATATTAATAATACATTTTTAAAACCATCACAGAATTTTTTCTAGTACACTTTTCTAATACATTTAAATAAAAATGTATTATTTAGTGTCTTATTATGGTAGTAAGTTATAGACTTCAGTGTAAACTTATACTGAGTCATGTTTAAAAGCCTCCACATCTTTGGACTATGATCATAGCATTCTTTTTAGGTCATGCACTATTTAGAAATAAGTTTTGGTTTTGTAAATTTAAGTTAGTTACAACCAGGATAATTTTGCTTAAACTCTTTAAAATATAGTTGTGTGCTTTATTTCTTGGTTGTATGTGTATCATTTCTTGTTCTGTGTGTATCATTTGTTATTTGAACTGTTTACCCCATCTAACAAAGTGATGTTTGTTTCTTGCAAAATCTCTCTAGATGAGTACTGGCAGAATCACCCAGAACTACATGACATTCCAATATACTATGCATCATCTTTGGCCAAGAAGTGTATGGCAGTGTACCAGACATATGTAAATGCCATGAATGACAAAATCCGCAAACAGATCAACATCAATAATCCCTTTGTTTTCAAACACATTAGTAACCTCAAGGTGAGTGCTTGTGGAAGAAAGACAAGGATGGATAAAACCAAATCAGTCATTAGTAGTAGGAGGTACGAGGCCGTGAGTGATGGCTCACAGCTGTAATTTAGCACTTTGGGAGTCTAAGGCAGGAGGATCACTAGAACTCAGGAGTTTGAGACCGGCCTGGGCAAGATAGTGAGACCCTGTCTCTATCAAAATAAAATAAAAATCGTAGGCAGTGCTTGTCAGTGACTCTGGCTGAATTCCTCTTGCTGGAGTCTTACCGCTTCTCAACAGGTGTCGTTTTTCTGCAGAAAATCAAAACTTCAGCAGCTGACATTCTTTTTCTGCTTCAACAGATTTTGCCACTTGCCCCAAGTAGCCATGTGTTCTCAGTATTTATAATACTCATCTCTTTTGCCGTAGGCATAAAAAGTTCTGAGGAGAAAAATATTTTGTATTATGTATTTAAGTTTCTCTTCTCACTCAAACCAAATCATCTTTTTGATTAGTGCTGCAAATTCTATATATGAAAATTTTTATATACTTTTCTGGAAGCATTCAATAAAATCTGATTTTATTTAATTTAAAAAATACTGTTTAACTCGATGCTTGAATCATAATAAAATAATTGATATCCGAAATAATTTAAAAGTGGACTTCCAGTTGTAAATAGGCTTTGTTCATAAAGTATTTATTTTAAGTTAACTGCTTAAGGATTGTAGACAAGTTCTCCCTAGAACAATGTTAAACCTTTTGATTTCCAGGCCAGCTCAAAACATGCATGGAGCATGCAAAGCTATTGTGAGTCTTTGGGAATATTTTTTCAGAGTTGTGTCTTGGGTAGATCAAGACCCATTTGACTCTTCCTTTTACTTTTCTGCCTGCCTGCTAGGCGCTGAAGATGGTCCTGATGGTTCTGATGGCCCTCTAGCTACCAACAGAAGGTTTTGAAGATCGGGGTGAACTTACCGCTTTTTATTACTTGGTTTTTCTACCATTCCTAGCCTAAACTGTTTAGGAATTTGGCAACTGAACTTAAAATGTTTACAGATCTTGTGAAGGCTCTTTCAGTGATGTGATTAATCTCTTAGCCTTTTGTTATTCTTTAAAAAGAAAGAATGCTTTGTCAGCTGCTGGTAGCTAACATACTTTTCCCATTCTGTTTTCTCTCTTAGAGCATGGATCATTTTGATGACATTGGTCCCAGTGTTGTAATGGCCTCCCCAGGCATGATGCAAAGTGGCTTATCCAGAGAATTATTTGAAAGCTGGTGTACTGATAAGAGGAATGGTGTCATTATAGCGGGATACTGTGTAGAAGGGACACTTGCCAAGGTCAGTTACAGTCATAGGCTGTTGTGTTATTCCTATTCAGAATCACGGAGGTGGCACGGTCCTCACAGGTTTTTGCACTGAAGTAGTTCTTCAAATAATACAAGTTTTGATTTTTAAAAATGAGGACGGGAATAGGTAGCTAGAGATGTGCGTAGGATGTAGAATTATGCAGACACTGAATGGCATAATGAGGTCCCAGGTGATTGATATACACATTAAAGTTTGAGAAATGCTCATCTGGTTGCAAGTAGAGAAGAATGGACAGGAACCTGTTTGAGACAAACACGTGAATACTCTCCGTCCTCTCATGAAGAAGAGGTTGACTAATACATATGATCTTAAAAAGCTGTAGAATGTGTTTGGGTTGACCACTTTCTACTATTATGAAACATTGATTTTCAGCTCTTAGGGATGTAGAAATTGTAGAAAATATATGCAGAACTTGGGAGGCAGTTTCTGAGCATCCAGGCATCACATTCTCATCCTCTATTTTATTTTTAAAAATATGATATGATTCTTTGATAATCTTTATTACTTTACCTTATTCTATAAAGTTCTTTAGTGACAATGTTGTATTTAAAATAGATTTCCAGGCTGGGTGCAGTGGCTCACACCTGTAATCCCAGTACTTTGGGAGGCCAAGGCGGGCGGATCACCTGAGGTCAGGAGTTCGAGACCAGCCTGGCCAACATGGCGAAACCCCGTCTCTACTAAAAATACAAAAAATTAGCTGGGCGTGGTGGCGTATGCCTGTAATCCCAGCTACTCGGGAGGCTGAGGCAGGGAGAATTGCTTGAAACTGGAGGCGGAGGTTGCAGTCAGCCGAGATTGGCGCCACTGCACTCCAATCTGGGTGACGGAGCAAGACTCCATCTCCAAAAAAAAAAGAAAAAAAAAATTTCCAGGCCTGGCACAGTGCCTCACATCTGTAATCCTAGCACTTCAGGAGGCCACAGCAGGTGGATCACTTGAGCTCAGGAGTTGGGGACCAGCTTGGGCAACATGGAGAAATCCCATCTCTACAAAAAATACAAAAATTAGCCAGGTGTGGTGGCACGTGCCTGTAGTCCTAGCTAGTTGGGGGACTGAGGCAGGAGGCTTGCTTGAACCCAGGAGGTCGAGGCTGCAGTGAGCTGAGATCGCACACTGCATTTCAGCCTGGGTGACAAAGTGAGACCCTATTTGAAAAAACAAAGATTTTCAGAATAGAAATATATCCACATATCTAGGAAATGACTTTGGAGAGCACAAGAATAGTTGGGAATACAGGTTTGTCTTTCTAAGCATAAGAGTTATGATTCTCACTGCCAGCACTCCAGATAGATGAGTTTTAGTTAATTTGTTTACTTTTCTCATTAAATGTTTGCTTGATTGAGAACATGAGTATTTGATATTTACTGAGTCAGTTATATTAGAATGATTTTGTGCGTAAGGTCCTAAATTTAACATGAATTTATGACTGCATGAAAAAAATGAAAATGTACCTTTACGATTATAACTGGGTAGTTTGTTTTGTTATTTTTCTTTATTTTCCACAGCACATCATGTCTGAACCTGAAGAAATCACTACTATGTCTGGACAGAAGTTACCACTGAAAATGTCTGTTGATTACATTTCTTTCTCAGCTCACACGGATTACCAGCAAACCAGTGAATTTATTCGTGCTTTGAAACCGCCTCATGTGGTTAGTCTATGAATTTCATTTATTGTATTAAAGGGAAAAAAAGTGCATACCCAGGAAACTGTGCAGCAGGCAGTTCACAAAGCAGGCATCATCACCTACTAATGCGACACCCCCTGAGCAGAGCCTTTCACATGCACTCGGATTTGGCCTTTACAACTCCCCTTTGATTTCAGCAAGCTGCCCCCTTTCTCCAGAACTGACTGACTCAGACCTACCAACCCCAATCCTAATGTTTTTCTGTTATTTTCTGCTGCCTCTCCAATAATTTAAGAGCCAGGCTTGGAGTATGACTGCTCATTTGGAATGCCAGCTCCATCTCTTACTTACTATGTAACCCTTGGCAAGTTACTTAACCTCTCTGTACCTCATTTGTAAATAGGAATAATAGCTCATAAGGTTATTGTAAGGATGAAGTGAAAGAACATATCTAAAGCACTTAATATGGTGCCTGGCACATAGTAAATGCTTAATATATATATTATATATATATATATATATTTTTTTTTTTTTTGAGGCGGAGTCTTGCTCTGTCACCCAGGCTGACTGCAACTCCGCCTCCCGGGTTCAAGCAGCTCTCTGCTTCAGCCTCCTGAGTAACTGGGATTACAGGTGCCCACCACCACACCCGGCTAATTTTTGTATTTTTAGTAGAGATGGGGTTTCACCGTCTTGGCCGGGCTGGTCTTGAACTCCTGACTTCATGATACACCCGCCTCGGCCTCCCAAAGTGCTGGGATTACAGGCGCGAGCCACTGCACCCGGCCGACTTACTTATATTTTTAAGTATCGTGTAACTTATTAAAAATAAGTTAGATATTTTGATGGAATTGGAAAGGAGGGGTAAGCTGAAAAAAGTGTGTATTTTTAATTAGAAGAACACTAATGAAGCATGTGTCCATAGAAAATAGATGACGTGCCCTTTCCAAATGTATTGGAAAGCAGGAGAAATGGCCTTTTGTTAGTTTTGTTTGTTTGCTTGTTGTTTGGGGTGTTTTTTGGTTTGTTTGTTTGTTTGTTTGTTTGGATGAAGTCTTGCTCTGTTGCCTAGGCTGGAGTGCAGTGGCGCCAATCTCAGCTCACTGCAGCTTCTGCCTCCTGGGTTAAAGCAATTCTCCTGCCTCAGCCTTCCGGGTAGCTGGGATTACAGGCACGTGCCACCACGCCCAGCTAATTTTTGTATTTGTAGTAGAGACAGGTTTTCACCATGTTGGCCAGGCTGTTCTCAAACTCCTGACCTCAGGTGATCTGCCCGCCTCGGCCTCCCAAAGTGCTAGGATTACAGGCATGAGCCACTGCACCTGGCCTTGCTTGTTGTTTTTTAAATACGTTTTACTGTGGTAAAATATCTAACATAAAATTTGCAGTTTTAACCATTTTTAAGTGTACAAACCAGTGGCATTAATTATATTCACAGTGTTGTACAACCATCACCACTGTCTATTTTCACAGCTTTTCATCACTCCAAGCAGAAACTCTGTACCGTTACACAGTAACTCCCCATTCCCTTCCGCCAACCCTGGTAATCTCAAATCTACTTTCTGTTTCTATGAATTTGACTATTCTAGGTATTTCATATAAGAGGAATCATAATGCCTATGATGTTTTCAAGGTTCATCATGTTGTGGCATGTATCAGCACTTCATGCCGAAGTCATGGTCCGTTATATGTAGACCACATGTTGTTTATCCATTCACCTGTGGGTGGACACTCGGGTTGTGTCACTTTACAGCAAATGTGAAGTGGTATCTCGTTGTGGTTTTTATTTTCATTTCTCTAATGACTAATGATGTTGAGCACCTTTTCATGCAGTCTTTTGTTCGTTTTTGAGTTTTTTCTAGCATGATAGGCCTCACAGGTATTTGCCACTGGCCCTTAATGAGCAGATTATTTGGTCAAGAAAAATCACTCTCCTGTCTATAGCATCACAGTGTGTAGGGTTTAGTCACAGAGTAGGCTCCTCCCAGGTGTTTCTTATTGTCTGTGTGCATGAACACTCCCCCAGATTTCCAAGCCAGGGAGGAAAAGCCGAATTGCTCTTTTGTGTGGTGTCACCACCTCATCCTCAGCCCCATTTCATCCTGTCACTCTCCTGGTTCTACTTCTGCTGACAGTTTAAGTTCCTGGGTTGAACTTCATGCTCATTTTCTTGTGATAACCAGCTCCAGCAAAAGTATAGCTGCAGGATAAAATTGCAATACTAGTAGTGTTGGTGGTAGTAATGAATACTAGCTAACATTGATTATTTACCATGTGCCGGACACTGTATATGTGTTTTATATGAACTGACTTGCTTAATCTTCATGACCGACAGCTGTTCTGCAGATGAGACAACTGAGGTGTGAAATCACTTGGTCAAGGTTACACAGCTTAAATAAGCAGCAGCACCAGGATTCTGTTCAGGCAGCCAGGCCCAGGCCCTTCCCCAGCAAGCAGTAAGCCCCTGCCACGTGCTGGTGCTGGCTATGCCCAGCCACAAGCCATCTACCACATGTGAGAGGCTAAGAACAATCTATCTTGGCCGGGCTGCAGTCCCAGCACTTTGGGAGGCCGATGTGGGTGGATCACTTGAGGCCAGGAGTTCGAGACCAGCCTGGCCAACATAGTGAAACCCCATCTCTACTAAAAGTATAAAAATTAGGCAGGGCACGGTGGCTCATGCCTGTAATCCCAGCATTTTGGGAGGCCAAGGCGAGCAGATCACGAGGTCAGGAGATGGAGACCATCCTGGCTAACACGGTGAAACCCCGTCTCTACTAAAAATACAAAAAAATTAGACGGGTGTGGTGGCAGGTGCCTGTAGTCCCAGCTACTCGGGAGGCCGAGGCAGGAGAATGGCGTGAACCTGGGAGGCGGAGCTTGCAGTGAGCCGAGATCACGCCACTAGACTCTAGCCTGGGCGACGGAGCGAGACTCGGTCTCAAAAAAAAAAAAAAAAAAAAGTATAAAAATTAGGTAGGCATGGTGGTTCACACCTGTATCCCAGCTACTTGGAGGCTGAGGCATGAGAATCCCTTGAACCCTCGAGGCAGAGGCTGCAGTGAGCCAAGATCACGACACTGCACTCCAGCCTGGGTGGCAGAGTAAGACTGTCTCAAAAAAAAAAGAACAATCTGTCTTGTAAGATAGAAGTTACAAAAGTGAATGGAAAGGGACTGGTAGCTAATGCTGTTGTTGTAAATACCCTCTAAAATATTCCATTTGGGGCTGAGCACAGTGGCTCATGCCTGTAATCGTACCACTCTGCAAGGCTGAGGTGGAAAGACTGCCCAGAAGTTTGAGACCAGCCTAGACAACATAGTGAGACCTTGTCTCTACAAGAATAAAATAAAACTAGCCAAGCATGGTGGCTCATGCCTGTAGTCCCAGCTACCTGGGTGGCTAAGGTGGGAGGATTGTATAAGCCTGGGAGATTGAGGCCACGGTGAGCCAAGATTATGCCACTGCACTCCAACCTGGGCAACAGAGCAAGACTCTCTTTAAATAAAGAAATATATAAAGTAATAAAATGTTCCATTTGGTTCTGAAATATTTTATTAGGATAGGTACAGTGGCTCACGCCTATAATCCTAGCATTTTGGGAGGCCAAGATGGGCAGATCACTTGAGCCCAGGAGTTCAAGACCACCTTGGGCAATATGTGAGACCGTGTCTCTACAAAAAATACAAATATTAGCCGGGCATGGTGGCGTGTGCCTGTAGTCCCAGCTACGTGGGAGGCTGAGGCAGGAGGATTGCTTGATCCCTGGAGGTTGAGGCTGCAGTGAGCCATGATCACATCACTGGACTCCAGCCTGCGCAACAGAGTGAGACCCTGTCTCCAAAAATATATCAATATATGAGGTAGGCCAGGCACAGTGGCTCAAGCCTGTAATCCCAGCACTTTGGGAGGCCAAGGTGGGTGTCAAGAGTTCGAGACCAGCCTGACCAACATGGTAAAACCCCGTCTCTACTAAAAATACAAAAAATTAGCCAGGCATAGTGGCGTGTACCTATAGTGCCAGCTACTCGGGAGGCTCAGGCAGGAGAATCGCTTGAACTCAGGAGGTAGAGGCTGCAGTGAGCTGAGATCACACCACTGCTACCCTCCAGCCTGGGCGACAGAGCAAGACTCCATCTCACAAAAAGAGAAAAAAGAGAACCATGGGTGTTTTCTAAGACAGTAGGGTAGCAATAGTTTTGTACAAGAGTCATAGGCATTTAAAACTAGAAGAGACTACAGAAGTCAGCCCTTTACAACTGTGAACATAGAAGCAGTGAAACATGGAAAAGGCGTGTATCTCATTAGTGGCAAAGACTGGAGTAGAAAAGAAGTTTCTTTACTCTTTGTTCAAATAGTACCACATAAGGATCAAACAGAATGAATATGTGTATACAAGTTGAATCGGCTGGAGGTCCTTAAAAGTAGTAAAGTTTCATAACTTCCAAGTATGTCTCTATTTCATATATTAAATATATTTCATATATTTAATTCAACTTAAGGACCATGATTAAGCTGAATGATGTTTCCATATATTCTTTTAACATTTATTCTATGTAGATTTTAGTCCATGGAGAACAGAATGAAATGGCCAGATTGAAAGCAGCACTGATTCGAGAATATGAAGATAACGATGAAGTTCACATAGAGGTTCATAATCCTCGGAATACAGAAGCAGTGACCTTAAACTTCAGAGGAGAAAAACTAGCCAAGGTAAAAGGTTATGGTTCCTGTCTGTCCAATCCATGTTTTTTCTTCAGGAAAGACTGTACTTCTTAAGAAAATAGATCTTTAGTCAAAAGAATATGCTTATTTCTGTCTACTTGTTACACTACAGGAATTTTATCCTTATCCTTTTTGGCTTCTTTTGGTTCTGTGCATTCATTTCTTCAGGTGGAAAATGTTCAGCTAGATTAGATTTTTTGTGTGTGTGTGTGTGAGACGGAGTCTCGCTCTGTCACCAGGCTGGAGTGCAATGGTGCGATCTCGGCTCACTGCAACCTCCGCCTCCTGGGTTCCAGCGATTCTCCTGCCTCAGCCTCCTGAGTAGCTGGGATTACAGGTGCGCGCCACCACGCCCAGCTAATGTTTGCATCTTTAGTAGAGATGGGGTTTCACCACGTTGGCCAGGATGGTCTTGATCTCTTGACCACGTGATCCACCCACCTCCGCCTCCCAAAGTGCTGGGATTACAGGCGTGAGCCACCGTGCCCGGCCTAGATTAGATCTTAATGCAGCTGAATCTCATAGCTCTTTAATCCATATCCCCACTTGCTTTTCCTACCCACATCTGAGGGTAAAGAACTGTTTGTTACTGTTTGTTACTGTAGCCAGTATAGCCTTGTGTCCACCTCTTGTCATTCTCCCTGAGAATCTGAAGATAGGCTCATATCTCTAAACATATATGTTTGTGTAGATATGATGGAATATATGAAACATTTTCTCTTTAAAAATTAATCGGCCGGACACGGTGGTTCCTGCCTATAATCCCAGCACTTTGGGAGGCCAAGGTGTGTGGATCACTTGAGGTCAGGAGTTGGAGACCAACCTGGCCAACATGGTAAAACCCCGGCTCTACCAAAAATAAAAATAAAATAAAAAAATTAGCTGGGTGTGGTCGCAGGTGCCTGTAATCCCAGCTACTTGGGAGGTTGAGGCGGGAGAATCCCTTGAACCCAGGAGGTGGAGGTTGTAGTGAGCTGAGATCGAACCTGAGAGATGGAGGTTGCGGTGAGCTGCGATCGCGCCAATGCACTCCAGCCTGAGTGACAGAGTGAGACTGTGTCTCAAAACAAACAAACAAACAAAAAAGAAGTAATCAAGGCTGGGCACGGTGGCTCACTCCTGTAATCCCAGGACTTTGGGAGGCCAAGTCAGGCGAATCGCTTTAGCTCAGGAGTTCAAGACCAGGCTCGGCAACGTGGTGAAACCCAGTCTCTACGAAAAATACAAAAATTAGCTGGGTGCAGTGGCATGCTCCTGTAGTCCCAACTACCTGGGAGGCTGAGGTGGGAGGATGGCTTGAGCTCCAGAGGTTGAGGCTACAGTGAGCCATTGTCCTGTCACGGCACTCCAGCCTGGGTGACAGAGCAAGACCTTGTCTCAAAAAAATAAAAAAAGAATTAATCATTTTTGAGAGTGAAATGTAACATTTTCAGAATTTAAAGTTGAAATAGTTAAGGAAAGCCTGAGCTGGCTTTTTAGAGGGATGCTGTCAGAAGTCTGCATCTTTACTTCTGTTGATCACAACTCGTTTAGAAATACTTCTAAGAGAAACTTTTTAAAAATTACATATATAATTTTAAATTTTTAAAAAGGAATTGAAATCATTATGTTGAAGAGATATGTGCAACTCCCATGTTCTGTTTTTTTGTTTTGAGATGGGGTCACACTCTGTTGCCGAGGCTGGAGTGCAGTGGTGCATTCATGACTTACTGCAGCCTCGACCTCCCTAGGCTCAGCTGATCCTCCCCTCTCAGCCTCCCAAGTAGCTAGGACTACAGGCACAAATTTTTTTTTTTTTTTTTTTTTTTAGAAGGAGTCTTGCTCTGTCGCCCAGGCTGGAGTGCAATGGTGCCATCTCGGCTCACTGCAACCTCCGCCTCCCAGGTTCATGGAATTCTCCTACCTCAGCCTCCTGATTAGCTGGGATCACAGGTGCCCACCACCACGCCCGGCTAATTTTTTTTGTATTTTTAGTAGAGACAGTGTTTCACCACATTGGCCAGGCTGGTCTCGAACTCCTGACCTCAAATGATCCACGTGCCTTGGCCTCCCAAAGTGCTGGGATTACAGGCGTGACCCACCGTGCCCAGTCTGAGGCTCAAACTTTTAATGATTTAGTTGAAGGTTTAAGTATCAACATATGGGCCAGGTGCTGTGGCTCACGCCCATAATCCCAGGACTTTGGGAGGCTGAGGCGGACAAATCATCTGAGATCAGGAGTTCGAGACCAGCCTGGCCAACATGGAGAAACCCTGTCTCTACTAAAGATACGAAAATTAGCCAGTCGTGGTTGTGCGCAACTGCAGTCCCAGCCACTCGGGAGGCTGAGGCAGGAGAATCGCTTGAACCTGGGAGGCGGAGGTTGCAGTGAGCCGAGATCATGCCACTGCACTCCAGCCTGAGCAACAGAGCAAGACTCCGTCTTAAAAAAGCAACTTTACGACACACTTTTAATACATAATGAGCCAAACCTGCAGACGCTAATGAATATCCTTTCTTGAAGGTGAATTGGAGGAAAAAAAGAAATTAGCAAAACTTAGGGTATGAGGTTTTTGTTGTAAATAGTCGTAGTTACTCCTGAGTCTTACTGTCCACAAAACTTTTCAGGGGCCGATTTAATAGTATTTTTCTTATACCTGTAGAAAAATATACTCAGTTGAGAATCTAGAACTGTATTTCACATACTCTGCTGGTGGTGGATATGTGGGGAGAAAAAAAAAGTTTTGCAGTCAGACAGTTTAGAAGATGAATTGAACTGAGTTCAGGAAAAGTTGGGTTTCTTATCGGAGTGTTCTGTTTCTCACCCATAATTTTAATGATTTAAAATCATTACCTTTAGTTATTTTTCTCTCTCAAGTACATCACTGTATTAAAATTAGTCTCCTAGGAGCAAAGGTTCTTTTCTGAAAGCTACCTACAATTAAGGAGAAAATAACCCTAGGAAATACTGTGAAATACAACCCTCTGTGTTTATAATTATGAGAACAAATATAGCACTGCCTGGTTGCTGTTTGCCCTTACTTGCTTAAAGGCAAACAAGTATGGAACACACTACCTTTATTCCTTTGAGCTCATTTATTTGCAGTTGAGAGAAGTTATATTTAAGAATACTGGGTTTCAGCCAGGCTTGGTGGCTCTCGCCTGTAATCCCAGCACCTTGGGAGGCCATAGCAGGCAGATCCCTTAAGCTCAGGAATTGAAGATCAGCATGGGCAACATAGTGAAACTCCATCTCTACAAAAAATACAAAAATAAGCCAGGCATGGTGGCGCACATGGTGAGCGATGATCGCACCACTGCATTCCAGCCTGGGTGACAGAGCAAGACTGTCTCAGAAAAATAAATAAATGAAACTTTTTTTTTTTTTTTTTTTGAGAAAAAGTCTCGCTCTGTCTCCAGGCTGGAGTGCAGTGGCGCGATCTCAGCTCACTGCAAGCTCCGCCTCCCAGGTTCACGCCATTCTCCTGCCTCAGCCTCCCGAGTAGCTGGGACTACAGGCGCCCGCCACCACGGCCAGCTAGTTTTTTGTATTTTTAGTAGAGACGGGGTTTCATTATATTGGCCAGGATGGTCTCAATCTCGTGACCTCATGATCCGCCTGCCTTGGCCTCCCAAAATGCTGGGATTATGGGCGTGAGCCACCATGCCCGGCCATAAATGAAACTTTTTAAAAATGAATAGTGGGGCTGGGTGTCATGGCTCACGCATGTAATTCCAACACTTTGGGAGGCCGAGGTGGGCAGATCATCTGAGGTCAGGAGTTCAAGACCAGCCTGGCCAATGTGGTGAAGCCCCATTTCTACTAAAAATAGAAAAATTAGCCGGGCATGGTGGTAGGTGCCTGTAATCCCAGCTACTTGGGAGGCTGAGGTGGGAGAATCGCTTGAACCCGGGAGGCAGAGGTTGCAGTGAGCTGAGATTGTGCCATTGCACTCCAGCCTGGCGACAGTGAGACACTGTCTCAAAAAAAAAAAAAAAAAAGAATAGTGGGTTTCACGTTTGTAGTATTTTTGTTTTTAAATGGTTGTTATTTTATTCTCTTAAAAATGTTTCTCCCTCAATGTATGAGCTCACCCATAACCTGTTTTTATTGACCTTTTTATTCAAAGCCGCTGCTGCTGCTTTTAGTGTTAGGTGTACCACAGCCTCCCAGGTTTGTATCAGTGGGCCTCACTCTCTGTTATGAGTTTGCAGCCAGCCTGAGGGAGTGCATGTGTGCGTTTCACGGGGACTTCCCGGCCTTCCCTACTGCAGTGCAGCTAGTGAGAGCTTTCTTAAGCCCCGGCACCTAGTAAGTTACTTGCTTGTTGAACTGATTAGAACTGAACTGTGCCAGATCTGCCACTGTGACTCTTCCCTTTGACATTGGTAGCAATGCAACTGCCCTCATCATAGAGATATCAAACATTTTATGTTTTTCGTGGTTAAATCCATATGTTGTTTTCATAGTTCAAAGGTGTTATGGTCTTCATTATGATGAACTGCATTTTATTACCTGAAAAACTGCATTTTACCAGGTTCTATTTTCTTCAAGTATTTTTTTTTTACAGGTTATGGGATTTTTAGCAGACAAAAAACCAGAACAAGGCCAGCGGGTCTCAGGAATACTTGTTAAAAGAAACTTTAATTATCACATACTTTCTCCTTGCGACCTGTCCAGTAAGTATACTATTAAATGTCAAATCCAACTTCACCTTAGCACTGAAAGAAAATCTATGAAAACTTCTCTTCACCTTGTGGCCTAATGTTATGTAATAGACAAATAATAAAAAAGGAATGAGGCAAGTTAGCTAATTAGCTTTGTGGGGAGAGAAAAACACCTCCCATGAACTACTGAAAGATTGAAATTATTGGTGAAATCACTTTCTTCATCTTTGGAAACATAAGTTCATTTCTGAGTTCACCTTGTTTTCTACCCTCTACAACAGACTTGTGGGCTTTTATTTTCTGAAGTGACTTTGGATTCCCCAGAGAAGCCGTTTGGTTTTTATGACCTTTGCATAAGCATTTCAGTTTTTTATGACCTTTACATCACTTGCAGGGCCTTTGTATTCCTTCACCATTCCAAAAGGAGTAGGAACAAAAACTTGTATAATTTCTTTAAAAGCAAAAAAGTATTAATGTAAAGCCTAATTTTTTCATTACATTGAAACTTTCAACATCCAAATAAGTAACACCAACTATATAACTGATGCCTCTAATGTGTGTGTATACATTGAAGCTCATTATAGAGAAAAATGAAAAATTGGGCAGGGTGCAGTAGCTCACGCCTGTAATCCCAGCACTTTGAGAAGCCGAGGCAGGTGGATCACGAGGTCAAGAGATCGAGACCATCCTGACCAACATGGTGAATCCCCGTCTCTACTAAAAATACAAAAATTAGCTGTATGTGGTGGCACGTGCCTGTGGTCCCAGCTACTCAGGAGGCTGAGGCAGGAGAATTGCTTGAAAGTGGGAGGTGGAGGTTGCAGTGAGCTGAGATAATGCCACTGCATTCCAGCCTAGTGACACAGCAAGACTCCATCTCAAAAAAAAGGAAAAATTGCACAAAACTAATAAGATTACATTTAAGTTTGTAAATTGCTTTTTTCCCATAGTTGATACACATTTCCATATGCATTCTTTGTCTTTATAAATTTACTGAGCCATCAATAAGTCATTTTCCAATGAATATGGTATTATTTTCGAGTAAATACTATGCTCAAGGTGATTTACATGGTACTAATACATTATATGTGCTTTATGCAGGAATAAAAAATAGCAGTGGCCCGGCACGGTGGCTCACGCCTGTAATCCCAGCACTTTGGGAGGTCGAGGTGGGCAGATCACAAGGTCAGGAGTTCGAGACCATCCTGGCCAACGTGGTAAAACCCCATCTCTACTAAAAATACAAAAATTAGCTGGGTGTGGTGGCATGTGCCTGTAGTCCCAGCTACTTGGGAGGCTGTGGCAAGAGAGTTGCTTGAATGCAGGAGGCAGAGGTTACAGTGAGCCGAGATCACGCCATTGCACTCCAACCCGGGCAACAGTGCGAGACTCTGTCTCAAAAAAGAAAGAAAGAAATAGCAGCAGTGGTGAGGTATTTACCTGTGAGATTGCCCTGCTGTCAGTTTTCATAGCATCATAGGTCACTGTCTGACTTGTGCCTTCATTCTGAGTTAGTGAGCTCTTATACTCTTTTTTTTTTTTTTTTTTTTTGAGATGGAGTCTCACTCTGTCTCCCAGGCTGGAGTGCAGTGGCGTGCCGTCTCTGCTTACTGCAAGCTCCACCTCCCGGGTTCATGCCATTCTCCTGCCTCAGCCTCCCAAGTAGCTGGGACTACAGGCGCCTGCCACCATGCCCGGCTAATTTTTTGTATTTTTAGTAGAGACGGGGTTTCACCGTGTTAGCCAGGATGGTCTCGATCTCCTGACCTCGTGATCCACCTGCCTAGGCCTCCCAAAGTGCTGGGATTACAGGCGTGAGCCACTGCGCCGGGCCCGAGCTCTTACTCTTATGCCACATAGTCCCAGCCCTTGAAATCTGTCTAATGAGGGAAGCAGTCTTGGGAAGAGCTAATCCCAGTATTGCTCAGTGGCATATAGAAGCTCATGATACATATGTGAAGAGAAACTGTGCACCTCAGGAGCTGGAAAAAGCTTTGTAAATTAGGTAGCCCTTGTGCCAGGTGGTGAAAGATTGTTGGGAGTTACCAAGGAAAGAAGGCAGATGACAGCTGGCATACCAGCTCTGTGGCATCCAAGAACCTGGTATGTTTGGGGACATGAGGTGCTTTTTTTTTTTTTTTTTCTGAGATGAAGTCTTGCTCTGTTGCCCAGGCTAGAGTGCAGTGGCACGATCTCGGCTCACTTCTGCCTCTGCCTCCTGGGTTCAAGCAATTCTCTGCCTCAGCCTCCCGAGTAGCTAGGACTACAGGCATGCGCTACCACGCCTAGCTAATTTTTGTATTTGTAGTAGAGACGGTGTTTCACAATCTTGGCCAGGCTGGTCTTGAACTCCTGATCTCGTGATCCACCTGCCTCGGCTTCCCAAAGTGCTGGGATTACAGGCATGAGCCACCGCGCCTGGCCATAAGGTGCTTTCTTACAGCTGGAGCAGAAGTTAACTGAAGGGGAGAGGTAGGGACATAGGGAGATCAGTGGGGAAATGTAAGGTGGTACCAAATTAAGGAGCATCTTGTTAGCTTTCTGAAAAACATGTTCACATTTACTTGCTTTTATTTCTTTTTTCTTTGCTCCTGGTATGTGTTTTGTAGGACTAGTATTTCTTCAAGTCTCTTCTCATTTTCTCTTCAGATTATACTGACCTGGCCATGAGCACGGTGAAGCAGACCCAAGCCATTCCATATACTGGTCCCTTTAATTTGCTCTGTTACCAGCTGCAGAAATTGACAGGTGTGTGTGTGTACTGAAATTCATTTCATTGTTTTCTGTCTTTTAGTAAGATAATTTTCTATCTAGAAAAGAATGTTACTTAATTTTGATAATTGTCTCAGAATTGTGTAAGTTTTATAAATATGTGTGATCATGTTATTATTGCCTTTATGTGAAATTTTAGAATATACACTCATATTCTTGCCTGACGGTCCTGGGAAAAAAATAAAAACTTAAAAAAAATTAAAAAAGAAAATATACTCAAATTTTTTTTAATTCCATAATACTTATCTTTGACCCAATTAAAATTTAGTAGTCTTTGTTCCTTATGTTTGAAATCTATTTTCCTTGACCATACCTAAAATTTTATCTGTTTCTTTTCTTTGATCAGTGAAAATAATTTTTCTGGTTCTATTGATACCAGTCTATACAGCAGGTTTTATAAGAGTTCATGACCACTGGCCAAAGGCCAGTGAGAAAATAAACCTAGTCTGCTTTCATTATTAGACCATTTGAGTTCGAGATTTTGTATATTAACATCATGAGGGGCCGTGACTAAATTAAAAGGTGTAGACTTTCTGATAGAGCAAGAATACTTCATATTACAAAATACATTTTCCATCAGTAACGCTCTTCATGACTCATGAAGTACCACCATAAAATAAACCAGTAGAAAGAATCTTTTTTTTAAACCTTGGAACCTTGCACTAGGATAATCTGTCATAACATAGAAGGTTAATAAAATATGTCTGAACTGTCCTTGATTAAGAGGATGCTAGAAAGACCAGAAAAGTCTCTTCAACAATAGAATTCCGCTGTAGAATGTTGACGCTTACGAAGACAGAAGGTAGATGAAACTAGCTGGCAACAATTGACAAATTTTATGTTATATGTTAAGATGCTAGTGGAAGGCTAAATCTCTTGTATACAAAAGATAGATGTTTGAGCATCACTTAAGTTTGCCACTGATAAAATGTTTGATGTCCAGGGTAAATGCTATCTAGTTGAATGTTTGCAATACATGTTCAGACCTTTCCGTTGCTGTACTTTGCTGTTTAAAAATTGACTATACAAATGAGTTACTAACTTTTTAATTGTGTAGCTGCTTTATTTTAGCTGTCTCTATAAACAAACGAATGGTCTCTGGAAGATTATCAGAAAAGTATATACATCTTATAGTTATGTCTTTCTTTCAGGTGATGTGGAAGAATTAGAAATTCAAGAAAAACCTGCTCTGAAAGTGTTCAAAAATATTACTGTAATACAAGAACCAGGCATGGTGGTATTAGAAGTAAGAAAAGATCATTTACCTAAACAATGAGGGGAAAAAAGTTTTAAAAAGAGTTCATGAACAATTGTAGAGAAAATTAGTTTCTTCCCAATTAGAAAAAGAATATTGTTGGAAAGTATATGTGTGTGTGTGTGTGTGTGTGTGTGTGTGTGTGTGTGTGTGTGGTTTTAAGGATCAGCATTAAGTATAATTAAGTAGCTGAGCATTTTCTATGTAGTCACAAAAAAACCTAATAATAAATTAAGGGTTCTTATTTAGTATGTGTGATAAATATAGTCCTTTCCTATAAGTCTTACCTGATTTTGTGGTACTCCAGGATGTCTTTAGTTATATCAGAAGGTTTTACAATTCTTAAGGTAAAAATTTAATTCTGTTAAATTAAAACAAACTTAGGTACCACTCGTTAAAAGAGCAGAATTTTGAAGATTCAAATAAACAACAATAAAGTGACCCAAATCTGGAAAGGATAGAAATTATTAAATTAAGTGATATGGTTCCTATTAGAATTTTAAACTCCACCTTGTGGAGTTTGGAAGACAGATACCAAAGGAATTACATGGTTGATTTTGATAGATTGGCACCTATTAAGTTTAAAGAAGGACTTTCAAAGTGAGTCCTATCATTGAATAGTCCAGGGAGGTACCTTGTCTACTGCTATGCCCCAAGGTAGAATTGTATATAAATTGCCAAGGTAGATGGTGAACTATTTCATTCATACATTCTAATTTTTTTTTTCTTTTTTTGAGACAGAGTCTTACTCTGTCACCCAGGCTGGAGTGCAGTGGGGTGATCTCAGCTCACTGCAACCTCCACCTCCTAGGTTCAAACGATTCTTCTGCCTCAGCCTCCTGACTAGCTGGGACTATACAGGTGCATGCCACCATGCCCAGCTAATTTTTGTATTTTTAGTTAGAGATGGGGTTTCACCACATTGGCCAGGATGGTCTTGAACTCCTGACCTCAAGTGATCCACCCGCCTCGCATACATTCTATTTTTAAAACAAAAAAGATTTGTCAGCTTTGGTCCCGATGCAATTCTGTGATTTAAGTCTAAATTTGATTCATAAGGCTAAAAGCAACTAAAGAAAGTGTCAGGCCAGGCCCAGTGGCTCACAGCTGTAATCCCAGCACTTTGGGAGGCCAAGGCAGGTGAATCACCTGAGATCAGGAGTTCGAGACCACCCTAGCCAACATGGTGAAAACCCGTCTCTACTAAAAATACAAAAATTAGCCAGACGTGGTGGCAGGCACCTAAAATCCCAACTACTTGGAAGGCTGAGGCAGGAGAATCACTTGCATCTGGGAAACAGAGGTTGCAGTGAGCCAGGATCACGCCACTGCACTCCAACCTGAGTGACAGAGCGAGACGCTGTCTCAAAAGAAAAAAAAGAAAGAAAGTGAAAAGGAGTAGTTATCTATAAACATGAAGTTACATAGAACAATATATAAAATGTTAATATCAGAAAAAGGGGGAAGTTATTGGAGACATTAATTTAGCTCATTCTACCAAATACTATTAGAGGCTGTGTATGATGGCTCACACCTGTAATCCTAGCACCTTGGGAGGCCAAGGTGGGCAGATCACTTGAACCCAGGAGTTCAAGACCAGCCTGGGTAATACAGCAAGACCCTGCCTCTATAATTCATTCATTCATTCATTCATTCATTTATACTTACATAGTAGATAATATATTTTTGTTCCTAGGGTAAACATGTCAGAGATTGTACCCTAGGAACAAAAGCCAGGGGATCTGAGGCTTAGTGTGAGAAGCAAAAGTAAATATTTAAAAATATTACCCTCTTGGCCGGGCGCGGTGGCTCATGCCTGTAATCCCAGCACTTTGGGAGGCCGAGGTGGGCGGATCACCTGAGGTCGGGAGTTAGAGACCAGGCTGACCAACATGGAGAAACCCTGTCTCTACTAAAAATATAAAATTAGCCAGGCGTGGTGGCACATACCTGTAATCCCAGCTACTTGGGAGGCTGAGGCAGCAGAATTACTTGAACCTGGGAGGCAGAGGTTGCAGTGAGCCAAGATCACGCCATTGCACTCCAGCCTGGGCAATGGGAGCAAAATTCCATCTCAAAAAAAAAAAAAATTACCCTCTTCGCATTCTGTCTGTAGTCATATACTATACTAAATATAAGCATTAGGAATTTGAGTTCAGTCCCAGCACCAGTAATTATCCTGTGCAAGTTACTTTTAAGTCAGTTTTCTCTTTTATAAAATGAAATTAATCGTGCTGTTATGAAAATTAAATGATAATGCCTATAAAACACTGTGTCGAAAGGAAGTGCTCAGTACCATTTACTTTTGTTTACAGAAAATTAGAGGACTATAGTATTATTAATTTCAGTAAACAATGAGTCAGTTAATTTCATTGAAAATGCTAGAAGCAGTAGTTCCATATGTACAGTCCATGGTTTGGTGGGTTGTAGTTGTAGCCTTTGTGGTTGGTCACCCTAGGTAGGTCACTTCCTAATTCTGCCTTTTGCTTTCCAGTGGCTGGCAAACCCTTCTAATGATATGTATGCAGATACAGTAACAACTGTGATATTGGAAGTTCAGTCAAATCCCAAAATAAGAAAAGGTAAGAGTTCATTTTTATCCTTTTTTTTTTTTTTTTTTTTTTTTTTTTGGAGACGGATACTAGCTCTGTCATCCAGGCTGGAGTGCAGTGGCACGATCTCAGCTCACTGCATCCTCCACTTCCCAGGTTCAAGCAATTCTCCTGCCTCAGCCTCCCAAGGTGTTGGGATTATAGATGCCTGCCACCACACCCAGCTAATTTTTGTATTTTTAGTAGAGGTGGGGTTTCACTGTGTTGGTCAGGCTGGTCTTGAACTCCTGACCTCGTGATCCGCCCGCCT
Source organism: Homo sapiens (assembly GCF_000001405.40). Taxonomy (NCBI): domain Eukaryota; kingdom Metazoa; phylum Chordata; class Mammalia; order Primates; family Hominidae; genus Homo; species Homo sapiens. The sequence goes on from NC_000002.12 coordinate 9,459,899, forward strand.
CAGCCTTCCAAAGTGCTGGGATTACAAGTGTGAGCCACTGCGCCCAGCCACTCATTTTTATCCTTTCTTTCATTTTTCTTATGTTTCTGTGAACTAAAAGGCAGTACATAGACTCCTAACAAACTTGATCATTTCTATGTAATCTTTAAGATATAAAATACACACAGCAATGCATGTTGTTAGTATTTTGCTTATTTTTGTCCTGGCTCTTCACTCATACTGCAAAAACCTGGCTGCAATTAAGACTAAGATAAAATCCTTTTAGAAACAGTCCTCTTAAAAATAATTGAGTCAGGCCGGGCGCACGGATCACAAGGTCAGGAGATCGAGACCATCCTGGCTAACACGGTGAAACCTCGTCTCTACTAAAAATACAAAAAATTAGCTGGGCATGGTGGCGGGCACCTGTAGTCCCAGCTACTCGGGAGGCTGAGGCAGGAGAATGGCGTGAACACAGGAGGCAGAGTTTGCAGTGAGCCGAGATCACGCCACTGCACTCCAGCCTGGGCGACAGAGCAAGACTCCGTCTCAAAAATAAATAAATAAAAAATAATAAAAATAATTGAGTCAGAAATTTCAAAATATTGATGAATTGAGCCAGTAGATTAGGAAGATATGCTACTATCTTCATGTTTAATAAAATTTGTTGAATAGAATTGAATCTCCCTATGGGACAATTTGCAACCAGAGAAAACAGTGAAGATATTTTTGTGTTACTTCTTTGATTCTATTTTATACTTAAGTCAGCATAATATATGTCTTTTTTTTCTTTCTTTCTTTCTTTTTTTTTTTTTTTGAGACAAAGTCTTGCTTTGTTGCCCAGGCTGCTCTCAAATGCCTGGGGCTCAAATGATCCTCTCACGTCAGCCTCCTGAGTGGCTGAGACTACAGGCATAAGCCACTGTACCCAGCTCTTTACATGTTTTGAGCTGTGAGTCTCCGGCATATGGAGTAGTCCTGTGTGCTGTGCTGGGGGAAGTGACCATACGGGAAGTATTCTGGGAAGCCTCAGCCTTTACCCTTCACACACCATTAGATCCTGGACTCTCAGAGAATATTATTGTTCCTTGAAAATATACAGTTAGTTAGTTCTTTGATTTCATGAGAAAAAAGTTGAGCAGACTACTTTGTAATTCATTTCTTATGCTGCATCTATAATACAAACAAATAAATACTTAGACAATCTAAATCTGTTATTCATTTGAGTCACTGGTAAGCATTTGAATTTGCTTTCAGTAATTGTAAAAATGATCATTTGGACATCATTTGATAACTTGTTTTAGTTGAATTAACTCATGGGAAATGGCTCCTCCCATGTGCATGTAACACAGGAGACAGCTGTGCATATATATAAGCCACAACGCATTTATATAAGCCACAGAAGAATGCCGCAAGATTCTTACATGATGCTCAGTGTCACAGTCTTAATCCTGGGGTAGAAACATATTGACAGAAAAAATGCAATTGTCAATTTTCTCTTACAGTTGGGCACGGTGGCTCACACTTGTAATCCTAGCACTTTGGGAGACTGAGGTGGGTGGATCCCTTAAGGTCAGGAGTCTGAGACCAGCCTGGCCAACATGGTGAAACCCCATCTTTTCTAAAAATGCAAAAAAAATTAGCCAGGGGTGCTGGCAGGTGCCTGTAATCCCAGCCAGCTATTCAGGAGGCTGAGGGGCGAAAATTGCTTGAAACCGGGGGGCGGAGGTTGCAGTGAACAGAGATCACACCACTGCATTTCAGCCTGGGTGACAGAGCAATACTCCATCTCAAAAAAAAAAATTGTTTTTGTCTTACTTATCTTAGGTGGTAAAAATAAAGGTGTGCAGGGTGGGAAGGAGGATCTTTTTTTTTTTTTTTTTTTTTTTTAAATTTATCTAGAGATGGAGTCTCTGCTCTGTCGCCCAGGCTGGAGTACAGTGGCACCATCTCGGCTCACTGCAACCTCTGCCTCCCGGGTTCAAGCGATTCTCCTGCCTCAGCCTCCTGAGTAGCTGGGATTAGAGGCGTGTGCCACCATGCCCGGCTAATTTTTGTATTTTTAGTAGGGACGGGGTTTCTCCATGTTGGTCGGGCTGGTCTCAAACTCCTGACCTCGTGATCCGCCTGTGTTGACCTCCCAAGGTGCTGGGATTACAGGCTTCAGCCACCGTGCCGGGCCTAGGAGGATCTTTTAAAAGATCATGAGTAAGTAGTGGTACAGAAGTTAGGAACGGTGACGTGGGGAAGAGGGTTAGGTGCGGAGAGCAGAATCACGCCCAGGGCTTTGGGCCACGCAGCTTTCAGCTGTAAGGCCCCCATCCTTCTAAGAGCACAGCTGGCCTTCACTTCCTATCTTAGTCTGTTCAGTTCAAATCAAATGCCACCAGGGTTGCTTTCTCTTCACTATATTTCTGATAGCCCTTTTATAAAATGAAGTCTTTTTTGTAATATAGTCAACTAATTAGAAATTGATATACTTTTCTGAAAAATGAAGTTTCTATGCAAAAATGGCACTTTTTTAGGCCGGTTAGGATGTTGTGTGACTACAAGGTCTTTGGTGATGTTTAGTGTCTGAGCTCTGCCAGCCTGTTTTCCATGTGGCAGAGGAGGGATCACAGAGATGTTGTCAGGATGTCATCTGCTGTTCTGATGAGGGCTCTGCCTAGCGGTGATGCTGAAAAACAAGAGGTGCTGTGGTATGACAGATAATCTCCACATAGCTCGTGTGTGTTTTATACGGGAAGGAATACATGACCTGTCATAGGTTGGTTTGCCTTTATCTTGATTATTTCTCTTAATGCTCCGGTCCAAAATGAAATGTACCTTTACTCTGATCTGCAGTAATTGAATTTAAATTAATTATCACTATATTATTAGTAATCCCTCTTATGCTAATAATAAAAACATTCCTTCCTTTGGTTAGCCTGTGGCCATTTCAGCAGAGGTTCATTGCAGACAGGTTAGAACTGGGCTGTTTCCGTGTGTTCCGTGTATTTAGCATTTGTTCAGCTGGCTGGGTGCCTTGTGTTTCTTAGTTCTTCCCCATTTTGTAGTTTATGGAGAATGAGGTTTTATATTCCTCTGGGATGATGAAGTGTTTGCATATTTTCATTAACATTCATTTGACAGATGTTTACTGAGCACCTGCTCCCCAGCAGGCATGCCTCAAAGTGCTTAGGAAACATCAGTGAACAAAGCAAACAGATCTGCCCCCTCCAAGGATCTGACATTCTGGCATGTCCCAGGGCTTCCTGATAGGGTTTGGAGTTGGGCAGATCCCATAGGGTCTTGTTGGCTATTGTAAGGACCTCAGACTTTCAGTGTGAGTAAAATGAGGCTATGCTGCAGAGCTTTGAGCGGGGCTGAGACAGGATCTGACGGAGTTTTTAAAGGACTGCCGTGGTGCTTGCTGAAAGTACTGTTAGGAGGGCAAGCAAGAAAGCAGAGGCTCCAGCTGGGAGCTTCTTCAGTCATCCAGGTGGCAGACAGTGGCTCAGATTAGGGTGGAAGTCATGGGGATATCGCAAAGTGCTGGATTCTGGAGGTGTTCTAATAAAGCCAGCAGTATTTCCTGTTGGATTAGCTGTAAGTGGTGACAGAAAGAGAACAGACAGGATGAACTTTAAGATAATGATCCAGGGTATGTATGTGATATGTCAGCATGGACAGTTGTCACTCGTGGGGCTAAGTGACAGGTTTTAATAAGTAGCACTTGCTCCTTTCAAAGGTGACAAGTATTGCAAGAACTGGTACATGTGACACTTATGCTGCTCATGAGGAAGTTGATTCTGTATATTTATTATTTATCGAACTGACTTCTTCCTATCCAAACTTGGGATTTTCACATTTAGAGCAGAGTCAGCGACTGTGGCCCACAAGCCACACCTAGCCCGCCTGCTTTGGTAAGTATAGTGTTACCGAAACACAGCCGTGCGCACTGGTTCATCATCTCTGATGCCTCTTTCCTGCTACAGCAGCAGAACTGAGTCATTGCAACAGCGACCCTGTGGTTTACAAAGCCTAGAATGCCATCTGGCCATTTACAGAAAAAGTTGCCCTCTTCTCAAGGCACCTCTGTGAAACAATCCGATTCTTCCTTGATGGCATTTTTCTCCCTTTTCATTTCTTAGCCTCCTGACACTTCAGTCCAGATTCTGGAAACACAACTTGTATTTGTATCTGTGGTGTATGTGTGTGTGTGTGTGTGTGTGTCTAACCAACCACAATTTATGTGTCCCCATTCTTAACCAAAGGGGAAATCTTATATATTTTCAAAATACATTATTTTGTTTTTATATTCCATAACATTCTTCTATTTTACATGGCACCTGTTTTCAGCATGTGTGTGTCCTGTTTTGACACACAGACCTACTAAGGACAGGTATACCTGTCTGATTGTATAGTTCTGTGTTTAATATGATCTCGTGTCTGATGAGTTTGTCTAAATATTAATGCAGGAATTTGCAAATATATATATACATATATATACACACGTAAACTTTGGAAAGTTTCTTTTGATAGTTTCATAGCCTAGATATTTATTTTGTAATATATTTTGTGAGATTGTTTTTACATGTCAATTAAGTGCTTATTTTAGTAATTAATGAAACTAATGATTATAATTAAAGTATAAAATTCTGTTATATAGTTTTCTTGGCTAGCACCTGGTTAGTTTTTTGTTTTTGTGTTTTTTTAATATTTTTATTTTTATTTTACTTTATTTTATTTTTTGAGACAGGGTCTCACTGTGTCGCAGACTTGAGTACAGTGGTGCAATCTCAGCTCACTGCAGCCTCGACCTCCTGGGCTCAAGTGGTCCTCCCACCTCAGCCCCCACAAGTAGCTGGGACTATAGACGCACATCACCACGCCTGGCTAATTTTTCTATTTTTATAGAGACAGGGTTTCACCATGTGGCCTAGGCTAGTCTCAAATGCCTGAGCTCAAGAGATCTGCCCACCTTGGCCTCCCAGAGTGCTAGGATTCCAGGTGTGAGCCACTGCACCTGGGCTTACTATTTTTTTTTAATGGAGATGGGGTCTTGCTATGTTGCCAAGGCTGGTCTCCAACTCCTGGGCTCAAGCAGTCTTCCCTTCTCAGCCTCCCAAAGTGCTGGGATTACAGGCGAGTAGTTAGTTGTATATACAATTGAAATTCACGAATTAAAAAGAATTAGATGAAGTATGGTTTGAATTCTAGAATAGTTTAGGAGAAATGACAAGTTGAGTCTTTTCCGTAGAGTAGATTGAAATAGGTATGTGGGAGTGCAGAAGTGAGTTAATAAAGCTACACTTACATGATACAATATTTTAAAAAGTCATAGTGTTACATGAGAAAGTAATTACTTGGGCTGGGAAATTGAAAGTGCATTGAAGAAATCATAATTTTTGAAGTCTCTTTGAAATGACAGAGTCTTAGCCAGGCACGGTAGCACACACGTACAGGCCTAGCTACTTGAGAGGCTGAGATGAGAGGATCACTTGAGCCCAGGAGTTCAAGGTTACAGTGAGCTATGATTGCACCACCGCACTCCAGCCTGGGCAACAGAGCGAGACATTGTTTCTAAGGGAAAAAAAGAAGAAAGAAATTACAGTCTTATATTATATTTTCCTGTTTATAGGTGAGGCCATAAGATTATTTCTGGTATTTTCCCCCATATCATACACACACACACACACACACACGCGCGCGCGTTTATATATAAAAAATATATAAAAGAGGAAATTGGTTATGTATATTTATTATTTATCAAACTGACTTCTTCCCATCCAAACTTGAGATTTTCACATTTGGGCCAGCCCAGCTTTCAACTCTTAAGGCCCCCCATCCTTCTAAGAGCTCAGCTGGCCTTCACTTCCTATCTTAGTCTGTTCAATCCCAATCAAATGCCACCAAGGTTGCCTTCTCTTCATTATATTCTGATAGCCCTTTTGTAAAGTGAAGTCTGTTATGAACATGAAATGAAATGATGACAATATCCATATATATGGGGTGTGTGTGTGTGTGTTGTCTGAAGGATTTTAAAATTCTGCACTACTCTTTGTAACAGCATTATTGATACATAATTCACATACCATACAATTCATCCATATAAAGTGTAGAATTCAATGATTTTTTAGCATATTCAGAGTTGTACAACCATCACCACAATCAACTTTAAAACATTTACATCACACCAGGCCAGACATGGTGGCTCACACCTGTAATCCCAGCACTTTGGGAGGCACAGGGGAGCAGATTGCTTGAACCCAGGAGTTTGAGACCAACTTGGGCAACATGCTAAAACCCTGTCTCTACACGCACACACACACGCGCTCACACACACACGCGCACACACGCACGCACACACACACGTGCGCGCACGCACGCGCACACACGCACACAAAGACGCACGCACACACGTGCGCACACAGACGCATGCACACGCACACTGACGCACGCACACAGACGCACGCACACACGCGCGCGCGCGCACACACACACGCACACACCCACGCACTCGCACACACGCGCACACACACGCACGCGCACACACGCACACGCGCACACACGCGCACACACACAAAATTAGCTGGGCATGGTGATGCATGCATGTAGTCCCAGCTACCTGGGAGGCTGAGGTGAGAGGATCACCAGAGCACAGAGGTGAAGGCTACAGTGAGCCGTGATCATACCACTACAGTCCATCCTGGGCAACAGTGCAAGACCCTGTCTCTAAATAAATAAATAAATAAATGCACACCTCCGAAAAGGAACCCCATATCCCTTACGTATGATGCCCCAATCTCTATATTCTCACCAACTCAAAGCAACCACTAATCTACTTCCTGCCTCCCTGGATTTGCCTGTTCTCAGCGTTTCAGATAAATGGAATCATACAATATATAGCCTTTGATGACTGGTTTCCTTCACTATGCTGTGTTCAAGTTTCATCCGTGTTGTCACATAAATTGGTACTTCCTTCCTTTTTATGGCCAAATAATTTCCCATTGTATGGACACAACACATTTTGTTTATCCATTCATCTGTTAATGGATACTTCGGTTGTTTCTATTTTATGGGTTTTATGAATAGTGCTACCGTGGAGATTTGGATGTAAGTTTTTCTGCAGACATATGTTTTCATTTCTCTTGGATCTGTACCTAGGAGTAGAATTACTAGGTCAAATGCTCACTGTTTAACTTTCTGAGGAAGTGCCAGACTGTGAGCTCTGCACTCTTTTGCTACTGTTGATGCACTGAGTTGTTGAATGAGGGGTCAGAGCATGCCTGAAACTCCAGATTAAGGGGGGCCCATTTTCCCAAGCTGTCAGATTTGTTTTGGAAGGAAAGCTGAGTAATTTAATGGGCAAGTCATTTTAAATATTAATTTTTATTAAAATAATTATATCTAATAGAAAGCTAAATTTATATCACATTTTAGATAAAAGACTTCACAGATCTTTGAGCTTGAATATGTCCCTAGAATTCCTGGAGTTAATTGCCCGTGGTCATAAATGTAAAGTTTAAGAAATGTGGGAAATAAAACTAAAAATAATATTAAGTGTCATTTTGTGGTTCTTTAATAAGAACATGAAATATTGGAGAAAGGGTGAAAAGATGTAATAGAAAATTTTTTTTAAATACACATAAAAAGAACATGAAATTAAATGATGAAAATATCCATTTCCTTTAGCAGGCAAATAATACAAATCCCTGCTTGTCACTTTAAGGATTCCATAGTTATTCACTTTAACTTATCAGTAACCAGATTCTGATTATTGATTTGGAAATTATTCTGAATAGGAATTTAGAAACTGAACTCTCTGTCGCTTTTTTTTTTCCCAGGTGCAGTACAGAAGGTTTCTAAAAAATTAGAAATGCACGTTTACAGCAAGAGGTTGGAGATCATGCTCCAGTAAGTTTTTCACCCATTATTTCTCAACAAGACAGTGACAGCGGCCGGAAGGAGCCCTGGATTCGGCTCTGACTCCTTCAAGGACTGGGGCGTGGCTCTGGCCAGGCCACTGCCATGCTCGGAGGCCTGCTTCTCTGTTAGGAAAGAGAGGGGCTGGAACCGTTCCCTGCCAGCTCTGCACTCACCTGTGACCTGCTAGGTCAGCCGTTTGTGTTTCATTTAATACAGTGCTTCAGGATGCTGGCACAGGGCTGGCACAGTTAGCAAGCGTTAAAACATTCTCATCAAGGACAAGTTCAAAAATCTTAGCTGAATGTTACTGTATCTTCAAGAATTATTTTATATATTTACTTGTTAAATGTGAATTCTTTGTAAAATGGTGTTCTTCTAGACTCTTCTTAGTCTGTAAGCGATGAATTAACTTTAAACTAAGTATTTCTTTTTATTTTATTTTATTTTATTTCTATTTTTGGGAGATAGAGTCTTGCTCCATTGCCCAGACTGGAATACAGTGGCATGATCTTGGCTCATTGCAGCCTTGACTCCCAGGCTCGAGCAATCCGCCTCAGCCTCCCAAGTAGCTGGGATCACAGGCTCGCAACACCATGCCCAGCTAATTTTATTTTTCTGGAGAGACAGGGACTTCCTATGTTGCCCAGGCTGGTCTCAAATTCCTGGGCTCAAGGGATCCTCCTGCCTTGGCTTCCCAAAATGCTGGAATTACAGATGTGAGCCCTTGCCCCATGAAACGGTTTAACAAAGTAAGGTGGCCTGCTAGTTTAGAAGGCTTTTATGCTAACATTTCTGTTCCTTCCTTTCTTTCCCCAAAATTCTACACTGACCTTTTTTTTTTTTTTTTTTTTTTTTTGAGACGGAGTCTCACTCTGTCGCCCAGGCTGGAGTGCAGTGGCACAATCTCAGCTCACTGCAACCTCCACCTCTCGGGTTCAAGCGATTCTCCTGCCTCAACCTCCCGAGCAAGTGGGACTATAGGCGCATGCCCACCACACCCAGCTAATTTTTGTATTTTTAGTAGGGACAGGGTTTCACCATATTGGCCAGGCTGGTCACGAACTCCTGACCTCATGAGCCACCTGCCTTGGTCTCCCAAAGTGCTGGGATTAGAGGTGTGAACCCCCGTGCCCGGCCCACTAAAGCAGCAGTTTAGTGGCTTTAAAAAAAAATGATAGACTTTAAATGATGACTTTGTTTATAGAAGTTGTCATACATCTTCAAAACAGTATTCTCTGTGTTGTCATTTTGATTTTAAAGAGCATTCCTCATACAAAACCAGCCAACAGTGCAGGCACAGTGATTACCATGGCCGTTGAAAAGGCCAGAGATTTTACTGGTTCCCACCCCTGGAGCCTCTGGTTCTCTTAACTCATTTTGCAGAGGGCTCAAGTCTGCCAGCGTTGAAGTCTGAGTATCTTAATCATTTTTAGATCCTTCACCCCTTTGGCAGTCAGGTAAGGCTGTGGGGCGGGGGCAGGGGACACACATATATGCAGTTTTACCTTTGATTTCAAGGAGGTTAGACAACCCCCTCCCCACAGGCTATCCTGGGACCCCCGGTTAAACAGCCCTATTGTAGAAGGTGGGTGTTGCTGACCAGGGACTTGACTACAATAGTTCTGTTGGCGGCCCTGTTCCCTGGGGCTCTACAAGAATAGAAAACCCGTGTGGCCCTGGACTGGCCCCGCTCTCCCACGTGCTGCAGTCGGGGTGCAGAATGGAAGTTCACATTGCTGTGGCTGGTCCTCAGGAGCCGTGGGGAGGGCAGTCTGCGGGAGGCTGCGGCCCTTCCACTGGACTTTCACTCTGGCCTTCTTCCCTGTCCTCCTGACACCACTCCTCCCGCCTCCCCTCCCTCTCCCTCACCTCCCACAAACACACCAGAACTATTCAACTCTGAGGAACAGGAGTATGAGACAGCTTCCATTCGGCCAGGAATGGGAGGTTCCCATGTCCTTAAACTTCAAAGCCAATCGTACCCTTAAAAATGCAGCTATTTCCCCAGTTGTTTAAACACTTAGGATTAGATAGGAGTAGATGTATTGGTTTCTTCAGAGAAGCCAACAGTGGATCACATGAAAATGGAACCTTTTTTCCTATCCTTTTGAATACATTTCTGTGTTTAAAATATAATTTTTTTGGCTGGGTGTGGTGACCCACACCTGTAATCCCAGCACTTTGGGAAGCCAAGGCAGGTGGATCACTTGAGGTTAGGGGTTCGAGACCAGCCTGGCCAACATGGCAAAACCCCATCCAAAATACCCCTACTAAAAATACAAAAATGAGCCAGGTGTGGTGGTGGGTGCTTGTAATCCCAACTACTCAGGAGGCTGAGGGAGGAGAATTGCTTAAACCAGGAGGCAGAGGTTGCAGTGGGCCGAGATCGGGACACTGCACTCCAGCCTGGGCAACAAGCAAGACTCCGTCTCAAAATAAATAAATAAAATAAAATATAATCTTTTCCTTTGTGCTAGGGTCCCACCTAAGTTTATTCACACATATGATGAGCAGTAACTGCCTGAAGATGCAAGGAGTTGATTCCCACTCCCCACTTCCCCCGCTTAATACAGTGTTGTCAGTGCTTAACTGTCCTAGGCTGACCATGGTCCATGGGTTGTTTAGAGTCACTGCCTGCCTTTCTTACCTGCATTCAGCCTGCTGGTGGACTGCTGTTTCCTAACACCTCTGTACCAATGGGGACGATGTTGAAATTAACCATCAAAACTGTTTCTCTCGATGACAGAGGCAATGTCTTAGTGCCTTCTTTATCCCCAGCTACTAGCACAGAAGGAATCTGCCACACAGAAGATGCTCAATAAATACCAAGTTTAATTAAAGTAGGAGTGCACAGCTAGTGGGCTTGGGAGCCATTTAAACCTAGATACCTGGATTTGAATGCCGGCTCAGCTGTTTACTAGCTGTGAGGCTTTAAGCAAATCACTTAACTTCTGTGTCTTGTTTTCTTCACATGTAAAAGGGGATCCTTACTAAAATTATAGGTTAAGATAATGTATATAAACCACCTAGCATGATGCCTGCTGAATAGATCATTCTTGAATAAAGCTGTGTATTTTCCCTGTTTTATAAACTTAATAAGCTGTATCAAGGCAAATAAGAAGCTTGTCTCAAAAGTAAATACAGGCTGGGCATGGTGACTCCTGCCTGTAATCCCAACACTTTGGGAGGCCAAGGCAGGTGGATCACTTGAGGCTAGGAGTTCAAGACCAGCCTGGCCAACATGGTGAAACCCTGACTCTACTAAAAATACAAAAATTAGCTGGCTGTGGTGGTGCACACCTGTAATCCCAGCTACTAGGGAGGCTGAGGCAGGAGAATCACTTGAATCCGGGAGGCGGAGGTTGTAGTGAGCCAAGATTGTGCCACTGCGCTCCAGCCTGGGCCACAGAGCAAGACTCCATCTCAAAAAAAAAAAGAAAAAAAGTAAATACAGTATTCTGCTTTAGAACTAGGACCTATCTTCAGTTTTATTTTTTCCTCAAATATATAAAGCCGGGCATTTTCACTAATCCTGCATTTCTGCTTATTTTCAGGGACATATTTGGAGAAGACTGTGTAAGTGTAAAGGATGACTCTATTCTTAGCGTCACAGTGGACGGGAAAACTGCCAACCTTAACTTGGAGACACGGGTATGTAGCTGCTCTTTCCTACGTTTCAAGACATTTGGGAAATAAAGTGAAGGCATAAATAATCTGTGCTCTCACACTCAACAGTCTACTGTTGCATATTGGCATTTGCTTCCAGTGTTTCCAACATTTTTTTCACATTGTTCTTTTTATATTATTATGGTTGAAGTTTTCCGTGTTTTTCCGGGTTACTGCATAGTACAAGGTTCGCGTGTATGCCACTCCATTGCTGTCCTCTTCCATAATACAGCTTAGTTCACCTCATCCCTTCTCTAGTTTGGCATCTAGTTGACTCTCCATTTTTTAAAGAAGCCGCTCTTCTGTTTGCACCAGCAAGATCCAAGTGGATTTTCCAAACAGTTCAAAACCAGCCCGGGCAACACAGTTAAACCCCATCTCTACTAAAAAATACAAAAAAAATTAGCCGGGAATGGCGGCAGCTGCCTGTAGTCCCAGCTACTCAGGAGGCTGAGGCAGGAGAATTGCTTGAAACAGGGAGGCAGAGGTTGCAGTGAGCCAAGATCACATTACTGCACTCCAGCCTGGATGATAGAGCGAGACTCTGTCTCCAAAAAAAAAAAAAAAAAGAACTAGAGGCCAGGCGTGGTGGTTCACGCCTGTAATCCCAACACTTTGGGAGGTCAAGGTGGGTGGATCATCTGAGGTCAAGAGTTTGAGACCAGCCTGGCCAACATGATGAAACCCCATCTCTACTAAAAATACAAAAATTACCCAGGCGTGGTGGTGTGCCTGTAATCCCAGCTACTTGGGAGGCTAAGGCAGGAGAACCCAGGAATCACCTTAACCCAAGAGACAGAGGTTGCAGTGAGCTGAGATCACATCACTGCACTCCAGCCTGGGCGACAGAGCGAGATTCTGTCTCAAAAAAAAAAAAAAAAAGAAGCAACTAGAAGATTATTAGTGAGTTTCAGTCAAATTCAGTACCAAATGTTGAGTAGATAGCCACATCCATTCCTTGCCAAGTAATTTGTGTGGCATAGATGAACTTCCCTGGAGTATCATTTACTAGATCAAACTGTGGGCTTTGATGTAAATGTAGTTTACTAGACTTTCCCCAGTCTTTCACCCCAGCCTCAAGTCATCACTAATTAGGACCGTGCTGCTGTCAGGAAGCACTGCACGCCCACAAGTGTGTAGGGCGGCCGTTCTGTTTCATGGTAATCAGTCCCACCATGACCTCTGCACACACAGATGATTGTTCTTTTTTTTAGTTTGAGACCCGGTCTCGCAGTGCCGCCCAGGCTGGAGTGCAGTGGTGCAGTCACAGCTCACTGCAGCCTCAACCTTCCCGGCTCAGTGATCCTCCCACCTCAGACTCTTATCTGGGACCACAGGCACACGCCACCACAGCTGGCTAATTTTTTATGAGATGATGGTTTTTTTAAAGAGTATTCATTTATCTTCTATATAATCATTATAGACTTAATTCTAACAGTCTTGTTTGTGCCTCACTTTCAGACTGTAGAATGTGAAGAGGGAAGTGAAGACGATGAATCCCTCCGAGAAATGGTGGAGCTGGCTGCACAGAGACTGTACGAGGCCCTGACGCCAGTTCACTGAGACTGTGCCTGTATATGAACTTTGAAAAAATACTTGACTCTACTTTTGTTACCTAAAATAAAATGCATTCGTTTCTCTGGGGGAGCCTGTTTACTTTTAATGTCAAATGGCCTTTATTTCAACAGCCTGAATACTGCTAAATTGCTAATTAATTTGTCCATTATTCTAGAACTAACTACTAGATCAACTGCCCATTATTTTAGAATTTTGGATTCTTCTTCCAGGCATGTATGTGCAGCTCCCATTGAAACCATCAAGATCTGCCGATAGCAACCGCTGCTGGTTACCCTCTCCTCTGGGGTAACCAATTTGAGTTAATAATAAGGATTCTAAGTTGCACTTGAATCTTTTCTGTCTTCATCTCCACTGCTGCTGTTCGAGTCCAAGTCTACTCTCCCCTCTGAATTCCTGCAACCACCTCCATCTCCTCCCCTATAGCTGATTCCTGGAACAGACCTGGCCTCAAGCCTCTGCTGCTTGAAGGCCTTAATGAAGTCCTTGTGATAAAGATGAAGTCCAGGCACCTTTGCTTGCTCTAGCAGGGGCTCTCAATCTGGGCTACCCGTGGGAATCACGTGGGGTGCATCACAAGTGCACCTGTGCCCAAGTCCTGCCACCAGGAGGTGAGTTAGTCCGGCTGGAATGAGGGCCCTAGGTTGGATCTTAGTTGTAAAGCTCCCCCAGGTGATCCAAGCGAGCTTGGGACGAGCAACCTAAAGAAAGTCATGCTCTACGCCCATCGCCCCGCCCCAGGGAGCGGGGTCGGCCTCTGCGCCGGCGCCCCTGGCCCTTCTGTTACTCATCTACAGCTCCGTGATTTCAAGGCATCCTTCCCACCCGTTCGTTTTTAGCTCGGCTGCCGAACTTCATTGCACAGTTGAGGTAAGAACGTTGCATTACAACCACGTTTTAACAGGTGAATCCCTTGGAAGTTAGTCAGTGCTCCGTGTCCGCGGGGTTCTGCATCTGCGCATCCACCCCACGGCGGGAAAAAGAAAAGCGGCCGGCTGCGCGCGCACTGAAGGTGCAGCTGCTTTCCCTTGTCATTCGCAGAACCACGAGGTACTGCCAGGGTTTCCGCAGTGCCTGCGTCCTCGTGGGTGTTACAGGCCCTCCAGAGTGACGCTGGGCGCAGGAGGCCGCGCGCGCATCCCACGACCTCTTCCAGGGGGGCCTGGAGCAGCCCTCCGCCCCACCGAGAGCCAGCTGTGCTTCCCGCCGCGCGTCCTGAGGTCACACTCCTGCCCTTTGCCGAACGCACCTGCGCCCGCGGAGCGCGGGGTGGGCTTAGAAGGGCCCCCAACCGCTTTTCTTCCGGGAACCACGCAGCGGGACGCGGGCTCCGGACTCCCTGGGGGCAGCCTTGCTGTGGGTGAGCAAGCGCGGAGGCCGAGCTTCTTGCAAACGGACTCCAAGGGGCAACGACCTTCGCGCGTCACCAAAGTGACTGCGTGGGTGCCCACGAGCCCGGCTCCCGCAACCCACGGGCGGCCACTGCGCAGGCGCCTCTCGTGGCTGGCGGCCCCGCCCCGCCCCGCCCGGCTGCTCCATGGCGCTGTGCGAGGCCGCGGGCTGCGGGAGTGCCCTGCTCTGGCCTCGCTTGTTGCTCTTCGGGGACTCCATCACCCAGGTACGGCCGCCCCGACGCTCGGCCTCCCGCCCCGGCCTCCCTGCGGGGTCGCTGCCGAGCAGGCCGAGGCTCCTCGCCGTCCTCTTCGGCGCCCGAGACGGCTGGGCCGGAGGCCTGGCCACGCCCGTGGAGACACCGGAGGAGTGGCGGGTCCCCCAGTGGCTGCGCCTTCCGGGCCCGCGGCGTCCCGGAGGTCACGACGGCGTCCGCGAGAGCCCGGGCTCCAGGCACAGACGCGAGGGGACCCGGCCGCGCTGCCCGCCCCGCGCCGCCTCCCACCCGGGTCGAGATGCGCGGTCTTCCCCTCAGCGCCCTCCTGGGCAGCGGCCTTTCCCCTCCGGGTCCGGGTTAGCGGCCGCGGGCGACCGCGCGCTGTGTCCCAGGAGGCCCCGCGGCCAGCTCCGGGCAGAGGCGCCAGGAGCTCTCTCGCCCCATTCCCTGCGGGCACAGGTGGGGCCGTTAGGGGTTGACCTTGGAAGTAAAACGCCTTCAGGAATTAGGTAGAAAAGGACCATCCGTTCATCCAAGATCATCTCACCTCCCATGAAGGGAACGGTCTTCTAAATGCAGGTTCTTACTTCGGGGAGGGAGTAGAAATTCCATTCCTGTGTGTGTCCTCTTCTCAGACAGGACTTGCTTCACCAGGCTTTTGTGTATACGCCAGTAACTGGTAACATTATGTTTAGGCATATGGGGCAGTCAGAGCTGCCGAATTCCATGGGAATGTGTATGAAAAAGTGTTCACCCTCAGCTCGGTAACCAGCAAAGCAGTGAGGCGGTGTGGCCTTCATTTCCTCACTGACCTTTGACTTTATTTCCTGAACTTAGATTTCTGTTTAGCTTTTTTTTTTTTTTCTTTTTTTCTTTTTTTGAGACGGAGTCTCGCTCTGTCGCCCAGACTGGAGTGCAGTAGCGCGATCTCGGCTCACTGCAAGCTCCGCCTCCCGGATTCAAGCGTTTCTCCTGCCTCAGCCTCCCGAGTAGCTGGGATTATAGACGTGCGCCACCACACCGGGCTAATTTTTGTAATTTTAGTAGAGACGGGGTTTCGCCATGTTGACCAGGCTGGTCTCGAACTCGAGACCTCATGTGATCCGCCCGCCTTGGCCTCCCAAAGTGCTGGGAATACAGGCTGTTTAGCTTTTGATAGAGAAAAATCCCCCTCTGCTAAAGTGCTGCCAGGTGTACTTACCTGTAATCCCCAAAATGACCTCCTGGAGTGAAGCAATCAAAGCCAAGAAGGGAGCGCCGAGAAAACAGAAGTTGCCAATCAGAACTGCCCTCGCTGAGATGCCCGGTTACAGTCATTAGTAGTAATAATGGGCTTTTCTTCCTCCAGTTTTCCTTCCAGCAGGGTGGATGGGGAGCATCGCTGGCTGACAGGCTGGTCAGGTGAGAATGGTTTCCGATACTTGAGTTCTTATGGATGGAAAATGTCTTAGGGATCCGTCTTATGGATGAAGGATAGTTCTGAACAGAACATTCCTCCTTTATTAATTTTGCTTGCCTCCCCTAATCAGTATATAGGAGAAGGAACAGAAAACATTTACTCTTCACTCAGTCTGACCAATTAGATATTTTAGGGTTGAGCACTGATGGCTGGGTAGACTCAGACAAATCAAGGAAATGGCCAAGGCCTCTTCCCTAGTCAGGGGCAGACAGATCCAAGTCCAGCTGCTATGACTGCAGAACTTGCAGTTTCACTGCTACACCACACTGGTAGGAAGCTACTTTGCCTTTTTTTGAAGTGCTGCCATGACTTAAGACTCACCTTGTCACAATTCTACCGCACTTTGTTTTGGTTTTTGGTGGTTTTTGTTTTGCGACAGGGTCTCTTGTTAGGCGCGTCCACGTGAAGAGACCACCAAACAGGCTTTGTGTGAGCAACAAGGCTGTTTATTCACTTGGGTGCAAGTGGGCTGAGTCTGAAAAGAGCAAAGGGAGATGGGTAGGGCAGTACTATAGGATTTGGGTAGGTAGTGGAAAATTACAGTTAAAGGTGGTTATCTATTGTTAGCAGGGGAAGGGGGTCACAAGGTGCTCTGTGGGGAGCTCCTGAGACTCATTGTCCAGGGGAGGAATGCCACAAGGTCGATTGATTAGTTAGGGTGGGGCAGGAACAAATCACAATGGTGGAATGTCATCAGTTAAGGCAGGAACTGGCTGTTTCACTCCTTTTGTGGTTCTTCAGTTGCTCCAGGCCACCTGGATGTATACGTGCAGGTAACAGGTTATGACGGCTTAGCTTGGGCTCAGAGGCCTGACAACTCTGTCACACAGGCTTGAGTGCAGCAGTGTGATCAGGGCTCACTGCAGCCTCCACCTCTGGGGCTGAAGGCATCATCACCTCAGCCTCCTGAGTAGCTGGGACCAACAGGCACTCGCTACCACACCCAGCCCAGCACTTCATTAAAGTATTGTGATTTCACTCTGTAAAATGGCTAGTCGCATTTTATAATCATTACACACACAAACAATCTCTTAGAAATAAGGCTGAGTTTCGGTGGTGGTTCTGCAGTTTATAAATGCCACCTGAGAACTTTGAGCAGTGTCAGAAAGTGTCCCCTTGTGCTGCTTTGGAGCCGCTGCCTGACGCTGTGGCCTGCAGTTCTCCGCGGGTGCCCCAGCTTCTCTGCTTGGTTATGCATGTATGGGAATGTGAATACAGCAAAATGAACCATATTGATTTACTAATCATAAGTTGAACCCCAGGCGTCATTTTAAGAAAACTTTATGGACAACTTTAAATATCTACAGAAGCAAAGAGTGAAATGAGCCCATCCATCCCTCCTATGGATTATTCTGAAGCAAATCCCAAATCATATCATTTTACCAAGACTAAGAAAAAAAGAGTCCCTCTTATGTGACTGGTATTCTCTGAGGGGTTTCAAACCTACTGCCTGATGCGAATCCTTAACTGGGATTCTCCTCACTTTACATGTGAGGAAGGAGCACAGCGTGCCCAGGGTCACGCCTAGTCACACAGGGAGCCGAGAAACAAATCCAGGCAACCCGGCTTTTTTTTTTTTTTCCCCCATTACACCTACAGTACTGTGAATCCAACTGTTTTTAAGAAGGAAACAAAAAGTATTAACCGGTTTAAGTTGAAACACAACGAATGTATTTACTAAAACTATTTAATCAAAACCAGAAATCTCAAATATTCTATAGACTGTTTAAATATAAACCAAACTAAACTATTTAAGTTCCAGGATATTAGTGACTTTTTACCTGAGATACTTGCTCAGATTATCTATCTGTTGTGAACTCCATTTTAAAAGCACCTCACTATACCATGCTTGAAGTCAGGTAGTCTGTAGACTTCATCACAGCCCCTTTATATATAATTACTTCTCTCACGGAGGAGTATGGTGTATTTACCTGTATCTTTGAATGGCTTAAGATTAGCATGCTTCAGCTATGTTCTTGCTCCTATCAAAGTGAAACCTGGGGGTGGCTCAGAGACACGTGACGGGTTTAGAATCCCAGAGAGCACACCCTCACTAAAGGCCGGTTACTGCGACCATAAACACTTCTTGCCCACAATTCATCTTTTTAAAATTTTTCGTTTCAGAAAATGTGATGTTCTGAATCGTGGATTTTCAGGTTACAATACCAGGTGGGCCAAAATTATCCTTCCAAGATTAATCAGGAAAGGAAACAGTTTGGACATCCCAGTAGCAGTTACAATTTTCTTTGGGGCCAATGACAGTGCACTAAAAGGTAAAAGCATTTTTGATGTTCTTCTAGCTCACTTTTAATCATTTTTATGTTACAGCAAACTTGCATTTAATATACTTTTTTCAACTGTTTACTTTCTCCCAATAGATACAGTTTTGCCAAACTTATGTTGTTTATATGTATTCCTGGCTTTAACACTGGTGGATTTTATTCTTGACTCAGTTTCTACATACCTTGGTTGCTGGCAGTCCTAATCTTGCAAACAGTTAAATATTTTCTAGAGTCTGTTAGTGCTATGCTAAGTTTGTAATGTGTTCTCTTTAGTTGATGCATTTGGCAGCAGAAAGCTTAAGGATACCTTGTGGCTTGCATCACACTGATGGCAGCTGGTGGCGTGTCTTAGGGAGGGATATGTCAGGGCAGCAGCCACCCTGACCTCAGTTAGGCTTGAATCCTGGGCAATGGTGAACGTGGGTTTGGAAAAGGAGATGGTCTCTCCTTGACTGCTGAAGAATTGCTGCTGTGACTAGAGGAAAGCTAGCCATGTAAGAGGCCTTTCTTCCCCTTCTACTCTTGAAAAAAGCCTTCTGCGTGCTATCGACGAGAAAAATCAGCCTTTGTTTTGGGAAGTTAGGTAGTCACCTTCCAGAGATTTCTTTTGTTACCCTACTTGTGTCACAGAAGTGCTGTGGTCTGCTATTCACGGGCACACCGTAGGAGACCTCTGAGTTGAGGCTGGACATGAAGGAACACCAACTGCAGTAAGAGGAATTCTTGCTCTCTAGGAGAAAGATTACGTAGATGACAGGTATCGGTGGAGACTGCACACTAACCATTATATTTGGGAAGAAATTAATCTTCACTTTCTATCTTGTACCAAAAACCATAAGAAAACTCAAAACAGAATTTTTTAAAAAGATAAATTTTTATCAAATTTAGCATAAGGAAAAAACACTTCCTAAGTATAAGAGCAGTGGAGGAAGCCACAGAGGAAAAACAGGTTTATGAAATAAAATAGGCTGCGAAAAAACTGAAGAAGAAAATGATGTGTTAAGGAAAATATCTGCAAAATGTGGCAGACAAGAGAGTAATGTCTTTAGTGTAGAAATCAATAAGAAAAATACCAACTCCAATAGAAAATGTAGGCAAAGGACAGGAATAGATAAAAGGCGAAATTTAACAGCAAATACATATTTGAAAATGTGTGAAAACTTATCAAAAAATGCCAATTAAAACAAGGTATTTTGATTTTTTGACTCAGAAAAGCAATATGAAGCAGTAATACTTACAGCTGACACGCATGAAATAAGATTGGAACTCTTACATTCCTGGTGAGAGAATAGCTTGTGATCCTCTGGAAAGCTGTGTGGCAATATGCGCCAAGGGACGGCCCACGTGTAGAAATTCAACCTAAGGAAATATTCAGATACGCAGCCAGATGTGTGTGCGGAGATTTCTGTGTATTGCTTTTTTTTTTTTTTTTTTTTTTTTTTTTTTTTTTTGACAGTTTCACACTCTTGCCTAGGCTGGAATGAAGTGATACGGTCTCGGCTCACTGTAACCTCCACCTCCCAGGTTCAAATGATTCTCCTGCTTCAGCCTCCCGAGTAGCTGGGATTATAGGCGCTCGCCACCACGCCTGGCTAATTTTTGTATTTTTAGTAGAGACAGGGTTTCCCCATGTTGGTCAGGCTGGTCTTGAACTCCTGACCTCAGGTGATCCACCTGCCTCGGCCTCCCAAAGTGCTAGGATTTCAGGCATGAGCAACCGCACCTGGCCGTGTATTGCTATTTATATATAACAGTAGATTACAAGCTGTACAGTACGGAAACATCATGTGGTCACCCTACAACTAAATTTCATTTTTTTGCAAACTATTTATGGACACAGAAAAGCTCATAATATGTTATGTGAGCCAGGCGTGGTGGCTCATGCCTGTAATCCCAACACTGGAGGCCAGGCCAGGAGTTTGAGACCAGCCTGGGCAACAGAGTGAGACTCTGTCTCAATAACAACAAAGTTTGCCTAGTGTGGTGTTGCGTGCCTGTAGTCCCAGTACTTAGGAAGCTGAGGTGTGGGAGGGTCGCTTGGCCCCAGGAGTTCAAGGTTACAGTGAGCTGTGATCACACTACACTCCAGCCTAGGTGATGGAGCGAGAACCTGTCTCTAAAACAATTTGTAGAGAAAAGCAAAATATGAAGTCTTCAGTGTGAATATAATCTTCAGTGCAAACTCATTTTTTTAAAAGTGTATGTATCTTCATGAAAAGACCGGAAAGATATACATCCAAATGCCAACAGTGGTTTTCTGGGTGGTAGGAACATTGGTGACTTTTTTCCTTTATACTGTACTTACATGTGGTTAGCAAATGGTAAACAATGACCCTTGTAATACTTCAGTGAGAGCCTATCTAGAAAATACTCCTTTGCAATAATAGTAGTATTCGTGGGTGCCATTTGTTTAGACTGAGTGCTTGCTTTGTGAAGGCACACTGCTCTCAGTGCTGTAAACTCTTAGCTGTTTTGATTTTCAGTCCTAGGAGGGAGACCTTATTATCTTCATTTTCCCAATGAGGTACAGAAAGTCTAAGTATTTATCTGCGGTTCTGTGGCGAGGAGTGACAAAGCCAGGATTTGAACCTAGGCCGTCTCACCCAACAGGGTGGGCTCTTTAATTTCTTTACAAATTCAACCTAATTGATGTAATAACCATCTGGATACTAGTGACGAAAAGACAAGAGTACTTACGGTGCCCCTAGTTAGAGCCTTTGAAGTCTTGTTTTATGAAGAACTATACATTTTAATTCATAAGGAGAAAACCTTCTCTTTGTGTCCTTGGTGTTAAACAATCCCCCCAGTGACATCATGAATAACAGGCATTTGCAGAAGTGTGTTCACCTGAATTGTCACTTATAATAAATATGCATCTGGTGAGGACTCATGTTTCTCTTGAGCAGATGAGAATCCCAAGCAGCACATTCCCCTGGAGGAGTACGCTGCGAACCTAAAGAGCATGGTGCAGTACCTGAAGTCCGTGGACATCCCTGAGAATCGAGTCATTCTCATCACGCCGACCCCACTTTGTGAAACAGCCTGGGAAGAACAGTGCATCATACAAGGTAAACAAACCACAGCCAATCTCGGCAAATCTGGATAGGAATGCTGAGGGAGGAACTCTGATAGGACAGTGGTTTCCTGCCTGGGGCTTCTGTTTCTTAGGGGCTCGGTATGTCCATTTCAGTCTGTTTTCAATCCAAAATTATTAAATTATAGCTTCCATTATGTTATACCTGAGACCTTTTTTGACCTAGAAAAGGGATTCTGGCTTTGGATAGTCAGGAGGGAACCGCGGGCCTGGCATCTGCTGACCTTTACAGTTACCAGACTCCAGGGTGCACATGAAGGCCACTGAGATCTGTGTAGAGCTGTGGTGCTCGGCCTGCGGGGGCTGATGCTGATGTGCCTTGACTTGGAAGTCCACACCTGGGGCTTTTTACTGGTCCACAGAAGCTGGGGGTAGGAATGATCAGATAGGAGTCGCCAGCACTCCATATACTTGGGTTTCACATCCCTCAAGTGCTGTGTTTTCAATCCACCTTTGACTGAAAAACCTCTGCACATAAGTGGACCTTCACGGTTCAAACCTGTGTTGTTCAAGGGTCAGCTGTATGTTAATGTTGAAAATGTGCATTATGGAAGTTCTCTTTTTTTTTTTTTTTTGGAGATAGAGTCTGGCTCTGTCAGCCAGGCTGGAGTGCAGTGGCACGATCTCGGCTCACTGCAACCTTTGCCTCCTGGGCTCAAGCAATTCTGCCTCAGCCTCCTGAGTAGCTGGGATTATGGGTGTGCACCACCACGCCCGGCTAATTTTTGCATTTTTAGTAGAGACGGGTTTCACCATGTTGGCCAGGCTGGTCTCGAACTCCTGACCTCAGGTAATCTGCCCGACTCAGCCTCCCAAAGTGCTGGGATTACAGGCGTGAGCCACCGTTCCTGGACTGGAAGTTTTCTAAGCTGCCCAGAACTCAACATTCTAGGACAAATGACTGGCTTTGCAACACAGAACAGCTATTTCTCAAAGTGTGGTCTGACTCTGAGTTAACTGGGATTTTTAGGTAGATTTCTGGACCCATTTTCAGCACTCCAGATGTTTCTTACACACACCACAGCACACATACCACAACTTCATGGAAGGCTGTTATTGTCCCTACTTTACCAGTGGAGAAATGGAGTCTTAGAGAGGCTAAGTAACCGGCCCAAGATCACACAGCCAGCAACACAACCAGGAATCAAATCCAGCAAGTGTGACTTCACAGCTCAAGTCCTTACTGTTGTATGAGTTTACTGTTGAGTGGGGTTGTAGCTATGTCCCTTGCTCTCAAAGGGCCTGTCATCCTTAGAGAAGGATCCAATGCGTTCTCAAGTCACAAACAGCATATGCCAAGGGGTGCCACACACCGGAGGCACAGACAAACGGGGAGAAACCCCAGCCTGCGGGACGTGGTGACAGTAGGTTCTGGGCATCACATCAGGGCAGAGGGGCCCTATTGCTGTGCATGAGACACCAGAGTGTTCTGCAGGGAAGGGGAGGTGTTTAAGGCCCACAAAGCTCCCCTGGAGACAACTTCAGAGCCCCAGCTTGCTTCTGGGCCTGCAGCCCTAACTGCTTTGGGGGGCAGTGTCATCTTGGCTTTAACAAAAGGGGAAAAATGTTACATAGCATGGTCCACAGAAGCTGTTTAGACTTCTTTTTGTCTACTGTTTCCCAGGAAAATAATATATATGAAATTCTGAATGTTTAATTTCATTTCCCCTTTCTAGCCTTGAATGTAGCCCAATGCAGACTTTTTAAAAGGTCAGTGATGGGCAAAGCAGGTAGAGGAGGGGTCACATCTCAATAACTGGTCCCCTAGAAATTCAGCAGGTTATTTTTTGAGATGGTCTTGCTGTGTCACCCAGGCTGTGTAGGGCAGTGGATTACTCATAGCTCACTGCAGCCTCCACCTCTGGGCTCAGGTGATCTTCTTGCCTCAGCCTCCCAAGTAGCTGGAACCACAGGCATGTGCAACCATGCTCAGCTAATTTTTTAAATTTTTTTGTAGGGATGGGGTAGCTAGTTATAATCTAGGTGAATTTTATAAACAATTGATCCCAAGTATGAATCAAAGCTGGTGAATAGTTTCTTCGCTGTGATGTAGAGCCTGGGCCAGCATAGGTCCTCCTGTGGCCCGCATCCAGTTGCCCATATCCTCATGCTTTCTCTTTAATACCATTCTGTAGTCCGCCTCTCGCCAGCCCTCACTGTCCTGTTTGCAGCCTCCTGAGCCTTCTCCCCTAGCCCCAGCCCCACCTTCCAAACCAACCTAGCACAATCCCCAGATACTGCACTCCAGCCTTCCCTGGTGCAGCTCCCTGGGAGGATGAGGCAGCCTGCACTTGTGTTAGATACACTCAATCGTTCTGTGCTAGCTGCTTTGCTGGTGTTTAGTCTCTTAATCCTGCCAATATTCCTGCAACTAGGTAGGCACTGTCATCATAAGAATGCAGAAAGCTTCAGGACGGTTAAGCTGTTCAGGCACACCGCTATTTAGTGAAAATTGTAGGCATCAAAACGAAGGTCTCTTTGTCTAAAGCCGACAAATGATTTTGCTGTGTTGCGGTCCAGCTGTTACATGTAAGAAGCCAGCGGTGTCAGCGCAGCGTTCAGCTTCCATGGCCTGGCATTTCCTACTAGTGCAGCCCTTACCAGCCCCCAGCCCAGCTCCTGCAGCCGGCACTCTCCAAGCAGCCCAGCCCTCCTGGGCCTTTCCTGCCTCTCTGCCTCTGTTCAAGGTGTCCTCTAGAACATCCTCCCTGGCGCCTCAGAAGATTCCGGTTACCACTGAAGGCTCCTTCTTCCCACTGCACCTTGTCCTCTGCTGGGTAGAGCAGCACACCAGTAACCTGCAAGGCTCATCAACATATACCCTAAACCCCGGGGCTGGCCCAAGTGGGGTCAATATTTAATGGCATTTTGAAACTGTCTAGATGAGTGGAGCAGAACTTACACAAGGGCCAGCACTTGGGTTTACCAACTGCCACCTCTATTTCTTCTCTTCAATAGGTTGCAAACTAAATCGCCTGAACTCTGTTGTTGGTGAATATGCCAATGCGTGTTTACAAGTGGCCCAAGACTGTGGGACTGACGTACTTGACCTGTGGACCCTGATGCAGGACAGCCAGGTACGGTGGCTTGCTCGGTCCTCTCGGGGTAAATAGGATCACACAGAAGTAAACCAGGTGTGTGTGCAGCAGCTTTCCCTAGAAAGGCCCTGCTTAGCTAAGACAGTCATCCCTTTAGCCAATGAAAACAAACAGGCTTGGGGGAGGGGAGGAATGGAGGTTCCAGGATGGCTCACAAGCCCAGCAGCTTAATTCAGCCAGGCTCCTTGGCTAGGAGTTAGTGCGCAGTGACATCAATGAGCAACACATGGCTCATATTTATGAACGTCCAGGCCAAGTTCTTCTTTCATACAGAGAATGGCAGAAAGCTAAAACTTGTTAATAGGTAAAACAATGAATTTAAATACAGTATTGGCTAATAAAACTGTTTGAGATATGTAGTTCTAATTAAGTTACTTTGTTTTAAAGCCTGAAAGCACAAATATAAAAGGTAAAAAGCAGGTCCCATGGAATGGTGCACTGACTCAGGAGACAGCTGGTTTCTGACGCAGTCACACATACACTTAGGGAGGACCTGGCAGTCCACTCCTGGGTTATCTGCCCTAGAGAAATGAAAACTATGTTCACACAGAACCTGGGTGTAACTGTTGACAGCAGCATTATTCCTACCTGCTGGAAACACGCCAGTGTCCTTCTGTGATGAATAGGGAAACTGGTGTGTCCGTGGAATGGGATACTACTCGGCAATAAAGAGGAGGAACTGACAAGCGCAGCAACGTGGGTGACTCTCGAGGCGCTTCACTGAGGGAAGGAAGCTGGTCTCTGAAGGCTACTTACTACATGAGTCCATCTGTTTTGGTGTCTCAAAAAGGCAAGACTTGGGCTGGGTGTGGTGGCTCACACCTGTAATCCCATCACTTTGGGAGGCCAAGGCAGGTGGATCACCTGAGTTCAGGAGTTCAAGACCAGCCTGGCCAACATGGCGAAACCCTGTCTCTACTAAAAATACAAAAATTAGCTGGGCATGGTGGAGCGCGCCTGTAATCCCAGCTACCCAGGAGGCTGAGGTGTGAGAATCGCTTGAACCCGGGAGGCAGAGGTCACACCACTGCACTCCGGTCTGGAGGATACAGGGAGACTGTCTCACCCTCCCCAGCCCACCCCCCAAAAAAAGGCAAGACTGCAGTAACAGAACAGGTCCATGGTGGCCAGAGGTTAGGGCAAGGAAAGGTATGGCTAAATTCAGGTTCCACACAGATACTGGTGAAGAGGGGCAGACAGGCACTGGTCTTTTTTAATTTTTCTGTGACCTTGTGCTACTCTTTTGTAAAGAGCTTGTTCAGTAGGGCACATTAAAGGCTACTTCATTGCTATGCTGGGATCCAGAGAGAAAGCTTGGACGGGACTGATGATATTTGAAGTACTCAAGGGAAGGAAGGATCCAGTGTGCGGGAAGCTCTTTGGACAAACGGGAAGACTCACAGCCTCACCGGTTTCCTCTATTCCTAGCTGTTAGGTTTAGGCTACTTGGACAAAGCAACATAGAAAACAGCCAAGAAACTAACCCAAGTGCCAACTTTTTCCTCTCCCCTAAATATTAATCCATACCAATCGTTCCAATGACCTACACATTTATTATCCATCTGTAATAGGGAAAATGGTCACCAGTGGGAAAGTCATACTACCACGTGGATGCCGAGTCACCAGTCACCTTTGGAGGCCCTGAGAGCCTAAGCAGATCTGGACCCTAGGCCTCTAGTCTTCCTCTGAAACCCTGGAGTACTGGAACCTTCCAGAATTCCAGATTAGGAGGGGCCTTGGCAGCTTGAGTGCCAAAAGGGTCGACATCTAGAGTTCTGTTGTCTAGGAAAGGAAACTGCAAACTATTGGGCTAGTTTTGCTCACATGTCTTTTTCAATTTAATACAAAACTGAGAGGGTCGTCCTTAGAGATCATCTCATCTCAAACTGCCTAGATGAGAAAACCAAGGCCGAAGAAGAAGTGCTACTATTATATGATAGCATCTAAATTTCTGGTCTATTAAAAGTCACATAAGGCCGGGCGCGGTGGCTCATGCCTATCATCCCAACATTTCGGGAGGCTGAGGCAGGTGGATCACCTGAGGTCAGGAGTTCGAGACCAGCCTGGCCAACATGTTGAAACCCCATCTCTACTTAAAAATACAAAAATTAGCCAGGCGTGGTGGCAGTCACCTGTAATCCCAGCTACTTGGGAGGCTGAGGCAGGAGAATCACCTGAACCCGGGAGGCAGAGGTTGAATTAGGCCGAGACTGTGCCATCGTTCTCTAGCCTGGGCAACAAGAGTGAGACTCTAGCTCAAAAAAAAAAAAAAAAGTCACATAAGCTAGTTGGCCACCCAGATTCTAACAGAGCTCTTGGCTAGTGAGATTCTTCCCCAAGAAAGAAATGGCTGTATGGGTAAAATTCTTATAGTTCAGGGCCTGGTATGGCTGCTCATGCCTGTGATCCCAATACTTTGTGAGGCCAAGGTGGGAGTATTGCTTGAGCCTAGGAGTTCAAAACCAGCCTGGGCAACATAATGAGAGACCCATCTCTACAAAAAGCACAAAAATTAGCCAGGTAGCCAGGTATGGTGGCACGTGCCTGTAGTCCCAGCTGCTCAGGGGGCTGAGGTTAGAAAGATCGCTTGAGCCCAGGAGGTTGAGGCTGCAGTGAGCCATGATCATGTCACTGCACTCCAGCCTGGGCAGCAAAGCAAGACCCTGTCTCCAAAAATATGTGTATCTTTTTAAATATGTACTCTTGAGTTCAGGGCAATGGGAGGGAGACTGGACTCCTGTGTCCCAGCAATTACTGTTCTAGGTTAGATGGTAGAAGTTCTTTCTGCCTAAAAACCTGCCTAGAGTCAAAAACAATATTGACTCATGGGGCCCCTGAACACTCCTAATACCAAATTTTTCATTTTTGCTGATTACGTTAATAGGCCATATTTACCTGTTAAGGTTCTTTCAAATAACCTGAGAATCATGTCATATGATTCAGAAGACCTGGAATGAGGTCCCAGCTCACTTAATGGTGAGTGACTTTCATGAAACTCAATTCTATAATATGGAGACAGCACTATAGCACTAGTCAGGGTTCTCTGTGTGTTCAAACACCTACGTAAATAGCACATCAGTGCTACTGTAGTCCAAGACACCTCTGGTCAGATGCCTACAATGAAAGGGGCTGGTGATATTTCTGTCGCAGGGCCACAAATGAGAGAATGGTACACACTGGCATTTAGAAAAGTTATACCCTCCCTCCCCGGCCTTTTTGTGTGTGTGTGTGTGTGTGTGTGTGTGTGTGTGTGTGTGTGTGTGCGCGCGCGCGCGCGCGCTGTGGGGGGAGACAGTCTATCACCCAGGCTGGAACTCAGTGGTGCAATGATACCTCACTGTAGCCTCCAACTCCTGGGCTTAAGTGATCCTCCCATCTTCGCCTCCCAAGTAGGTGGGAATACAGGTGTTTGCCACCACACCCAGCTAATTTTTGTATTTTTAAAATTTTTTGTAGAGACAGGGTCTCAAACTCCTGTCTTCCAGTAATCCTCGGCCCCAAAGTGTTGGAATGACAGGGGTGAGCTACCACACGTGGCCAGTTACCCACCTTTAACCGATTTCTCTCCCTTCTAGGACTTCTCATCTTATTTATCAGATGGACTACATTTGTCTCCAAAGGGGAATGAATTTTTGTTCTCGCATCTCTGGCCTTTGATAGAGAAAAAGGTCTCTTCTCTACCTTTGCTGCTTCCTTACTGGCGGGATGTAGCAGAAGCAAAACCTGAATTAAGTCTGCTGGGAGATGGAGACCATTAGCCAATCACAGGAGACCCAAATCTGCTTGTTATCTACAGAACTCAAAGTTGTCAATACGTAGAGGTACGCTTTTTTCCTCAGGCTTAAACCTTTGCCACTGATATTAATAATAAAAGTATTAGATGATTTTTCAGGGAAGTTTTATACTTAGGTCCATTGTGTTTCGACAGTATTTATTAATGCAGATATCAGTGCTACAGCTATAAAATATACCCTGAGCAGCTTGTTAATTCTATAAATGACAAAGACTATGTTTTTAAAAAGTCACAATTTTATAAAAATGGTTTTTCTTACATTCTTTTGAGAACTGTTTCACTCATACATACACCCACACACCCCACTCAACCTTGTATCAAATTCCAAAAGTGTAACTAAAGTATAAGAATATCATGACTAGTTAAAAGATAGCAAATACCATAAGGTACAAGTTCAAGTATTAGTATAACAAGTATCTGAGTAACAAATGTCCTTGGAAATGGGGGGTAGGAGGAGATATGATTAGTCACAGGTTTGGTTAACTGCCCTCAAAATTTACAAGTTAAAATGTTTTGGCTGGTGAGCACATTTCAGTTCTTAGGGGAAAAAAAGCTTTTAATGGCAATTTATAGAAATCAGAATCCAGGCTAATGATTTTTATCCTTCACACAGTAAATGCAGCCCATCCAGAATCCTGGAGCAATAAAGTAAGAAGTAATTCAAATATCTGCTTGTGGGTCAATAAAAAGGGTTTCTGAAGTATCAAGTCTTGTGGGGACAGCCCCCAACCCTAAGGGCAGGTAGTATTCTATCTCCTGGCTGGCTCATCACATTCAAAACAACCTGTTTTTTTTGTTGTTGTTGTTGTTAAGAAATATCTCACCCTCTTATTCAATAGTGTTTGAAAACAGGCAATCTTTGTATTTTAAATATTCTAGGTTTGTAGATAGTGAATTTTTTTTTTTTTTTTTTTTTTTTGAGGCAGAGTCTCACTCTGTCACCCAGGCTGGAGTGTAGTGGCGCAACCTCAGCCTCTCCAAGTGCTGGGATTACAGGCATGAGCCACCACTCCCAGCCAATAGTGAATTTTCTAAGAGCATGTATCCCTATCAGTAACAGGGATACATGAAGATACTTATAAAATACAGAAAAACTGCCCAGCAAATCAGGGCCCTAAACAGTTGGTAGATTCCATAAATTCAACTGGCTACCATGTATAGCCCTCACTGTAAGGTAGGTGGTTAGGTTTCTAGAGAGCATTAGTCTTAGAATTATGAAGAGCCATATTAACCCAAATGATTTCTAAATTTAGATATATATTTTCCCTGCTACATAAAAACTCTGGGTAATAACTAGAAATAGACCCACAATTTAGAGACAATGTATACTAGATTTATCTCCTTTGTTTTTAGTTGAAGGCAAAAAAAAAAAAAAAAAAAAAAAACTATTCCAGTTGTCATCACAAATAAATGCCAAATGCCTCATATTCAGCGGTTCATTACAGTGTATAAAAAAAAACTGATCATTTCCCTAGTCAGTGCTGTTATCAATATAAAAGATTAATTTACAAAAACGTAAATATTCATAACCCAATCCAGCTGTATTTTCTGCTTTTGCACCACAGGTCAAAAGATATTTTAAAAACTAAAACCTGAAAGCCTCAAAATAAGCTAGATTCACCTTCACCTTACCTTTTCAAAAGGAGAAGGGCCAAACCACACAAGAACTGTTTACCTGCAGGAAGTTCAAACACATGACCAGCATCTGCTAAGTCACTTCCCAGTCTTCACAAAATACAAGCTGTGATTGATTTGTAGGTCAAATCTATAAAAATATTTTGCACACTTAAGTCAGAAGAGCTGAGAACTAAATTAGCACTCTGTTTCTTTGCTGTCAACACGATTCTGACGCTGCAGTTTAAAGGAGGCAGCCTTTTCACTTCTGGTGACCGGATGGTCCGTGAGATCCTCAAATGACTTGGCAGCTGTGCTGCTATTTGGGAAGGGGTCCTTCTCAAACCCATCCTCGTCCATATGTGAGTCTGTGCTGGGGTCTTCCTGGATGGTGTCCATTCTCTGGTGGTCCAGTTTTGGAGCTGCTGGCGCCGAAGGGATCACAGGGGCAGGCTGCAGGCGGCCTGGAGTCTGGGGCGCAGGAAAGGGTTTGATAATGCGAACCGATGCAGAATCCATGCTGCTCAGCATTTCGACGTTCTGCAAAGACATGGGTTCAATTGATTGATAGGAATAAAAGATGAATCGGAGGTCCTCACAGCTCCACCCTTACCCATCAAACAGCCTCTTATTCTGTTGGCACTGTGATGCTAAGAAAAAAGTGCTAGGTGAGGCTCACTCAACCTAAGTGACTAAAAAATACTAGGTTGGTGCAAAAGTAATTAATGCCATTACTTTTAATGGCAAAAACAGTAATTACTAGCTTTCAAGCATCCTGAAAACTTACTTACCATTTGAAGACCCAAAAGAGGATTCAAACCTCTCAAGGTAAGATCCCAAGAGAGAAATTGAACTCAAAATATTAACTAAGTGTTGAATGGCTAAATCACTCCTTATGGCTTGGGAAGGGGACAGCACAGCTCTTTAAATGTCCATCCATGCAACTAATCGAAGTTCACCATCACTGTTGTCAGAAGGGTAAACATTCCAACCTAGACCCTTCCTGCTGCAACATGACCTTCCATCAGCCAGTGAAAGCTCTTGCTGGGTCAGGTGAAGGTCTTTGCCTAACAGGGCCTCAGACCAGGCGAAGATTATGTTTCTTTCATATGGTATACTTACACTGGGGTGAAACAGAGACAGAGATTCATACTGTTTATCCAATTTCTTATCCTAGAAAGAAACAGCAAGAAGGTCATTCCCTACAAATACAATTCAGTTAGTGAGTACTATTTCATCACAGGCTATTCCTAACACTAACTGAAGAACTTAGAACCTGAGTTGTAGAAAGTGATAGCAGGCTCAACAGATGACAATCCATTTCTCACCCAAGCTTTAGTTATGCCACCAGTCTAGAAGTGTTTCCTTTGCACTCAAAGGAAATACATTTTGGCGTTAAGTACAGAAAGAGGCAAGGTTTAAGTGCTATGTTTTCTGAGAAATTTATCCCTCTGTGGGCAGGGGAATAATAAAGGCATCTTCCTGTGCATGAAATGACAAATGTCCCAGATGCTGGGTACACCAGGACCGCACTGACTGGAAGGGCAACTGGTAGGAAGACCCAGGTGGCTGGGCCTGCAGCATTCTTCGCACTGCCCCGGCCCATGGCCTCACTCTCTTAGCTGTCTCCACAGTTTCTGTGGACCATGCTCTGCTGGAGGAACTGGGCCTCAATCCCTACATCCTACTTCTGCAGAAGGCTAACCACATGGCCATCTGCTGCCCCATCCCTGCCTGTGGCTGAAGCATAATAGGTGACAGAGGGCAAGGACCAAGAATCCAGGACTAGGCTTCCTGTCTGGGTGCCATCAATGCATTCTATGACCAAAAACAAGCCATGGCCCTCCCTCCTATCGGAGGCTTTGCTCTGAAATCAAGGGTCGTGCCTTGTCCACATGTGCAACTTCCCTGTAAACAAAATAGGTTCCATCCTCCAATAGAAGCAATCGTGATGGATGGCACTGTCATCCAGAGACATCTGTCAAAGCTTCAAGCACGTCACCTTCAGCTTTCTTCAGCACAAGTGCTCCCTAGAGATCTTCCTATACCCATCATGCTCACCACCCTGAGGAAGAGCTGCTCTGTGAGATGGCCCCTAGGCAGGAGAAGCCAGCAGGAAAGGAAAGGAAGGAGGCAGTAGGAAAAACTCCTTTGTCATCAGAGTTGTGCTGGAATTTTTAAATGCTCATAGGAAGGCCACTATGAAAGAGTTTGGGAAAACAAGTCTGGAAGCCTGGGTGTGACTTTCTCATCTCTACAGCAGACAAATCCCCATTCCCCACAGATGCAAGTGAATGGATTCGTAAGAACATTTATGAAAAAGGGCCTCAAATTTATAAAGGACCAGGAGTTCCTTAGTCAAAGCCCAATTCAACTTGTAGCTGTTACTGATTCTGAATGAGAACAGAAAAGACTGCTTACTCTTATTTTTTGGGGAAGATGTAAATACTCTATATGACAGCTGGGCCCCAGTCCCTACATCCTATTTGTGCAGAAGGCTGAAGACATAGCCATCTGCTGCCAATAATCTACATGATATATGGGGAACATCTGAAATGCCGATGTTTGATATTTGCTCTATTGCAACGAAGTCAGCCTGAAAATGCTCTTCAATAAGGGCTTTACTCATCAAAGGACCTGGACAAATCCAGTTAAACAGTCTCCTATGCTTAAAAGTATAAAATTCCTAAGAAATTTATATATTAAAACACCAACACACAAAAATAGTATTTTTTTTAAAAGACCATTAGTTAAGCTTTCTACAAGACATGTTCCCCTAGGAATAACAACAAAAAAAGCTATTGGAAATATCAGGCCAAACTTTGCTAAGAACAAGTTTTACCTTTTCCAGAGATTACATGGTTGGAGTTGATCAAAATTTAAATAAAACATTTAATTACTTAAAAGTTGATGACTTACCACACAATGGACAAGAATGCTGAAAGGAATCCAAAATATCAAGGAGAAAACCAGGACAGACCCAACGATGTTGTCTGCTAAAAACTTTCCTGTGAACAATTCCAAACAGTTAATGTCTTGACCAAGTACTTCACAAATCTAAAGTGAAATGCTCTTAGGATATTACCATTGTGTCAAATGCCAGAGCTGCTGGCTAGACATACTACCGAGAGCAGAATGTCTGTGCTGCCTGTATTACACCACACCATCTCTCCATACCAAGTGCTTTTAAAGAAATAGCCCTCATATACTGGCTGACAGGAAGAGATTGCAGAATATTCAACATGTTACCTGGAGTAGCTGTGTCAACAGATTAATATGGAATGCTACTACTAGTAAATGCTTAAGAAGACAAAGTTTTTGTTACCTGGATATTATTTTTGTGATTAAATTATGGACTCGTGACAACATGATATACCCTGCTTCTGCAAAATATGAGGCTCACTTTTACATCAAGCAGGATTCAGTATATAGCATTCAGTCAAATAAACACTCTTACATCAATCAGGATTCAGTCTATAGCATTAAACTATGCTTATGCTAATCACATGGATATTTTTGGGTAAAGAAGGAAGCCAGTATTTTGACTTTATTTCCCTTGTCAGAAAATCTGTGCATCCAAGCTCCACGGGGACAGACTATCTATGAGTTCATTTTATTCTAGCCAACAAAGTTGTTTCATAACTAAAGCTGTGAATAGTTCCACCTTCTACTGCAGAATTAAAGCACATCACTCTGAAAGCACACTTTTCTAATGTCATCACAGAAATTGACTCAGCTCTCAGTAAGTAATCTGGGGAAATCACCTACCAAAAGTATTGATGCTCAGCTGGTCAATGAAATCCCAAAATCGTTCAATTACATCCTGTACTCGTTTCTCACATTTGCCCTATGAAGAAAAAACATACATACAGCATCATTCCCAAACACAATGTATTCAGAAGCAATGTAGCTTTATAAAAATAACTGACATGTAAAGGGCTTCATTAAAATCAAACGTTTTCCCATCTTTGACACAAGGCAATAACTTCCGCGTAATGAGTACCCAAGAAAGTAGAACATCTGTCATTAACACTTTCATAATTACTCCATTTTTACAAGTGATTTAGAATTACCAGGAGACAAAAATCAAGGAAACCAGTTTGCTAAAGATGAGGCATTCCAGTAAGGACTCTACACATACACAGTGGACAGTGAACAACACAGCCAGACTCCCTGTGAAGCCTCGTAAATCTTAAAACCCTCTCCCATCATTCTGCATGAGAAAAATTATGCTTCTCTAGAGAACAAAAGGGTCTGGCTTAAGTAAGTCAAGCAGCCTTCTAGGTCTTTCCTACTCATTCAGCACCTGTTTCAAAATCACACCCTGAATAATTTTGCAATCTTAGTCAGTTCTGTAAGTAATCTAGGAAAACATAATTAGGACCCACTGCCTGAAACCAACCAACTTTACCATAAAGTCCCCACCCCAGTCCTTCTCAGTCTCTGGGCTCAAAGCCTCCCACCACAGAAGGAAACTACAGGCAGGGACCTGAAAGCACTCCGTCTTCTCCTCCTAAGTAATACCCGTAGATAACAATGGGCCAGAAGGATGTAGCCCCACTTGTGTTTTGATTTGTTTTCATCTGCAAAATCAAGTACTTACAAAATAAAAACTTCCTATCTGGCTGTTACAGAAAAAGCTGTACATAAATACTCACATTCATGTCACAAAATCCTACTGTACAGGGCTTTCCTTTCCTCAAAAATAAGTTCTTTTGTTCAGCATCGACATAGGGCACACAGCGGCCAGAAAGGTCCCTGCAGCACACCTTGCAGGAGTTGTCAGTTTCTGGAACAGAGAACACGCATTGACAGCTGGATTGTTCTGAGACCTGCCTCTCCTCCTGCCTCCTCTTTCCTCCCTGACCATGCTCCCAAAGAGGTAAGAAATCACATTTATTTTTTATTTAAATAGCTAATACTATCCATAGCCCCCACCAAGGAGTAGTTTCTGAGGTCACACTCCTCAGCCTTCAGTGACAGAGGCCACAAGGTTTAAAAAAAAATGCAGAGAAAAATCCATTCTAGATTCAAGACCTCTCTTCAAA
This sequence comes from Homo sapiens, assembly GCF_000001405.40. Lineage (NCBI taxonomy): Eukaryota > Metazoa > Chordata > Mammalia > Primates > Hominidae > Homo > Homo sapiens. The sequence goes on from NC_000002.12 coordinate 9,495,027, forward strand.
GTCTAACTATTCTCTCCCCTTCAAGCCCCTCACAATGCTCTTCTAAATGCTTCCCTTTGTCCCAACTTTCTTGTCACCCTGCTGACTTCAATCCTTGGTTTTTCAGTCTAAAGTGTGCCCCTCAGGGCCCACACTGGCTCCCTGAAAGCGAGAGCAGCTGGGACACAACTGTCCACCCTTGGGTGGGGAGCTCAGTGACCCCAGGAGCATGAGCCCTGCAGCCAAAGCTCCACAACTCCTCCCAAGAACAGCTCTGACAGGTCACAGGATAAAACACCGGGCATCTGTGAGCCATGTGGGCATACATAAGAATGGCAGAAATGCCAGAAAATTAAACCATACTTAGGAGAAAAAGAAATCAACTAGAACACAAAAACAAGCAAAAAGAAAACCTTTTCAGAAAAGGCCGGGAGCAGTGGCTCTCGCTTGTAATCCCAGCACTTTGGGAGGCCAAGGCGGACAGATCACTTGAGGCCAGGAGTTCGAGAACAGCCTGGCCAACATGGCAAGACCCCATCTCTACTAAAAATAAAAAAAATTAGCCAGATGTGGTGGTGCTTGCCTGTAGTCCCAGCTACTCAGGAGGCTGAGGCACGAGAATCACTTGAACCCGGGAGGCGGAGGCTGCGGTGACCTGAGATCGCGCCACTGCACTCCAGCCTGGGCGAGAGTGAGACTCCATCTCAAAAAAAAAAAAAGAAAACCTTTTCATCATTCACTAATTTATAAAATATTTCTTGGACTTTTACTGTGTCGGGCTCTGTCCTTCCAGAGCACCCCAAGCCTCTTGGCATTCAACACAACAGATTTATTTGGCATCTGCTACGTGTTACCTTTTTTTTTTTTTTTTTTAAGAGGTGAGGTTTCACAATGTTGCCCAGGCTGGTCTCAAACAACTCCTGAGCTCAAGTGATCCACCCACCTTGGCCTCCCAAAGTGCTGGGATTATAGATGTGAGACACTGCCCTCAACCTATCTTCTTTACCTACACATTATTGAACTTGGAAGAGTTCCTCACTCCACTGTATGGATGGTGAGCTTCCAACCCAGTGATTTTATTTAACTACCGGGTTCTTTGTCTTTTATTTATTTTATTTTTTACTTATTTATTTATTTATTTGAAATGGAGTCTCGCTCTGTTGCCCAGGCTAGAGTGTAGCGGCGCAATCTCAGCTCACAGCAACCTCCGCCCCCTGGGTTCAAGCAATTCTCCTGCCTCAGCCTCCCTAGCAGCTGGGATTACAGGTGTACGCTACCACACCCGGCTAATTTTTTTTATTTTTAGTAGAGACAGCGTTTTGCCATGTTGACCAAGCTGCTCTCAAACTCCTGACCTCAAGTGATCTGCCCACCTCGGCCTCCCAAAGTGATGGGATTACAGGTGTGAGTCACCACACCTGGCTCTCTGTCTATTTTGAAAGCAAGAGAACTCCCTCATCGACTCCCATGGTTTAAGTGGGGTGGGAAGCAGAGTCCAGCCAGTCCCTGACCAGTCCATGAGGATGCCCTCAAACCCAGGGGTTCCAAAATAGCACAGAAACCTAAGGAAAACTGACAGGCCAGCAGGAGAGAGGCTCCTGCCCCAGGCTGCTCTAAGAGATCAGAGGGGAGCAGACCCAGCCTTCTTGATAACTGCAAAAATCCTCATCTAGTGGGGTTAGGTCCTGGAATCAGCTCTCTCTGGTGGAGTTGTTGCAGGAGTATCCTAGTTCCATGCCAATGTAATGTAGATAGCTACTGCTGCTTTTGTGGTTTGTATGATATGGAGCAGAGGAAGGCTAGGACACACCTCTACCTACCCACCCACTCACCCCCAACAAAATTCCCTCCTCTCCCACCTCAAAGCCTGCCATATGGCCTGAAACTGCAGCAAGAAGAAACACCAACAGGATAGGTCTCCCAGGTATGGTGGATCTGCATGCAGAGATGCCTGTCTCCAGACACCACCCTGCCCTTCCCCATCCCCTCATCCTCGGCTTGGATCTCACCACTGCTGTCATTCGCACAACCTCCAAATGGAGGAAGGGAGCCTGGCAGACAAAGGCCATGTTTTCTCCTGCTGCTGGACTGGGAATAAAACTGCTCACCATTACATGCACAGGACTCCAGCTGCTGTTCCCTCTCGCAGAAAGGGATGCATTTCCCATCCTTACACTTGCCAAGATCCAAGCAAACAGTGTCATCTTCAGCATTTCCTGGAGGCGGGCACTCACTGCTATTACCTGGAAGCAAACACCAGTCATAACAAAAAGAATGAGTCACAGGTCCACCAGTTCTACAGGTGCATAATACGCTGTTTCTCATACAAGTGAGCATCTTACCTTGCAAAAGCAAAAAGTGACCTACAGAGCTAGGACAAGAGCCTGCATCTCACCAGCAATCAGCATTTAAATGGGAGTGCCTGGCTATGTGCCAGGCTAGGCTGCATGAGTCCCTGGCCTCCCAAGCCCCAGTTAGAATGCATGGTCTCCACTTCTGCATCTCACAGTCATATATAAAAGAATATCCTATGTGCTATTACTTAGAATAAATTGCAAACTTTGTATGAAGGCTTAAAAGAACTCCACGGCCTTCCCTATCTGGCCCTGACTTCATCGCACACAACTCTCCCACAGCCCACTGCTTTGGCTATGACAACCTCCATTCAGTTCCTTCAATATTAACAGATACTATTCCTTCTACCTGGAATGCTGGTGTTTCCACTCTTTTGGGGCAATTAGCTGGCTTTTCTTATGGATTAAGTTTTGTCTCAAAGGTTTTCTGAGATATCCCTGAGGATGCTAAGTTGATGTGGCCTCCCACTTCCATTATGCACTATCACACTCCTTCTCTCCTTCATTGCATATGTTTTGCAATTTATATATATATATTTAATGTTATTTTCTGTTTTCCCTCTACTAGACTGGAAAGCCCCATGACAGCAATGATCAAATCTATTAAGTTATCTCCAATCCCTATCATATTATAGGTATACTACAAATATTTCTTAAATAAATCAATTATTCTTTTTATTTTTCTTTTGAGACAGGGTCTCAGTCTGTCACCCAGGCTGGAAGGCAGGGGTGTGATCATAGCTTACTGCAGCCTCAAACTCCTAGGTTCCGGCAATCCTCCTGCCTCAGCCTCACAAGTACCTAGGATTTCAGGCGTACGCCACCATACCTGGCTAATTTTCTTTCTTTTTTTTTGAGAGACGAGATCTCCCTGTGTTGACCATGCTGGTGTAAAACTGCTGGGCTCAAGGGATCCTCCCACCTTGGCCTTCCAAGTGCTGGAATGATAGGCATGAGCCACTGTGCCCAGGCCAATAATGCCAAAGAAAACCCACCAAAGAAAGTTAAACTGGGAGAGACAGGATGGAATGAGTGAATCATTCTGGAAAATGAATAGCACAAGTAGCTAAAAGTCAACACAAATAGAGGAGGAGAAAAAAAACACTTTATGAAAGCAATGGACTATATATCCACAGCTCTGGACTGGCCTTTCAGCTGAAGAATGAAGCCAATCAAAAGAATTCTGACTTAGAGGGTTTCAGAGCAGTAACACAAAATGTACAGAAAATCTGGCCAGTTTCAAACAAAAGTGATGGTTTATTAAGTACCCAACAGATAACCAGGCACTTTGCCTCTGGTTCTCATAAAACCTTTCATGAGCACTGGGCATTCATCATGTCAACAGTCATTTAACAAACTATTACTGAAAGTATGATGTCCAGTGAGCTCAGGGAAGGTTTATATTGTGGATCATTATTGTATTTTTGGTATATGATACTGCCCTGATACATTAAAAAATGCTCAATAAATATCTGTTGAGCATCTGTTCTTAAAAGACTAAAGTCAGAGTATTAGACAGGTAGGAAAATAATTCTGAAAATGGTATCATCTATCTAGCATGGTCCCCAAAGTTTAGCATGCATGGAAATCACCTGACAGAAGGTTACACAGCACAGACTGCTGGCCTCCCTTCCCACATTTTTTGATGCAGTAGATCCAGGGAGGGGACTGACAATTTCCATTTCTAATAAGCTCCCAGGTGATGCTGCTGCTGCTGGTTGTGAAATGCTAATTGCTTTTTTTCTTTCTTCTTCTTTTTTTTTTTTTTTTTTGAGGTTGTTGTTCTCTAGCTTTTCCTGCTAGAAAATACTGATTCCTTATCAGGAACTTATCCTCTGCTATCTACTATTTTGTATAAAATATCAAGGGAACAAAAGGCTGTTTGATAAGAACAAACGTTTTCAAATTGTTTTACTTACGTTTATTTAAAAGAAAGCATTTTTCTCAATCTATTTTATTATTACAGTGAAGATGAAACATTGAGCATAGCTAGCAAATGCTTCTTTAAAGCTTGATTTAGATATTCAGGTTCCTAACATTTGTTTTTTTGGTTTTTTTTTGAGATGGAGTCTTGCTCTGTTGCCCAGGCTGGAGTGCAGTGGCGTGATCTCGGCTCACTGCAAGCTCCGCCTCCCGGGTTCACGCCATTCTCCTGCCTCAGCCTCCCAAGTAGCTGGGACTACAGGCGCCCGCCACCACGCCCAGCTAATTTTTTGTATCTTTTAGTAGACACAGGGTTTCACCGTGTTAGCCAGGATGGTCTCGATCTCCTGATCTCGTGATCTGCCCACCTCGGCCTCCCAAAGTGCTAGGATTACAGGTGTGAGCCACTGTGCCGGGCCATCAGGTTCCTAACATTTGGCAAAGTAATGTGATAGTGACAGATCCCAAAAGATAAAAACATGGGCAACATGTCATACTATGCACACGGAAAACCAAAATCAAGCCAAAATAGGACACAACTTCATTCACTAGGTCCCTGAAGACCTCCAGCTTTCTGTTTGCATCCTTATCACAAAACCTAGGATAGTTACAATAAAAAAGATAACAAGTGTTGGTGAGGATATGGAGAAGCTGGGACCCTCATACAATGCTGCTGAGACTGTAAAATGGTGTAGCCATTTTGGAAAACAGTCTGACAGCTCCTCAAAAGATTAAGCATAGTTACCACATGACCCAGAAATTCTATTCCTGAATAATATCCAAAGGAACTGTCCACACAAAAACTCATAGATAAATGTTCACAGCAGCATTATTTGTTATAGCAAAAAAGTGGAAGCAACCCAAATGTCTATCAACCAATGAATGAATAAACAAAATGTGGCATATCCATGCAATGGAATTTACCCAGCAATAAAAGTACATGAAGTACTGATACATGCTACAACATACATGAACCTTAAAAATGCTATGTTCAGTGAAAGAAGCCAGTCATACAATATGTGGTCACGAAACCATATTGTATAATTCCATTTATATGAAATGTTCAAAACAGACAACTCCATAAAGAATAGGGTGGTTAGTGGTTGCTCTGAGTTGTGGGGAATGGGGGGATTGGAGGATCATAGCTAAAGGATACAGGGTTTCTTTCTGGAGTAATGTAAATGTTCTAAAATTAATTGTGATGACTGCATAAATCTGAATATACTAAAAATCATTAAACTGTACACTTTAAATGGGCAAACTACATGAGTGTGAATTATGTATCAATAAAGCTATTACAAAATCAAACCAACCAACCAAGAGAGACAAATTTTGAAAAATATAAGAATGGGACAGATAGATATATCAGAGGAACAAAAAAACTAGAATAGCAAACTGAATATTGCTTTTTGACAATTTAAGTCAAAAAACATCGCAAGGGTAAAAAAGGAACATTATATACTGGTAAGGAACAGCAGATAAAGATGTAGAGATATGTCCGTTTATATACCTAGTAATAACATAGCTTTGAAATTTTTAAAGCAACAATTGACCGAACAAAAGATACTGGACACCTGGAAAGGTTAGCTCCAGAAAGATTCAAGTCCTGAATGTAAAAGGACAACTTATGAAGCTAATAGAAGCAGCTGTGGAAAATATCTTTTTAACCATCCGCCATGGCTTTTCTGAACCATGTGTTTAAAAAATACACACACACAACAAAATGATGGATTTGATTACGTTAAAGATTTCTGTTCTGAGAATGGCAACAGATAGGAGACGTATGCCCAAATGGATGATTACATAAGAACTCCTCCAAATTCACAGTAGTGAAATAACATGAAACCCAATTTTTAAAAAATGAACCAAATATATGAACTGGCTATTCACAGGAGAAATCTGAATAGCTGAAAAATATAAAGAGATGCTCAAGAAAAATGTAAGTAAGTGCATTAGGACAAGGGCTGTTAAAAAAAAAAGTAAGAACAAGAGATTACTTTATACTCATCATGCTAATAGGACAGCAGGGTAATTCCAAGCGTTGGCCAGAACGTCAGGATAAGGAGTCCTCAGACACAGGCAACCTAGCAGTGGTGCTCTAGAGACCAGCACATCCTGCCTCTGTGACTACACAATGACACTCCTCAGTACCCAGAGAAACACACAGGTTCCTGAAGGGACGTAGGAGGATGTGATCTGTGTCCTATCTGGAATATCAAGGGGATGAAGGCAATGGAAGTAGCTACCACTTGGTGACTTGTAAGTAAAACACAGCCAATCATATAACTAAACAATATGTAGGTGTCCCCAACAGTGAAATACATATAGATACATATAGAAAAACTGGTTACCCTTCTAACTTGTATCCTGCTTCCTCCACACTATTCCAGTGCATAGATTCATGATAACATTCATTATCCCAAGATTGTCATTTTGATTGTTTCCAAAATTTTGCTATTAGGATGTAGCCATTAAAAACCTTGTTATATTATCTGTAGCACAATATGGGTAATTCTTTAAAACATGATACTGAATTTTTTAAAAGTAAATTTAAGGTAGAATATCATTTTGGCACATTAAAAACACATACATGCACAAAATAACACTATATGATCTTTCAAGGATATACACATATCCAGGCAAATATTAACCACAGTAGAGTGGATGTCTGTGAGGAGAAAGAGGAGAGTGATGGAAATGAAAGAGAAATAGAAACAGGTCTTAAACCCACCAAAGCCAAGTGTCACAAACTAAGGAGTGCCAGAAACTCAACCCGGCATATGAGATTAAAAATAAGGTGTCTCTCATCTGAACAAAACATAATCTTGTTTTTCAAAGACACACACACACTTGACCCACAGCATTCCAAGGAAGCAACAAGAACACGAACCTGTGCAGTAGGACACGCCTTTGCAAGTAGCATTAATCGCCTCCTGGCACTTCTTCTGGGCAGTCTCAAACTGACAGTTTTTACAGCAAGGACTGTTCCTGTCACTGGAGAAGAACAGCAGACAGGAACAGAGCAATTCAAATTATGGCCCCATATCAAATCAAACGCTACAGTTACGTTACAGTGACCTGAAGATCACCGGGGAAGACCTCCTGGCTCCGTCACCCACTCCTACATCATCAGACATCTCCGCTGCTAGAGCTACCTGCACACACTTTGTCCCTTCCTAATGTGCGTGAGGTCACATAAATGCCACACTATAGGAGAAAAGAATGGGAACACAGCAATCACCTGTGAAACATCTTGGTGCCCTTGGTTTTCATTCATTTAACGCATTAATTTAAAAAAGACAAGATGGGCTGGGCGAGGTGGCTCACACCTATAATCCCAACCCAACACTTTGGGAGGCCGAGGTGGGTGGATCACCTGAGGTCAGGAGAGTTCGAGATGAGCCTGGCCAACATGGTGAAACCCCATCTCTACTAAAAATACAAAAATTAGCTGGGCGTGGTGGTGCGCTCCTGTAATCCCAGCTACTTAGAAGGCTGAGGCAGGAGAATCGCCTGGACCCCGGAGACAGAGGTTGCAGTGAGCCGAGATCGCACCACTGCACTCCAGCCTAGGCAACAAGAGAGAAATTCTGTCTCAAAAAAAAAAAAAAAAAAAAAAAAGATGAGGCAGGTGGACCACGAGGTTAGGGGTTTGAGACCAGCCTGGCCAACATGGTGAAACTCCGTCTCTACTAAAGATACAAAAAATTAGCCGGGCATGGTGCTACATGCCTGTAATCCCAGCTACTCGGGAGGCTAAGGCAGGAGAATAGCTTGAACCTGGAAGGCAGAGGTTGCGGTGAGCCAAGATCGCGCCACTGCACTCCAGCCTGGTCAACAGGGCGAGACTCTCTCAAAAAAAAAAAAAAAGACAAGGAAAAAAAAAAAAGACAAGGTGGGGCCACAAGGCAATCCATAGCTAAGACACTCGGCAGCCAGAACTCTACTCCCCATCAGTATTTACAGCGTTAATATGCACTGTATCCAGTTAAATCTCAATTATTCACCAGAAAACTGAAGTTTAACCCTTTTACTTCTAAGCCAGGCACTGGTCTATCAGTGTATATAAAAAATGAAAACCTGGGTAACTTTCTAACTTGTAACCTACTTCCTCCACACTATTCCAGTATATAGAATCATGATAACATTCATATCCCAAGACTGTCATTTTGATTGTTTCCAAAATTTTGCTATTAGGATGTAGCCATAAAAAAACCTTGTTAAATCTTATACCCTTGTTAAATCTTATCTCTGTTGCCCAAAAGATTCTTTGGGCAGCCAGGAGCAGTGGCTCACGCCTGTAATCCCAACACTTTGGGAGGCTGAGGCAGGCAGATCACGAAGTCAGGAGTTCGAGACCAGCCTGGCCAACATGGTGAAACCCCATCTCTACTAAAAACACAAAAATTAGCTGGGCGTGGTGGTGCACACTGTAATCCCAGCTACTGGGGAGGCTGAGGCAGGGGAATGGCTTGAACCCAGGAGGCGGAGGTTGCAGTGAGCCAAGATCACGCCACTGCACTCCAGCCTGGGCGACAGAGCAAGACTCCGTCTCAAAAAAAAAAAAAAAGAAATAAAAGATTATTTGGGCCAGGCATGGTGCCTCATACCTAGAATCTCCACACTTTAGGAGGCTTAGAAGGGTGGATCACTTGAGCCCAGGACTTTACAACAAGCTTGGGCAACATGGCAAAACCCCATCTCTATAAAAAATACAAAAAAAATTAGCCAGGTGGCACACACCTGTAGTCCTGTCTATCCGGGAGGCTGAGGTGGAAGGACTGATTGAGCCTGGGAGGTTGAGGCTGCAGTGAGCCATGATCATGCCACTGCACTCCATCTTGGGCAACAGACTGAGACCCTGTCTCAAAAAGAAAATAAAGGCCAGGCACGGTGGCTCCCCTCTGTAATCCCAGCACTTTGGGAGGCCAAGGTGGGCAGATCATGAAGTCAGGAGATCGAGACCATCCTGGCCAACATGCTAAAACTCCGTCTCTACTAAAATACAAAAAATCAGCCAGGCGTGATGGTGCGTACCTGTAGTCCCAGTTATTGGGGAGGCTGAGGCAGGGGAATCGCTTGAACCTGGGAGGCGGAGATTGCAGTGCGCTGAGATCGCGCCACTGCACTCCAGCCTGGCAACAGAGCGAGACGCCGTCTCAAAATAAATAAATAAATTAAATTAAATAAAAAAGATTATTTTGCCAGGCACGGTGCCTCACACCTGTAATCCCAGCACTTTGGGAGGCCAAGGTGGATGGATCACAAGGTCAGGAGTTGGAGACCATCCTGGCCACCGTAGTGAAACCTCGTCTCTACTAATACAAAAAATTAGCCGGGCATGGTGGTGCGTGCCTGTAGTCCCACTACTCAGGAGGCTAAGGCAGGGGAATCACTTGAACCCGGGAGACAAAGATTGCAGTAAGCCAAGATCGCGCCACTGCACTCCAGCCTGGCGACAGAGCAAGACTCTGTCTCAGGAAAAAAAAAAAAAAAAAAGATTCTTTTAACTATAGGACTGCTAAACCAAGGAGCATGCAAGGTCAAGGATTTTGTTACATAATGTCACACTGCTTTCCAGAAAGCTTCTTCTTTTCTTATTTGTTTTTTGTTTTTTAAGAGATAGTGTCTCACTATGTTGCCCAGGCTGTTCTCAAGCATTTCTCCCACCTCAGCCTCCCAGAGTGCTGGGATGACAGGAGTGAGCCACCGTGCCAGGCCCAGAAAGCAATTTCTTGCTGTGAAGGGCAAAAGAGGTAGATGTAAACAAACACACTCACACCCCTTTCAGTTGATTCTAAAGCCCCTGCAAGTTCAGTCTTCTCTTATTTTGGACATCTTGTTATACCAACTTCCCAAAATCCCTGTGGAGAGACTCCTCACCTGCACTGGACACCTTCCTTCAACGTGCAGTCGCTGTTGCAGCAGGTGTCGTTGTTCAGATACATGATGCCAGGATCACACTCTTCTCCTTCATCCACCCTCGAGTTCCCACAAACTTTATTGCTGCGTTCTTGAAAACACTCCTGGGCCTTACTTTCAATGGTCTTATAGATTGATTGTTTACTGCAGTTTGAAAACATCTTGAGAGAAAAAAGGCAATAAGGACCCAAAATAATATCATAAAAATGTATTCCCATGCAATGTTTGTGTCTTCTCTAGAGACAAACTCTTAATGTAAAACCACCATCAGAGCCACCCTGGAGTTATGGCAAGGCCACCACAGTCTCCTCCAAAGGCCACTGATATGGAACTGGGAACCTCCCTCCATAGAATGCTAAATGGCTGATGTGAACTTGGTTAAGGATCTATAATTCTTCTTACGAAGGTAAGCAAGCTATACAAATACTGAGACCAAACATCCCAGTCAAAGCCCACTTAAGGACAAGCAGAATAGCACAACAGAGAGCTCGTAGCTCCATCAGACTTGAAATCTCCTCACCTCAGGCATGCCACTCATGCAGTGACAAGAATTAAGAACCTCTGTAGGTTAATGTTGTCCCAGACAAAACAATTCAGAAATGCAGGAGAAGGGGTTTCTTCTCCTTCTTTGGCTACTTATATGGATGATCCAAGTTTAAAGTTGTTTAAATATTTGAGCTTAGTAATAGGCATAATAGTACATTTTATATAAATTAAATCCCCAATTGTTACCTAAACATTTTCATCAACCAGCAAGACCAGTGTCTCAAAAAGTCTCTACACTACCTTCCCACCCTGGAGTACAGAACCACTAGGATAACTCCCTTTTAAGGCTGAGGGTTTTATCAGGAGCTCTAAAACTGCGGTCATTTTCCAGACCTCCTGAAGTTATCAAAAAAAGAAGAGGCTTAGGGAAAACTGAGCATAGTTACTTCTTAGGTCGGGGTCTCCAAAGTGCTCTGCAGATGCCAAAATGGCTTCACTTTCACCCCAGACAACAATCATGAAGCCCCTGAGAGCCAAGTGTATGAGACCCTCCAAAGGTGCCTGTAACCACCAAATCAGACACCAAAGGAGCTACTTTCAGAAAGATAGCAAAGACCTCATCTTACACAGAAATACTAACTGGCTTTTTAAAAAACATCTTCAAATCTGTTTTTTTTTTTTTTTTTTTTTTTTTTTAGATGGAGTCTTGCTCTGTCACCAGGCTGGACTACAGAGGCACAATCTTGGCTTATTGTAACCTCCGCCTCCCGGGTTCAAGTGATTCTTCTGCCTCAGCCTCCTGAGTAGCTAGGACTACAGGTGCATGCCACCACGCCCAGCTAATTTTTGTATTTTTTGTAGAAACAGGGTTTCACCATGTTGACCAGGATGGTCTCGATCTCTTGACCTCATGATCTGCCCACCTCGGTCTCCAAAGTGCTGGGATTACAGGCGTGAGCCACCGCGCCCGGCCCAAATCTGTCGTTACAGTACAGATGTCTAAGGGGTCTGGTTATTCTAATCGGGGCCTCAGGCAGTTGTCATTTTGGTGGGTTTATTCATCAACATCATGTATCTCTGGGTTCCATTTTATCAGGTTAAAATGGAGTTAAAATTCACAGTGAACAGATAAGAAGACCTCTTCACTGATTTGTCAGAGTTACAACTCCCAAGCAGCTGGAGAGCACTAACGATAAAAGGACCAACCCGCAACTCTGGCTTTCTGCCTACACATCCCTGAAGATCTGGCAGCTTCTGTTTGCATCCTTGTCATAAGACTTCCTCTTCCGTTCAGCAAACCTTCCTAAGAAGTTACAATCTCAAAGGTCCTACATTCCTTTTCACTAATGTCATCTGTCCACAGAGAAGTCCACCTGTGGCAAACTGCTCTTCATAGGCTTGCCTAGTAGAGGGTGATGGGTTCTGTCTTTCTAGGTCAAGGAACTACTTTATTTTTGTCCTGTAAGCCCTTTTCATCAGTTAAAAATATTTTTATTAAGGAATTCATTTAAAACATAGGCTGGGCACAGCAGCTCATGCCTGTAATCCCAGCACTTTGAGAGGTCGAGGCAGGTGGATCACCTGAGGTCAGGAGTTTGTTGACCAGTCAGTTGACCAACCTGGCCAACATGGTGAAACCCCATCCTACTAAAACTACAAAAATTGGCCAGGTGTGGTGGCATGCACCTGTAACCCCAGCTACTCAGGAGGCTAAGGCAGGAGAATCGCTTGAACCTGGGAGGTGGAGGTTGCAGTGAGCAGAGATCACACCACTGCACTCCAGCCTGGGCGACAGAGTGAGACTCCACTCAAAAAATCATAATAAATAATAATAAATAAATAAAACATAGAAGATGCACATTATCTTCTTACAAGGGGACTCCTACTTGGGCAACCAAACTAGAAAAACACAGACTAAATATGATGTGCTCAGGACAAAATAAATAAATTGTTCTTCATTGATACAGACTGGCAGCTCCAGAAAAAAAAAGTTCTTCCCAGGCCCCATTCTCATTAGCAAGTTCTTTTTTTTCTTTTTCCTTTTTTTGAGATAAAGTCTCACTCTGTCATCCAGGCTGGAGTGTAGTAGCACAACCTTGGCTCACTGCCGCCTTGAACTCCCCGGGTTCCTCCTACCTTAGCCTCCTGAGTAGCTGGGACTACAAGCATGTGCTTCTATGCCCAGCTAATTTTTGTATTTTCTGTAGAGATGGAGTTTCACATGTTGTCCAGGCTGATCCTGAACTCCTAGGCTCAAGTGATCTGCCCACCTCGGCCTCTCAAAGTGCTGGGATTACAGGTGTGAGCCACCATGCCTCACTGGCAAGTTCTTACAGGGCTGTTTTGAAGAGCCCCAGAACTGGCAGCAGGAAGAGTCAGCAGCATGCATGTCCACCCAGGCAGTCTGCAAAGTAAAACATTTTGCTCCCAAGTTCTGACACTATCCTCATAACCAAGAAGCATATGACCTATTACTTAGAGAAACAGTATGCAATATGGTAGCCACCAACCATATGTGGCTACTTAAATTTTGTTCCTAGTCACATATTTTACAGTTTCTATTACAGAAATATTCAAGCATCTATGAAGTAGACAGGATGGTATCATGAATGCCCCCGTGCCCCTCACCAGCTTCAACAATAATCAACTTATGACTTCACAGCTCCTCTACATCCGCGCTACTTTTCCTCTGCTCCCACACTGCTGTTTTTGTTTGTTGGCTTATTAACAACTTTATTAAGACATATTTCACATATCACAAAATTGATCCATTTCAAGTATATAACTCAGTGATTTCTAATAACTTTACCAAGTGTTGAAACCATTGCTATAAGTCAATTTTAGGACATTTCCATCCTTCCAGTAATCTCACTCATGTCCTTTTACAGTTAATGCCCATTCCCGTCTCCCATCACAGGCAAACATTATTAAAAATTTAAATAAAATAGAATTTACAATTCAGTTCCTCAGTTTCTAGCCACATTTCAATTGCTCCACTGGGCTAGTGGCTACTATACTGGGCAGAGCAGACACAAAACATCCCCCGCCCCGCAGCAGAAAGTTCTATTGGGCAGCACTGAACTATAGTGAACATGATTAGAAATGCAGAGACTATGAAAAGAGAAGGAAAATTCAACAGTTTGACAGGTTGGAAGAGTAGACAAAAAGGGGTAGAAAAATGTTTCTCTGGCACAAGTTGTCAAGCAGAGGAAAAATAAAACATAACATGCAAAGTAACAGAGGAACTGTTTACACATAACAGCCAAAGAAAATGAGATGCAGAAAATATACATAAAAAGCCAAAAAAAAATGAGATGCAACAATCAAAGATCACAAAAAGAACAGGAGGCAGAAATTTCAGAAAGCAGGGTGTCAGAGCCAGGGAAAAGCAGAAGTAATCTTGCCCTCTGTGTCCAGGGAAGGCTTGCACATTAGCCCACAGCCAAGCTCAAAATAGGAGTCAGGACAAATACTTCACAATCTTTTGTGATTAGAATCAGACTCCTTTAAGCTCTCCCCACCGACCCTCTTTAACTCAGCAGTGCAACTATTGTTTTCCTCACACTGCTTTATGCTGTTTAACTTCAAATAAAATGAAAGAACCAGATATTTATTAACACAACTTTTAGTTCAGACTCTAAGAGTTAGTCACGGCACTCTTAAAGTCTCTGAAAGTGTTTTACAGTATCACAAATCAACTAGTATTCTCTATCAGAAACCCCCAATAGTAAATGATTCCATTAATTATTCAACAAATATTTGTTACATGCCAGATACTCCTACTAGGCACTGGAGATAGAGCTATGAATAAGATAGAGCTATGAATAAGACAGACAAGGAAGGGCCTTTCTCCCATGAGGCTTGTAGTCAGGCAAACTATGTGTTTAACTGCAAAAGTTAATAAAAACGTGTAAACTGTACATGTAAATTGTAGAGTTAAAATGAATGACAACTTGTAAATGAAATGACAAATTTTTAACATAAAGCCTGAGCCCACCAGACCCTGAAATCCAGAACTCCAAAAAAAGCCATTATTATTAGTAATTTTTCCTAGAGCTCAAATCTACACCATTAAGCTTGACAACAAAGTCCAAATGATAGTTTTAACCAGATTTAGATGAACCGTGCTTCACCCCAAAACACACAACCACGTTTCAAGGTACTTTGTAATTTGCACATCCATCCCTAGGGAAACGCCTAGGAATGGAATACGTTTCTGAGCTCTCATTATGATCATTATACACAGCCTCTTTCCAAACCACATAAAAAATTCTCGACACACACATACCTTATTGTTCTCGTGATCGCCACTCACAGCTATGGGATACATGACATATTTCCCTCCCTGGTCCTCATTCGGGGCACATTCTGCTAGACCATCCGGATCATGTTCTGCTCCAAAATTATGTCCCAATTCATGAGTTGTAACCAGGTCAGCTTCCTTAAGGATCATGCAAAGAAAACATTATTTCTCAATATCCAGCCATCACCTACTTCTGCCAGTTGGGCCTATGCTGTCTTAAATAGAGCCTTATAATCAGATCAACAAGAGAATAAGAACTGCATGCTTATAATACCAGCACTTTAGGAGGCTGAGATGGGAGGATTACTTTACTCTAGGAGTTTGAGGCCAGCCTGGGTAACACAGGGAGACCCTATCTCTACAAAAATAATAAAAAATATTAACCAGGTGGGCTAGGCATGGTGGCTCACGCCTGTAATCCCAGCACTTTGGGAGGCTGAGGCAGGTGGATCACGAGGTCAGGAGTTCGAGACCAGCCTGGCCAACATGGTGAAACCCTGTCTCTACTAAAAATACAAAAATTAGCTGGGCATGGAGGCACGCGCCTGTAATCTCAACTACTCGGGAGGCTGAGGCAGGAGAACTGCTTGAACCCAGGGGGCGGAGGTTGCAGTGAGCTGAGATCACGCCATTGCACTCCAGCCTGGGAGACAGGGCGAGACTTCGTCTCAAAAAAAAAAAAAAAAAAATTAGCCAGGCATGGTGGTGCACACCTGTGGTCCCAGCTACTTGGGAGGCTGAGGTGAGAGTATCACCTGAACCCAGGAGGCTGAGGCTACAGTGATCTATGATCACACCACTGCACTCCAGCCTGGGTGACAGAGTAAGACTTTGTCTCAAAAAAGAGTAATAACCGGACTATGATTCTTCTACCAATTATATGAATTTAACAGAATAAGTAGGATTTTATTTAATACTATCAAACATTATTGTAAGTAGTAACAAATCAATTTAAGAAAATGTAATTTATAAGATATACTGGAACATTCATAACAAAACATCAAACCTTGGCCATTTCAACCACACACAATCTGGTGCTGATAAATGCAATAAGCTAACTGTAGTTAATTGTCCAGCCTCCTCACATGCCCCTCGGCCCAATCACATGTCTGTTAAAACCTAAAGCATCTCAGCAGAAAGGAAAAAAAAAGCAAGGGGTAAAAAAAACAGTACGGATAGGCGCAGTGGCTCACACCTGTAATCCCAGCACTTTGGGAGGCCAAGGTGGGTTGATCGCCTGAGGTCAGGAGTTCGAGACCAGCCTGGCCAACATAGTAAAACCCCATCTCTACTAAAAATACAAAAAATTAGCTGGGTGTGGTGGCGCACGCCTGTAATCCCGGCTACTCGGGAGGCTGAGACAGGAAAATCACTTGAACCCAGGAGGCGGAGGTTGCAGTGAGCTGAGATCATGCCATTGCACTCCAGCCTAGGCAACAAGAGTGAAACTCTATCTTAAAAAAAAAACAAAAACCACAACTGAGGAACAACAAAACAATGTTTTATTTTCTCAATGACTGAATTCATGTCCAATAACAATCTTAATGACCTAGAGGACTTGGTTTATTAGAATCCAGTTGCAGGGCTGTACTTAATCTATCAGATTATCAGATGATTTCTATATGAATAATAAATTTTGCCAATAAAGCTAAAATTTTTTTTCCATATTTATCTGAATAAAATATCAAACTTAAAGGCCAGGCACAGTGGCTCACGCCTGGAATTCCAGCACTTTGGGAGGCCAAGGCAGCTGGATCACTTGAGGTCAGGAGTTCCAGACCAGACTGGCCAACATGGTGAAACCCTGTCTCTACTAAAAATATAAAACCTAGCCAGGCATTGTGGTGGGCGCCTGTAATCGCAGCTATTTGGGAGGCTGAGCCAGAAGAATTGCTTGAACCCAGGAGGCGGAGGTTGCTGTGAGCCGAGATAGGCCACTGAACCCCCAGCCTGGGCAAAAGAGTGAGAGTCTGTCTTAAAATAAATAAATAAAATAAAATAAAATAAATATATATACATATAAACTTAAAATTCCTGAGTTCTTTTTTCCTAAGGGGGGGAAATCACTCCATAGAACCTGAAAAAATAATATTTTGCAAGTCATTTTTCTATACAAGAAGTCTTTCCACATGTTCATATTAAAACCGTAGTGGGAAAAAAAACTTAAATTTTTAGCAAAAGCACTCAAATCCCAAAGGTGTAATGAAGAGAAATATCTCCTAACTGCTTGGGGAAAATTCATTAGTGGATTTGCTAATGACTCTTAAAAAAAAATCTCAAAAATTTCAAATCAAATTTTGTTTTTTTGCTGTGTTTTTTTAAGAGGAAAGTTCTGGAAGACCAAAGAAAATATGTCATGAAATCAAGCCATTAAGAAGTTGTGACTCCAAAAAAGTAAAAGCGTGAGCTACTGTACACACATGTATGTTTCTGTCCATGGCTCCTGGCTTACAACCCTCCGTAGCCCTGGTTACGGTCTTCTGTTATAATGTTGGGGTGCTTTAGGGCTCAGGAGCAATCCTCAGGAAACAGAATCTCTCTCTCTGACCTTCTCCTGTCCTCCTTTTACCTGATCCAAGGCAAGACTCTAATCTGATTGTGGGTCCAGAGATCCTCATTCTCATTCTCATTCTAGAGAGGGTCCTGCCCTTTACTGTGGAGGGAGGAATGCTGCACAGAGAGGTCAAGGAGAATCTGGACAGGCCTTGGTGGGCTTCCCCACTCAGTCGGTTAGTATGAGAACATACCCATTTTGTCCAATCACATTTCTACACAGTTGTCATTCGTGCTTATGTAATGAAGCCTCCATAAAATCTCAAAAAACAGGATTCAGAGAGCTTCCAGAGAGCATTTTGAATACATGGAGGTTGACAGGAAGGTGCAAAACTCATTCGTGTGCCAGGAGGGAGGTACATCCCAACTCCATGGGGACAGAAGCTCCTGTACTCGGGACCCTTCCAGACCTCGCCCTATGTATCCCTTCATTTGGCTATTTCTTTGTATCCTTTCTTTTTTTTTTATTTTTTGAGACAAAGACTCCCTCTGTTGACCAGTACAGTGGCGCAATCTCAGCTCACTGCAATCTCTGCCTCCCAGGTTCAAGCACTTCTCCTGCCTCAGCCTCCCGAGTGGCTGAGATTATAGGCATGCACCACCACACCTGGCTAATTTTTGTATTTTTAGTAGAGACGAGGTTTCACCATGTTGGTCAGGCTGGTCTCAAACTCCTGACCTCAGGTATCTACCCACCTCGGCCTCCCAAAGTGCTGGGATTACAGGCGTGAGCCACCGCACCCAGCTTCTTTGTATCCTTTAAAATATCCTATGTAATAAACCCATAAACTAAGTTAAGCTTTTCCCTGAGTTCTGTGAGCCACTTAAGCAAATTAATCAGACCCAAAGAGGAGAATGTGGAAACCCCAACTTGAAGCCAGTTGGTCAGAAGTTCTGGAGGCTCAGACTTGTAACTGGTGGGGAGGAGGGAACAGTCAGTCTTGTGGGACTGGGCCCTCAAACTGTGAGATCTGATACTATTTCCGGGTGGAGAGTGTTTGAATTGAATTGGAGGACACCTAGCTGATGTCTACTGCTTGATATGTAGGGGGAAATCCCCACACGTTTGGTCTGGTCACACAAGTCTTCTGTGTTGATGATGATGGTTGTGATGTGAGAATAGAGGGAAAACACAGTTTGAGAGATTTTTTCCCCTAAAACAAAGTACCATAAGAAAAAAATAAATTTAGAAATTAAGGCCAAGCACGGTGGCTCACGCCTGTAATCCAGCAGTTTGGGAGGCCGAGGCAGACGGATCACCTGAGAGCCAGCCTGACCAACATGAAGAAACCCCATCTCTACTAAAAATACAAAATTAGCTGGTCGTGATGGCGCATGCCTGTAATCCCAGCTGCTCAGGAGAAAGAGGCAGGAGAATTGCTTGAATCCGGGAGGCGGAGGTTGCAGTGAGCCAAGATCACACCATTGCACTCCAGCCTGGGCAACAAGAGAAAACTCCATCTCAAAAAAAAAAAAAAGAAAAGAAAAAAAGAAATTAAAAGATTCCCAAAAGCTAATTAGTGTCTTTTTCTTTTCTCATACCACTCTACATTATTGTTCAACATTGTCCAACAATGATAGACTGGATTAAGAAAATGTGGCACATATACACCATGGAATACTATGCAGCCATAAAAAAGGATGAGTTCATGTCCTTCGTAGGGACATGGATGAAGCTGGAAACCATCATTCTCAGCAAACTATCGCAAGGACAAAAGCCAAACACCGCATGTTCTCACTCAAAGGTGGGAATTGAACAATGAGAACACTTGGACACAGGAAGGGGAACATCACACACCGGTGCCTGTCGTGGGGTGGGGGGAGGGGGAAGGGGGAAGGGATAGCATTAGGAGATATACCTAATGTAAATGACGAGTTAATGGGTGCAGCACACCAACATGGCACATGTATACATATGTAACAAACCTGCACGTTGTGCACATGTATCCTAGAACTTAAATTTAAAATATAAATATATATATATATATATATATATATATATATATATATATATATATATATAAATAAAAAGAGACAGGGTCTCAGGCCAGGCACGGTGGCTCACGCCTGTAATTCCAACACTTTGGGAGGCCAAGGCGGGCAGATCACAAGGTCAGGAGATTGAGACCATCCTGGCTAACACAGTGAAACCCCGTCTCTACTAAAAATACAAAAAATTAGCCGGGCGTGGTGGTGGGGGTGCCTGTAGTCCCAGCTACTTGGGAGGCTGAGGCAAGAGAATGGCATGAACCCAGGAGACAGAGCTTGCAGTGAGCCAAGATCATGCCATTGCACTCCAGCATGGGAGACACAGCGAGACTCCATCTCAAAAAAGAAAAGGAGGATCTCGCTAAGTTGCTCAGGCTGGAATGTAGCGGGTATTCACAGTTGCATTTATCACACTACAGCCTCTAACTCTTGGCCTCAAGTGATCCTCCCGCGTAGCTGGGACTATAGGCTCCTGCCACCACCTGTTTTTAAATCACCCAAAGTCCACAGTTTATGTTAGGGTCCACTCTTTGTGCTGTATATTCTATGTGTTTCAACAAATGCATAATGTCTTATACTGACTGTTGAAGTATCATACAGAGTAATTACCCTGCTCTCCACCTATTCATCCCTCCCTCCCCCAGCATCTAGCAATCACTGATCATTTTATAGTCTGCATGGTTTTGTCTTTTCTAGAATGTCATATATTTGGAATCATATAGTATGTAGCCTTTCAGACTGGCTTATTTTACTTAGTAGTATGCTTTTAAGGTTCCTCTATGTCTTTTCATGGCTTAATAGCTTTTTATTTTTTTCTCATTTTATGGATGTGCCAGTTTATCCATTTACCAACTAAAGGATATCTTGGTTGCTTCCAAGTTTTATCAATTATGAATTAAGCTGCCATAAACATTCTTATGGCTGGGCGTAGTGGCTCACACCCGTAATCCCAGCACTTTGGGAGGCTGAAGCAGGCGGATCACCTGAGGTCAGGAGTTCGAGACCAGCCTGGACAACATGGTGAAACCCCATCTCTACTAAAAATACAAAAATTAGCTGGGAGTGGCAGCGGGCACCTGTAATCCCAGCTACTCAGGAGACTGAGGCAGAATTGCTTAAACCTGGGAGGCAGAGGTTGCAGTGAGCCGAGATGGCGCCATTGCACTCCAGCCTGGGTGACAAGAGTGAAACTCCGTCTCCAAAAAAAAAAAAAAAAGAAAAAAGAAAAAGAAAAGAAACTGCCAACTGCCTTCCAAAGTGGCTGTTCCATTTTTGCATTCCCACTAGCAATTAATGAGAGTTCCTGTTGCTCCATAGCCTTGTTGGAATTGTGTTGCCAGTGTTTGGGATTTTAGCCATTCTAATAAGCTACTAGTAATAGCACATTGTTGTTGGGTTTCTTAAAGTTTTTTATAGAAATAGGATCTCACTAATGTTGCCCAGGATGGGTCTCAAACTCCTGGGCTCGAGCAATCCTCCCACCTCAGCCTCCCAAGCAACTGGGACTACAGGCATGTACCCCTACAACCAGCTTCATTGTTAATTTGCAATTTCCTAATGACATATGACGCTGAGCATCTTTTCATATGCTTCTCTGCTATCTGTATATCTTTGGAGGTATCTGTTCTGCTCTTTTGTCTGTTTTTAAATTAGGTTGTTCATTTTCTTATTGTTGAATTTTAACAGTTCTTTATACATATGGAAATTTTTATTTATTTATTTATTTTTAATTTTGTAGAGACAGGGTCTGACCATCTTGCCCAGGTTAGTTTCAAACTCCTGGGCTCAAGTGATTCTCCTGCCTCGGCCTCCCAAAGTGCCGAAGATTATAGGAATGAGCCACCATGCCCGGCCTCTTTGTATATTTCAGATAGCAGTCTTTTCTCAGATGTGTCTTTTGCAAATGTTTTCCCATACCCTACACCAAGTATAACATCATAGTCAAAAAATCAGTATACCAACCAGCCCTTTAGGAAGCCAAGGTGAGTGGATCACTTGAGGTCAGGGGTTCATGAGACCAGCCTGGCCAACATGGTGAAACCCTGTCTCTAAAACAAAAATACAAAAATTAGCCAGGCGTGGTGACAGGTGCTTGTAATCCCAACTACTCAGGAGGTTGAAGCAGGAGAACTGCTTGAACCCAGAAGGCAGAGGTTACAGTGAGCCAAGATGGTGCCACTGCCCTCCAGACTGGGCCACAGAGCAAGACTCTGTCTCAAAAAAAATAAAAATTAAATAAAAATTAAAAATCAGTATATCAGATACTAATATGTCCTACCAACATCTCTCTCCCCTTCTTCCTTACTTAATGAGCCCTAATTTTGCCCAGGACAGCAATATACTCAGCTAAAATAGCCAGCTTTCCACATTCCGTTGAGGCTAAGGGCAGCCACGGGACCCAGTGCTGTCCAGTAACATATAAACAAAAGCCAGGATGGGGCCTCCAGAGAAGCTTTTTAGAAGGGCCAGACTAGGCTAGCCATGTTCTCTTTCTCCTCCTTTCTCCAACACAGAAGAGAACCATCTTAAAACCATGAGGTGACATCCATGAGGACAAAGACTTCCTGCTTGTTCTTGAGCCACTGAGGGTACCTCTGAGTTGCTGTACCACCCAGAAAATGCTATCCCTGAACTTCTTGTTGACTGAGACAAATAAACCCCTTATTTAAACCACTGCTTATTTAATTTTCTGTTATTTGTAGTCAAACACATTTTAACAGACATAGCTGGAGAAAAACAAGATCTTAAGATATTCCAGAGAAAAAAACAGGTGACAAACAAAGATAAGAACTCAAAATGACTTCAGATTCTTTAGAAGCAACATGCACAGAAGACCATAGAGAACATGAGAACTAAGAATATACTCAGCCAAAATTATCAATCAGGCTTAAGAGTGGAATAAAGACATTTTCAGATATATGAAATCCCAACAATATGCAGGTCATCTACGTTTTCTTAGGAAGCTCCTGCAAGATACACTACACCAAAATGATGGCACTGAGAAAGAGGGAGACCATGGGGTTCTGAAAATAAGAGGGTGTGGGATGCCTTGAATGACAGCTGCACTGCAGGACTAGGAGACAGGGAGCTCTAAGAGTTGCTGCAGGTCAGAGGGGTCCAGGACAGAGGGTTCGAGAAAAGCAGTGGTCCTCACATGTTTCAAAAGAAGGCTGACAGGCCATTTTTATTTTCTTCTTTATGCTTTAATTTTCATATATCCCACAAAAATACATAAATTTTATTTAGGCAGAAATTTAAAAAACAGTATATATTACATTTTTTAAAAAAATACCTACATAAATATATAACTGAGGTTCTACTACAATAAACTCTAACACTATTCTTTTAGAAATAAAAGAACATACCTTTGTAAGGATGGTTTTACCATAATTCTTTGTGCTCGTCAAACCACTATTCAAATAGATATTTTTCTTCCCAACTGGGCTATAATAAGCTAAAGTCAAAAGGAAACAGAGATAAATTGCTTATTAAATACAGAATTATAATATAATCCAATCATCTTAATAATCCCAGCAGCATATTCACACAAGAAATGGAAAAACTTACCCTTTGGACAAACACCTCCATGGCTGTTTGCTCTGGGAGAGCCAACATAAGCTAATCCAAGAGTTCCCATATCAAAATCTTGGTATGTGAAAAGGTGTGCCAAGCAAACTTTAGATGCTTCCTCAGCTATATCAAAGCTAAATTGCTTTGAAAGACCAAAAAAAAAAAAAAAAAAAAAAGCATTCTTAGATTAACAATTACATCAGACTAAAAGATGTAATCTAAATCAACTAAACATTCCAGAACAGAACTATGATGGCATGCAGCTCAGCACCAGCAATCACAACCTCGTGCAGTGCTTTGCTCTTTCCCTAAAGTGCTTCTCCACCTGCACAGGTGAGAGGCACACACTGTCATCTGACAAGGGACACAAAAGGGAATAGTTCGGGAGCTTGCTCCAGCTCTTCAGAACTAACTCACTGCTCCTCCGAGGGCTGTTCTGAAGACATACAGCCCAGGACTAGAGATGCTCCAATTCGATAAGGGGATTGCAGCACTCCAGGCCAAAACAGATCCCTCTCAAGTATTTCAAGGATTCAATTGGTTTTATAGAAATTTTAATCTTAAACTTTTTTGAGCTTCATAATATATTGTCATTTATATAAATATACACTTATAGAAAAGCATACATACCCAGTTTTATGTTACTAAAATAAAGATTTTACATCCATTTAAATCAACACTGCAGGTTTGAGAGGATTTTTTTTTTCTTAATTTAAAAGGGCTTCATACATTACTTTAAAAACCTCTACCATAACCGTCCAGCGTCTCCAAGTTTAAAAAAACCTTAATTTGGGGGGGGGGTTTGATTTATTTTGCTTGAGACAGGGTCTCGCTGTGTCACCTAGGCTGGAATGCAGTGACGCAATCACAGCTCACTGCAGCCTCGACCTCCCAGGCTCAAGTGAACCTCCCACCTCAGCCTCCCAAGAAGCTGGTACCAAAGGCGTGCCTCACCATGCCCGGCTAATTTTTGTATTTTTTGTACAACATGTTGCCCAAGCTAGCCTTGAACTCCTGGGCTCAAACAATCCACTGCCTCATCCTCAGCCTCCCAAAGTGCTGGGATTACAGGCATGAACCACCATGCCTAGCCAAAACCCTCAATGTTTAAAATGCTTTAAATGAGAGGCCAGAGAGCCCTATATGAGGAATGAAGTGTGGTTACATGGGGATTCTGATAGTTCCGTGGTAAAAGGATGAGGCTTCTAAGAATATTCTAGGAGGCTTAGGGAAGAAAACTGGAGAGGACCATCTGTCAACATAAGTCATTTTTCTCTTTGGTTCCTCCCCTGCCATGGGCTGTCTGGAGGCTCACAGAAAAGCAGACAGGCGCAGTGGTTCAGCTGTTCTAGGAGTCAGGAGATCTGTGCTCAATTCAACCTCTGCCATCACCAGTTGTATGACTAATCAGACAAGTCATTTAATCTTCCTGCTACTGGCTGAATTGTGCCACCCCACAATTCAAATGTTGAAGTCCTAACCCTCAACAGTACCCCAGAATGTGACTCTATCTGGAAACAGGGCCCTTAAGGAGGTAATTAAGGTACACTGAGGTCATATGGGTGGGCCTTAATCCAATATGGCTGGTGTCCTGATAAGGAGATCAGAATATACACACACACTGAGGGAAGGACCATGTGAGAACACAGGGAGAAGACAGCATCTACACCACAAGTACCTTGGCCTCAGAAGAAATCAACCCTGCTGACCCCTTGATTTTGGACTTCCAGCTTCCAGAACTGTGAAAACCCAAACTTCTGTTGTTTAAGTCCCCCAGCCTATGCTGCTTTGTCATGTCAGCTGGAATAAACAGTAACACTTGCTGAGCCTCCTCACAAGGATGCTGTCTCAACCAACCTCTCAGGGTGCTCAGCAGATCAAATTAGACAAGGTATGAATGAGTACCACACAGGTGCTGCACATTATGCTTCTCCATCTGGATGAATAGTTATAATATCCTTTAATTCTATTGAAGCTTTGAAAACTTGATTTCAGCCTCATGAGACCCTAAACAAGAATCCAGATGAGCCACACCATACCTGGACTAGCCCATGCAAACTATGGGATAAATAAGTGTTGTTCTAAGCTGCTCCACTTGTGATAATTAAAGCAACAACAAGAAACTAATAAACTTGCCAACACATTAAAAGATAAAAACTATCGCTTCATATAAAGTCATTCTACACCAAAGTAATAGCACACACAAACTCAAGACACTGGAATCACATGGCAGCACCCTGTTATACGGCAAGACTCCAAATGACATAAAATGATTAAGTTAGCCATCTTTAGATTAATCGCCAGAATAAAAACACAAAAATTTTAAATTCCTGTAGAGAACTTTCAGATCTCCAAGCTATATTTCTACTCTCCAATACATGTTCATAACCTGTTTGATAATTACTGCCCTAAAAGATAAATTGATAAGCTTCAGAGAGAGCTGAACTAAGTGTGCAGAACTAATGAAACAGTGTGCAAAAACTCTATATATTGGGTATCCATGTTATTTTCTAGAGAAGATCCACTGATTGTCTCATTAGATCCTCAAAGATATTAAGGTTAAGACGCACTGCTTTGGCCGGGCATGGTGGCTCACACTTGTAATCCCAGCACTTTGGGAGGCCGAGGCAGACGGATCATCTGAGGTCGGGAGTTCAAGACCAGCCTGACCAACATGGAGAAACCCTGTCTCTACTAAAAATACAAAAATTAGCCGGCCGTGGTGGTGCATGCCTATAATCCTAGCTACTTGGGAGGCTGAGGCAGGAGAATCTCTTGAACCTGGGAGATGGAGGTTGCGGTGAGCCAAGATCACGCCATTGCCCTCCAGCCAGGGCAACAAGAGTGAAACTCTGTCTCAAAAAAAAAAAAAAAAAAAAAAGGAAGCATTGCTTTATAGCGTTTTTCTTTTTCATAGAGTTTTTGTTATTTGTTGTCTATGCTGCTACATGGGATGGGGTTACTGCTGGATCAGCTGGAGGAGACTGCTTCTGGGTGTCCATCTTTTCTAACATGCTCCTTCATTAAAACACATACAATCCACATATCAGAAATGACAAAGTGGTGTTAGCACCATATCCAGGATTCTAAGACCTACCTCTAGCAACATCTTCACATCCCAAGCATCCTTTTCTTCATTTGGGTAACTTTTTGCCATGTTGTAGTGCTTTTCACCAGGTTTTACCTCTTGTGGAGACTTGAGAATGCGAATCTATACTTAAAGAGATCATATACTTAGAACACTTCCAAAATAAGTCAGAAGGCTCTGAATACTGCATTATTTTATCTGTTCAAAAAAAGAATCGTTCTAGAAAAAAAACATTTTAAAACCAAAATTCATAAATTCTTCAGTACCAATATTCAATGTTTGAAACAAACAGAGAAGCATATGGTATGGAAAACATATGTCAATGAATTATTTATAATATTATAAATGTACTCTTAAATTTTCATATCCTCCATGTTTATTTTGAAAAAATAAGAACTTGGGTTACAGGAGCCTAAAATATTTATTACGACTACAGTCGACAACTCAGGAAAGAATAATAAAATATACATCTCTTTGTGCATCAAAGGAATAAAAGGCTAAGAATAGAGTCTTCTCCTTATACAGGCATTTCAGACAAATTCATATTAAACCTGCAAAGAAGAAAAAAAAAAGTAACAAAGGCTCCCATTAGTAAGTGTGAGATAAAGAAGGAAACCATGCTCAGCTCAGAGTTTCTGTGAGTCTCTCTGCCTGCCTGCCTGCCTGCCTGCCTGCAGAGAAGGCCCATTCTGGTCTCCTCTGCCACTGTGTGGTAAGTTTACTGGGGTGGACTCTGCAGTTTTGATGGTGGCTGGTCAAGGTCAAATCTGGGATAGAACTACTTAGAAGCCCACCATGATACACATCTAAACCACACCCTCCAATCCATCCTTCATCAGATGTAAAGAAGTTAATGTTTTAATCTCCTATATTATTCCTGTTTCTTCGACTGGTTCCAAATGCCTAAAGCAAAAAGAAAATTTACAGGTTCCCTGAAACTCAAACATGATGCAGCTATTTATAATAAAACAAGTGAAGCAGCTTTACATGCATGAACATGAAGTACTCTCCAACATACTGTGAAATGAAAAAGCAAGGTGTAAAAGTGTACTGCATAGCACCGTTGTGTCAAATACAGACATATACATACACTATACCTGCATACGACATCTCTAGAAAGATACATATGAAACTAGTGACATGAATGTCTTTGGGGAAAGGAACTGGTTTGACAATAAACAGGCTGCAGAGACTTACTTTTCACTGGCTTTTGTACTGTGTACATGTTACCTATTCAAATAATAACTTAAAAAGAAAATGCGTAACAGTGAAAGAGAATGAAAAGGGAAAAATAATTCTCTTAGTTTTATACAAGTAATATCAAAGTTTAACATTTATAAACATGGTGAATGATTTTTAAAAATTTTTTCAACCTCTAAATTCTATACTATATAACTTATAAAAATATGGTTTACTACAAAAAGCTTGGAAAAAAATAGAGATAACAATTTATATAATTTACATATCAAAATGTCTCTCTGCCCAAAGCAATACCCTTTGTCAGAAGCCTTTTTAATTAGTCCTAGCAATTTGAAATAACTTTTAATATGAGCTATTATTAAGATGACATTAATATAACATTACTAGACACACTCTGTTAACAGATTACAAGAAATCAGAAGGAGATATCTGAGAGGAAAGAACCTAAAGGTTCTGTATATATAAATACAGCCTTGCAAAGGTACACAGTATTTTTTAGTAAATTTTCTGACTAAGGATTCAATGGTGCATGCCAGAGTTTTAACTAAAGACTTAAGCATAATCGGAGGGGGGAAGAAAACTACAGAGAATATAAAGGCCATGAATTCAAAGAAGGAACAAAGCACAGCAGCATAAAAGGCTTTCTACCTAAAGCGAGACTAAGGACAGAAAACTTCACAATCTAGAACTAATTAACATCAAAAATACTGCACAATTCATCATAAAAAATCATTGGCATCTGAGAAAACTTATTTACAATTATTGTTAAGGACAAGTTTTTAGGTTTTGAATACAAGTGACAAATATTTACATTACAAAACTTAAGTAATATAAGCCATATCTATTGATAAATACCTGCTCTATCTGTATTCCATAGCCTTTAAAACCTGCATTATCCCATGAAGTGTTCCGATAGATGTCATCAACTCTGTCAATTAGCTCTATCTGTGTGTATTTAAAAAAGAAAAAAGACATTATGTAACTCTTTACCTCTCCTGGCAATGCAATATAAAATCTATGGGGAAAGAAAAAATCTCAGTTTAGAGGCCATTGCAAAAGTTTCTACTTTCGCAAAAACTAGCATTGAGATGTTACTGTATCAGAGTATTCCCAACCTTTGGCCCCAAACTTAAAGTGCTGTTACCAGAATAAAACAATGGTATAGTTTAACCTAAATTTCAGGTACTCAATTGCACATGGAACCAAAATGACAAGTAACAGGCTTTTTTAAAACTACCGTTTCAGCCAATAATAAAAATTAAATTTAAAAGTCAATCAGTATACCTGAAATACAGTTGACCCTTGAACAACAGATTTGAACTTCAAGTGTCCACTTACATATGGATTTCCTTGAGCCTCTGTCACCAGAGACAATATGATCAACTCTTCCTCTTCCTCCTCAGCCTACTCAACATGAAGACCATTATGATGATCCACTTCCACTTAGTGAATAGTAAATGTATTTTTCTCTTCCTTATGATTTTCTTTTTTTTTTTTCAAGAGACAAGGTCTTGCTCTGTCACCAGGGGTGCAGTACAGCGGCACGATCATAGCTCACTACAGCCTGAATTTCTGGACTCAAGCAATCCTCTCACCTCAGCCTCCTGAGTAACAGAAGACTACAGGCACACACCACCATGCCGGGCTTTTTTTTTTTTTTATGATTTTCATCATAACATTTTCCTTTCTCTAGCTTACTTGATTGTAAGAACACAGTAATAATACATATTTTAAAAATGTGTTAATCAACTTATTTTATTGGTAAGGCTTCTGGTCAACAGTAGACTATTAGTAGTTAAATTTTTGGAGAATCAAAGTTATACAGTGGCCGGGCATAGTGGCTCATGCCTGTAATCCCAGCACCTTGGGAGGCTGAGGCAGGAGGATTGCTTAAGCTTAGAAGTTTGAGACCATCCTGGGAAATTCTCCATCTCTACTAAAAATCAAAAAACTTAGCCAGGAAGGGTGAACACCTGTTGTCCCAGCTAGAGGAGGCTGAGGTGGGAAGATTGCTTTGGCCCGGGCAATAGAGGCTGCAGCAAGCTATGATTTCACCACTGCACTCCGGCCTGGGCGACAGAGCCTTAAAAAAAAAAAGTCACGTGAGGATTTTCGACTGCAGAGGGAAGAAGGTCAGTGCTTCTAACCACACCCCCGCACTGTTCCTGGGTCAACTGTATTCCCTTCTAAAAAGAATTCCATCTTCACTCTATCTCTTGGTGAGTACCTCGAATGTCTTCCCCAGAAACAAGTAAGGGGCCGTGGCAGACAACTGCCAACCCTATTCCCCCACTCTCACCCCAAAAAGTTCAGCACTGAGGAATGGGTAAGAAGACAGCCAGAAAGAACAAGGTTCATTTCAGCAACCCTCCTTCTTTTGTTCTCTGATTTGGGAAAACTGGAGAAGGAAGGCAGTATAGTTTCCAAGGAAAATGACATGAGAAAGAACAAAATGCTAATTACCTATCTTTTTCTCAAAGAGAATATTCTACTGTTCAAAAACTGGGTTGATGAGGTTTGTTCTAGCAACTGTGAAACAAGTTATGCCTAAGAAGTTGTAAAAAAATACAATTTTTAAGACTAGATCTCTCATTATATTCATATTTATAGTGCAATGAACAAAGAAGTAAAATAAGAGGAGCCCCTTAATATAAAACCCAGATTAAGAGAGAAGCTTTTTAAAGTAAAAATCTCTCTTATTTAGGAACAAGAATCACAGTGACTCTTACTAGCCTCATAATAAATTCACTTGATATGGGGCCGAGTGCTGTGGTTCACGCCTGTAATTCCAGCTACTTGTGATGCTGAGGCAGGAGAATTGCTTGAACCCAGGAGGTGGGGGTTGCAGTGAGCTGAGATTGTGCCACTGCACTCCAGCCTGGGCGACACAGTGAGACTCTGTGTTGAAAAAAAAAAAAAAAAATCCACTTGACATGAAAGGGAAGGGAAAGAAGTTGGGAGGGTATGAATAAAATGGACAGCATGGGAAAAGCAAGGCAATGAGAAAGACATCTTTACTGCACCAGCTTCTTCTTGCTTCATGAATAGCTGCATTCTCCATTATTCCCTCAGTAACAACATTTTGGTCAGTGCCAAGTAATCATGACGAATGAAGTCACACTAGCAAAAAATGTCAATGAAAAATGATTCCCCAGACTTCAAAAATCATAATAGTTCATACTTAAAAATCCAGTATCATCACTTCTTACATCTTTCCTTCACTTCTGTGCCCTAGAACTAGTTATGACCATGAAAGTCCCACCTATTTCAAGTGAAGTCCAATGATTAGGTCTTTAACATGACAAACAAAACTCGCCTTCCTCTCTGAAATATACATATAAGCAAAAGAAAAACATGGGTTCATGCAAATACATATTTTTACATTCACATGTGACACCACAGGTTCACTACCATGATAGCAGTGATGTTTTTAAAGAACTCACTTATATCAAGGAGGAAGGACTACATTATAACCTCTCCCAAACCCTATATGCATAAATTCTAACATGCAGAAAATATTAGTTCAAGGGTAAAATGGGTTGTCACAAATTTGAAACTATAATTTCCATACAGTAACATAAAAACCTCAGAGAATATCCCTCAAATATTTTAGGGAAATAACAGAGTATCTGGAACAGATCTGGTTGCATTAAGTTTCATGGAATGTACCCACCCAAATTTTTTTTTCAATTACTCGATGCAATATCAAATACTTACTAAGTAATTTGTAGTTGTACTCTCTTCCCCTCTGCCCATGTATCTGTAGAAGCGATGATCTGCTACCACCAATAATTTACACGTGTTCTTCATGGGATCTGGGTCAGCTCTTCTTTTCACTCGATGAACAAGCTCTAATATGAATTTGTATGCACTATTAAATCAAAATTCACCAAAACAAGGAGTTTTATGGTAACACTTTAAATCTAACATATTTTTGAAACAAACATTATGTGAGCTTAATATCACTAAAGGATTCTGAACAACAACAAAAAATAATTTGGAGGAAGACAGAAAAGTGAAAAGTAACATAAAGTTAAAACACTGTAGAATTCAAAACCAAGGACAAGTGCCTCTTTAATTTTTCCAATACAGAAACTTTAAAAAGTGCTCAACAGAGTAAGGCCGGGCATGTTGGCTCAGGCCTGTAATCCCAGCACTTTGCGAGGCCAAGGTGGGTGAATCACCTGAGGACGGGAGTTCGAGACCAGCCTGGCCAACATGATGAAACCCCATCTCTATTAAAAATACAAAAATTAGCCAGATATGGTGGCACCCGCCTGTAATCCCAGCTACTTGTAAGGCTGAGGCAGGAGAATCACTTCAACCCAGGGTGCGGAGGTTGCAGTGAGCCAAGATTGTGCCATTGCACTCAAGCCAGGGCGACAAAAGTGAGACTTCATCTCTAAATAAATAAATAAATAAATAGTGCTCAACAGAGTAAAACAGTCACCTAATGCTGGGCTATGAAGCTGTCAGTCATATTCTACAACAAGAAGTTTATGAATTAACCAATGTAACAGTAAAAATGTCAAGATATTCACATTGAAAATTAGTTTAATAGGACAACTTTCTTGTGAAATAAATTAAGAATTTCTTTATTTATATATTAAAATGCTAATATATAATTTTAATAACATAACCGTCTTTGGCCGGGCATGTTGGTGCACGCCTGTAATCCCAACACTTTGGGAGGCTGAGGTGGGCAGATCACTTGAGGCCAGGAGTTTGAGAACAGCCTGACCAACATGGTGAAACCCCATCTCCACTAAAAATACAAAAATTAGCCAGGCCTGGTGGCACATGCCTATAATCCAGCTACTCAGGAGTCTGAGGCAGGAGAATCACCTGAACCTGGAAGTCAAAGGTTGCAGTGAGCCGAGATCGCGCTGCAAACAAAACAAAACAAAACAAAACAAAAAACCTAACCAGAGGTGTTTTGGGCAGTAAAATTCCAAGATGGTTACGTTTTTTAAATGACCCTAAATGGATTGTCCCAAGATGGATATAACCTTCTTGTATTCTAAGCAGTATATATATAGGTCCCTCCTACTACCAATTAATTTCTTATAAACTCTAAAGATTGTCTTTCCACCATATTATTTTATCATTTCTAAATATCTGCAGGAATATTTTCCCTCAGATCACTCCATTTCCCTTTTCCCTAATCTTTTTTAAAGTCTAATCTCTGTTGTTCCCATTATTTTCCAGAGTTTTCAACTCTTACATTATAAACAAAAGAAGATGAAAATTTCTGGAACAAACCTCTTATTTTCATGCCAAATACTATAGTTACTTGACAATCATGTTATTTTTTAACAAATAACAACCACCCCTACTGAAGTCAATTGTAGTATGTTTGTTTCTTATTTGAAATACACTCTTTAAGTCTTACCTTCAGGTGGTTCTCTGTCTACTAACCCTTTTGGGAGCAACTCTTCATTATCCACTTTTAAATAACCACACACTTTTGGAGACTGCAAACGTGAAACATTCTTGATATCTTCAGATTTATAAACTAACATTCTTTTGTCTTTGGTATCATTAACAAATCTCCAAAGTGGCTAAAACAGAAAATATATACGACTGAGATGGAAAACAATAATAATTCCTAAACACTAAATTCTTCTAACATTCTTTGCTTGTTCTTAGATAACATTCATTTCTAGGTTAAGTAAACTGATTAGTCATGTTATTAAAATAAATAATCTCAATTTTTAATCATATGGAGTTTCTATGCAGGAAAGTAAATACATAGATTATAAACTCTGATTATTTTATCTGTATATAAATAAAGCCTTACATACTTTGCACGTTGTGAAATCTTTCAGAGGATGCAGAAGAGAAAAATGCATATCATTTTCCACTCATTCATTCAAAAATATTATGTAATATCTACTGTACACTGGCACTGTTATAGGTGATGGTGCTATAGTAATGAAAATTGGACAAGGTTTCTGTTCATGCAGCATTTTCATTTTAGTTTCCTTAATACTTAGGTGTTTGACACCTTTTTGCCACGTTAGGTTTTATCCACACAAAAGAACAAACATATTTATATGAAAGAAAACTCAGAACTTGTAACAATAGGTCTGAACCTTATTACTTGTTTCAGCGAACGCAGTTTTTAAACAAAATCTCCACTTACAATGTTACAAGGCCAGAGTAAATCACAATTAACATACTCCAAAGGTTACCCAAGTCAAAAGGCTGTTTGTTTGTTTTGTTTCAAAGCAAAGTTATTCTCTGTAAGAACACTGGTCTCATCAGAACCAGGCAGTTTGTGGGGGGACACACAAAAAATATATTTATCTCCATCAGGGAAATGCAAATCAAAACCCCAATGGGGAAAAAAACCCCCACAATGAGACACCCCTGTATACCCACTAGGATGACTATGATCAAAGACAAATACTGGTGAGGATGTAGAGAAATCCAGAACCCTCACATATGCTGATGAGAATGTAAAATGGTAAAACCACTTTAGAAAACAGTCTGGCAGGTCCTCAAAGGTTAAAAGTAGAAGTACCATATGACCCAGCAATTCTGCTCCTAGTATATAACCAAGAGAAATGAAAACACAAGCAGTAATGTAAATATAGCTAAAAAGTGGAAACAACCCAAATGTCCATCAACAACTAATCAATGAATAAACAAAATGCAGTTTATCCATACAATGGAATACTATTCAGCAATAAAAATAAATAAGATACAGATACATGCTACAACACAGATGAACCTTGGAAACATTATTCTAAGTGAAAGAAGCCACACACAGGCTGGGCGTGGTGGCTCATGTCTTTAATCCCAGCACTTCGGGAGGCCGAGGCAGGTGGATCACTTGAGGTCAGGAGTTTGAGAACAGCCTGGCCAACATAGTGAAACCCCGACTCTAGTAAAAAATACAAAAATTAGTCAGGCATGGTGGCAGGAGCCTGTAATCCCAGCTACCTGGGAGGCTGAGGCAAGAGAATCAGTTGAACCCAGGAGGCAAAAGTTGCAGTGAGCTGAGATCATGCCACTGCACTCCAGCCTGGGTGACAGAGCAAGACTCCATCTCAAAAAAATAAAAAAATTGAAGCCACACACAAAAGACATGTTATGTAATTCCATTTATATGAGATGACCCAAACAGACAAATCTAAATAGACAGTAGATCCCTGGTTGCCTAGAGCTGGGGGAGTTAGGGAGGAAGGGGGAAGTATGGCTAAAGGATACAGCGTTTCTTTTTCAGGTGATAAAAATGTTCTAAAATTGAATGAGGTGGTGTTTGCACAACTCCATCAATATACGAAAACTGCCGGGCGCGATGGCTCACGCCTGTAATCTCAGCACTTTGGGGAGGCCATGGTGGGCAGATAACTTGAGTCCAGGAGTTCGAGAACAGCCTGACCAACACGGTGAAACCCCATCTCTACTGAAACACAAAAATCAGCCGGGCATGGTGGTGGGCGCCTGTAATCCCAGCTACTCAACAGGCTGAGGCCACAGAATCACTTGAACCCAGGAGGCAGAGGTTGCAGTGATCGTGCCACTGCACTCCAGCCTGGGTGACAGAGTGAGACTCCATCTCAAAAATACACACACACACACACACACACAAAACTACAAAATTGTATACATTAAGTGGGTGAATAATATAGTATGTGAATTTTATCTCAATAAAACTGTTAAATATTATATGCATATACATCTTTGGTAATCCATGTATGAGGCAGATGTAAGAAACAAGGGTTACAGAATTTCAGGGTTGGCAGAGATCTCAAAAGTTAACTAACCCAACTTCCGGGCTACAGGAATCTTCCATATTTAGTAAAGTTCATTTAGCCTATGAATAGGAGTGAAATTTTTTTTCTTTTGGGTCAAACATTTCTAAGTTCACATTGATTGTTTCCTAGTATAGTCAGTCCAGCACAGAAAAAGACAGCTGGCTTTGGGATCAGATATATCTGAGTTCAAACCTCAACCATACCTCACTATGTGCCTTGGACAAGTACCCTGAGCATAACCTCCCTCATTAGGTAAAGTAGTGATAATACCTAACTTGAAGATTATGAAGATTATGTAGGTAATAAATCTAGTTTTATATTAACATTTCAAAAGAAAAGTGGTTGTTATTAATAAAAGCTAAGGCTATTACCATTATTACTAGTAAGTTGCTGGAAAAAATAATTTGATGAGTAATTGACTAAAAGGCAGAAAACTGGATTGGATCCTGGACTGGAAAACCAAAAAAAATCTACAAAGGAGATTTTGAGGATGACTAGAGATTTTGACTATGGCATGATTATTAGATAATATTGTAGAATTCTTGTCATTTTCTCAGGTATGTTACTTTTATTACAGCTATAGAAAAGAGTGCCTTTATTCCTAAGGATGCATACAGAAGTATTTAGGGGTGAAGGGTCATGATGTTTGCAAATGATTTTCATATGATTCACGAAAAAAAGAGAGAAAGCTAACAGGACATTATGTTAGAAATTGTTTAAGGGCTACAGGGTATTTTTTAAAAAAATCTTTCTGTAACTACAGGGTACTTTTTAATCTTTCTGTAGATTTGCACATTTTCTTTTTTATTTTTTTCTGAGACAGAGTTTCACCCTGTCACCCACATTGGAGTACAGTGGAGCGATCTCAGCTCACTGCAACCTCTGTCTCCCAGGTTCAAGCGATTCTCCCACCTAGGCCTCCCGAGCAGTTGGGATTACGGGCGCAAGCCACCAAGCCTGGCTAATTTTTGTATTTTTAGTAGAGACGAGGTTTCACCATGTTGGCCAGGCTGGCCTCGAACTCCTGGCCTGAAGTGATCCACCCACCTCAGCTTCCCAAAGTGCTGGGATGACAGGCATGAGCCACTGCACCAGCTGAACATTTTTAAAACTAGAAGCTGGGGGAGGCCAAGCATGGTGGCTCACGTCTGTCATCCCAGCACTTTGGGAGGCCGAGGTGGGCAGATCACAAGGTCAGAAGTTCAAGACCAGCCTCACTAACATGGTGAAACCCCGTCTCTACTAAAAATACAAAAATTAGGCCGGATGCAGTGGCTCATGCCTGTAATCCCAGCACCTTGGGAGGCCGACGCGGGTGGATCACCTGAGACCAGGAGTTCAAGACCAGCCTGGCCAACGTGGCAAAACCCTGTCTCTACCAAAAATATAAAAACTAGCCGGGCACAGTGGCGTGTGCCTGTAATCCCAGCTACTTGGGAGGCTGAGGCAGGAGAAATGCTTGAACCTGGGAGGCGGAGACTGCAGTGAGCCGAGATTGCGCCACTGCACTCCAGCCTGGGCGACAGAGCAAGACTCCATCTCAAATAAATAAATAAAAGTTGGGGGAAATATTATCTCACTATGCAAGTTTAACCCAGGATTATTTATATAAATAGTAAGCTATGGTAAAGTCAGTGACG
This sequence comes from Homo sapiens, assembly GCF_000001405.40. Taxonomy (NCBI): domain Eukaryota; kingdom Metazoa; phylum Chordata; class Mammalia; order Primates; family Hominidae; genus Homo; species Homo sapiens. The sequence continues at coordinate 9,531,800 of NC_000002.12, forward strand.
GTTTAAAATATTTAACGGCTGCGCACAGTGGCTCACACCTGTAATCCCAGCACTTTGGGAGGCCAAGCAAGAGGATTGCTTACAGTCAGACATTTGAGATCAGCCTGGGCAACACAGTGAGACCTCATCAAAAATCTGATACACTCTACAAAAATTTAACAAATTAGTTGGGCATGGTGGCATGCACCTGTAGTCCCAGCTACTCAGGAGGCAGAAAAGAGGGATTGTTTGAGCCCAGGAGGTCAAGGCTGCAGTGAGCTATGATGGCACCACTGCACTTCAGCCTGAGTGACCAAGTAAGACTGTCATAAACAAAATATTTAATGATGATGTGTTAAAAATAAGATATATATTTTTTCCTGCTCACTTATATTCCTAAGATATTAGTGCAGATAGACAATGTTTTTGCATCAAGGTAAGTGTAAAGAATTATTTTTTTTCATGTCAGACTGGTAATGTGCTAACATTGTAACAAGGTTCTAGGGTGGTACATCTCATATGTGTGTGTGAACAGCCAATCACCACACTTATGAACTATAAAAGTATCAAAAGAATTATAAAGAGTATGAAAATCACCCCTGTAAGTAGTAAATCATTTTTTCAATAAACATTATTAATTTCATGCAAAAGTCCCTCAAGGTATCTGATGAGTATACTTGTAAGTAAACATCTTTGTGTGTGTGTATGTGTGAGATAGGGTCTCGCTCTGTCACCCAGGCTGGAGTGCAGCAGTACAATCTCAGCTCACTGCAGTCTCCGCCTTCCGAATTCAACTGATCCTACTGCTTCAGCATTCTAAGTAGCTGAGACCACAGGCATGTGCCACCATGCCCAGCTAATTTTTTTTTTTTTTTTTTTTTTGTGGAGGAGTAGAGACAAGGTCTCCCTATATTGCCTGGGCTGGTCTCAAATTCCTGGGCTCAAGCAGTCCACCCGCCTCAGCCTCCCAAAGTGCTGATTACAAGTGTGAGCCACTGTGCCTGGCTAAGTAAATATCTTACAATGAAATATTAGTTATACTCATTTTTGTACTTAGTGAAACAAAGGTATGGATGGAAACAGAATTCCTATTTTTCCAAAAGGAAGTATTTGAAAAAAATGAGTAATCTAGCTGGGCGTGGTGGCTCATGCCTATAATCTCAGCACTTTGGGAGGCCAAGATGGGCAGATCACGAGGTCAGGAGTTCAAGACCAGCCTGGCCAACACAGTGAAACCCCATCTCTACTAAAACTACAAAAATTAACGGGGCATGGTGGCACACGCCTGTAATTCCAGCTACTCAAGGGACTGAGGCAGGAGAATCGCTTTAACCTGGGAGGCAGAGGATGTGGTGAGCCGAGATCGCGCCATTGCACTCCAGTCTGGGTGACAGGGCGAGATGCCATCTTAAAAAAAAAAAAATGTAATCTGAGCAAATTTAACTTGGATCCTAAAGACACATATTTTGGCTTAAGAATTAATAAGCTGGCCAGGCACAGTGGCTCACGCCTTTAATCTCAGCACTTTCAGAGGCCGAGGCTGGCAGATCATGAGGTCAGGAGATCGAGACCATCCTGGCCAACATTGTGAAACCCTGTCTCTACCAAAAATACAAAAATTAGCTGGGTGTGGTGGTGCGCACCTGTAATCCCAGCTACTCGGGAGGCTGAGGCAGGAGAATGGCTTGAACCCAGGAGGCAGAGTCTGCAGTGAGCTGAGATCACGCCACTGCACTCCAGCCTGGTAACAGAGTGAGACTCAGTCTCAAAAAAACAAAAAAGAATAAATTATTCTAAGGAAATAAGCAGACATATGCACTGCAGCAAAAACAATGCTGTGCATTTACCACACTATTTTCTCTTTCTGAGCTCAAATTACGACTATCTTTTCCATTCTCCTTTGTAGCAGGTCAGAGATAAAGTGTTCTAGAATGTATTGAACGGAAGGCCATTTCCAAGCCTGGCCCTTAATATCCTGTATAATTCTCTAGCTCTGTTTTCTTTCTGTGAGAACTACAGAGGACATGTGTCCAAAAGTCAAAGCCACAAAGTAGAGGAGAACCACCTAACCCACATCAAGCCACAGGAGAGTAAGAAAAAACTTTGCTTGTGTTAAGCTACTCAGCTATGGGAGTTTATCTGAAGCCCTCGCACAGCCTAGACAGAGCTTCCTACAGTTTCTTCATTTAACTTCCCAGACTATTACCTATCATCCAGACTATTCCAACTAAACACATGCACCAAAAGGTGTGCCCAAGGCTGTTCACTACAATACCTTTTATTTCAAAAGTTAGAAACAAAACAGTTGAGGCCAGGCACAGTGGCTCACGCCTATAATCCCAGCACTTTTCAGAGGCCGAGGCTGGCAGATCATGAGGTCAGGAGATCGAGACCATCCTGGCCAACATGGTGAAACCCCGTCTCTACTAAAAATACAAAAATTAGCCAGGTGAGGTAGCATGTGCCTGTAGTCTGAGCTACTCAAGGGTCTAAGGCGGGAGAACCGCCTGAACCCAGGAGCCAGAGGTTGCAGTGAGCCGAGACCACGCCAGTGCACTCTAGCCTGAGTGACAGAGTGATACTCCATCTCAAAAAAAAGAAAAAAAATTAGCCGGACATCATGGCGCACACCTGCAGTCCCAGCTACTTGGGAGGCTAAGGCAGGAGAATCGCCTGAACCGGGGAGGCAGAGGTTATAGTGAGCCAAGATCACGCCATTGCACTCTAGCCTGGGTGACAGAGCAAGACTCCGTCTCAAAAAACAAACAAACAAACAAACAAAACCCTAATTTAGATCTATATTAACACGAAAAGGTTCATAATCATATTGTTAAACGAAAAATGTGTGAAGACAAACTGTACATATTGTATGGTCCTAGTTTTGCAGGAAAAAATAGTGGGTATAACTATATTTATTTGTGTATTTACACATAGAAAAAAAAATTTGGAAGGATGTCTGTCAAAATGTCAATAGTAGTTATCTGTCCAAGTACAGATAATCTATTTTCCGAATTTTGCAATGAGCATATATTTTAAAATAAAGGTATTCTTAAAAAATAAATTGATTTGAAAGAACAGGCAAATTTAAGACATTCCAGTGATGCTTTGCCTATTCTAGAATGAATGCATTTATAATATTAGTTCCTTTACTTTCTACTAAATTTCTGACTCTTTCTGGTAGGCCAGACTCCTCAAAACATTGACATTAAATAGCTTAAACATTAACAAACTATAACATACTGCAAGGCCATAGGTTTCTTTTTCACAATAATGGACAGTCAAAGGACTAACAGTCATGTAGATTGGATATAATTAAAACATATAGTATATATAGCTCCAGCAGACTGTTTTACCCCTATTAAGCACTCAAATACACCTGAACATTTCATTTTGACCAATCTTACTCAGTTTTCCCACAGGTGATCTATTTTAGTGATATCACCACCACCACCCAGAGTCTTCTCATTTTTCAGGAAACACAGAATCAACTTCAATTCACAATTATGAGGAAACGTTTTGTTTTGTAGACTAATATCTGACAGATAGATATGTGTCTTAACCAATGCAGCCACTGTGGTCTTGATTTCTATTGCTACTCTTTCAATGGAAGAGTGACCACAGCCTGACTTTCCTAGCTTCCTCTTTAACTTCTCAGACTATGAACTACCACCTTTCATTGATCTAGCATTTCCAGTGTGTCTAGCAGAAAAACAGAGAAATTGAAAAATAATACTTCACTTTTCATTTCTGAGGATGTTTACATTTATTATTTGAGAAAGAATTAAAAAATGAGTCAGGAGGGAAAGAAAGTTTTCTCTTCCTATTATCCATCCCACATGTAACTCTCTCAATTATGGTACTTAGAAATACAGGGTGTATCATAACACAGCTTCTTAGAGATTATCCTTTTTTAAAAAGTCTACTTTCCTAGTAAAAAACTTCAAATACGAAGAGGAAAGAAATAAGTATAATTACTTTTCACCTTTGCAGAACTGAGCAGCTTTTTGAAAATCAGAGATATAAGCTACTGAAAAAAAATTCACATATAAATTTACCTCTATGTTATATTCGGCCCCATCTGTGTTGATTCTGATTATAACATCATCATCTCTTATGTGGGCTAGAACCCTAGAGTCAGGCTCACCTTAAGAGAAAAAAAAAATTATTATTTAAAAATACTTACATCAAATAAGAAACTATGCATTACTCTCAATAAAAATTAAATCCTTCAGGGTGGAATTTGCCTAGTACTGTGAGAGCTCTGCAAAACAAGAAACAAAGGCTCCAGAAAGAAGCTAGATAATCTCAACTCCTAAGGGGTAGCCTCAAGTTTAGTCACTTGAAACCTATCCCTTTCCCAAAACAAACAAAACTGCTAAGATTTTCTTCTGGAATAATTTTATCTACTTCTAGGTAAAGGAAGAACTAAGAGAGACAGAAAGCATGATTTAGAATGTACAGGCCTAGGAACTATACTATTTGTGGATTTCAATGACATTTTTTTTTCTCATTGCAGAAAAAGGTCAAAAAGTAAACTGCAATTGCTTGTTTGATAAATTTTCTCAAATACATACGTAATAGGATCACCAAGTATTTTATCTCCAAGCTTCCCTGTTTAAAATATCATAAAGAAAGCTTACAGTCACTGAGGAAAAGAAAGGTTAAATTCCTATCACTTAAGAAGAATTTAATTTTAATCATTAAACCAGCCAGCTAGTATGACATTTAGATAATACTCATTTCCTTCTATTAGAATGTTCCTGCCTCTAAACTTATATACCTCAAAGAAAAGTCAAAGAATAGCACTTCTATGACACCCCGTCCCCACTATCCTGCACCAGAAAAGAATATGCAATCAAGTTAGATTTGGAGACCTAATACACCAGACACAGGGGCAAACCAACAAGCTCCATACTAACCAACCACGTGTCCAGTGAAGAAGTCCTGCCATTTTACAGTGTACTCGCTTTCGTTTTTACCATCCACCACCACGACCTTGAAATTTTGTGAAAAACGTTCAGTACTTGATGTCAGGTATAATTTAAAATGCCTGAAGAAAAATGCATTCATATTTTACTCTAAGCACACAAATTTTAAGTCTCATTTTCACATAATTAAACTTTCTTAAAAAGCCAGAAGCATTGACATTAATAAAACACTATGCAAGTTACAACTAAAGTCTTATTAGGTACTTAGAGCAATATATCTCCTGTAACGACAAATGAACTAATTTATTTAGCTATAAAAACAGCAGATCACAATAAACTCACACTAGGGTAAAGATATTCAAAGAACTTATACATTCATCTCTCCTGGAAAACACTGAAGAATAAGGAAACACACATGACTGCGTAGTTAAGTTGGAATCCTGATTATCTAAAAAAATTATTATCAAAAACTAATCCTATTATATACCATTTATTGAACACCTACTTGGTGTTAGGTACTATGCATCTATTATCCCCACTTCACACAAGTACAAATTGAGGCTTGGAAGCTAATCAACCTACTCAAAGTTACACAGCTAGTAAATGGTGAAACTGGGAAATAAACCTGGTTTATTTCAAAACCCTGTACTATGCTGTCTCTATCAAGCTGGGTGGACTATGAGAAAATTCTTATTGCTGTGCAAAATTAATAAATGCTGCTTTCTATATTTAAAAGTACTCATGCGGCCGTGCGTAGTGGCTCACGCCTGTAATCCCAGCACTTTGGGAGGTTGAGCTGGGCGGATCACGAGGTCAGGAGATCGAGACCATCCTGGCTAACACAGCGAAACCCCATCTCTACTAAAAATACAAAAATTAGCCAGGCATGGTGGCGGGTGCCTATAGTCCCAGCTACTTGGGAGGCTGAGGCAGGAGAATGGAGTGAACCCGGGAGGCGGAGCCTGCTGTGAGCCGAGATCGCCAGCCTGGTTGACAGCGCGAGACTCCCGCTCAAAATAAGAAAAAAAAAAAGTACTCGTGCTTTTTTTCCTCCTCAAAACAACATATCTTGCAAAAAAGTAACCCACAATTACAGTTAGGAAAATAAATACAAGGTATCTAAGACAGACATTAGAATATAGACTCCATTGGCACCAGAAGACAGGAAAAGAGGGGAGGGGAGGGGAGGGGAGGGGAGGAGAGGGGGAGGAGAGGGGAGGAGAGGGGGAGGAGAGGGGAAGGGGAGGGGGAAGAGAGGGGAAGGGAAGGGGAAGGGAGGGGAAGGGAGGGGAGGGGAAGGGAGGGGAGGAGAGGGGAGGGGGTATACACTTCAGTTCTTTAGTGGGCTTACTATTCTTTTTGTTGAGTTTCAGTCCAGTTCTTTAATTGGCTTACTATTCTTTTTGTTTTCTATGACTTTCCATCCTTACATGAAAACTAGGAGTGGTGAGCAAGACTTTCTCAAGTATTATTTATAGTCTTTCAATGTGTCCATGAACACCAAAGACAAAGAAAGGTATATTATTCATCTCACCCACAGAAACAAATTTTGTCAGCTGTTGTACTGAAAATATATTACTTCCCCATGGGATTGCAAAAGTCTTTAAACTACCGGAAAGAAATCTAGACTGGGACTATCTCCATGGCAACAAATATTTTTAACTTTTTGAGCATAACAAGGTAATTTTAGTTTGCTTGTGGTTTTTTAATGGTCAAAGGGAAAAGACAATAGAACATTATTTCGTAAATCCTTGGAACATTTTCTTCTGCTATCCTAAAACATATCTTCCCACACATTCTCAGTTATGATTTTTCCCTCCAGTTATGCTGAGAACTTTCAAAAGCATACTTATTATAAATGTCTTATTATTTTGTTTTAAAGCTAAGAGTTGCAACATTACTTAATGTTCTTTTCAGAAAGAAATCAGTGGAATTGCATTTTTCATTTGCTACATTAAGAATCTTTTCTAAAGATAAAGACCAAGCGATTATAAAATTCATGTTTTTTGATTTTCCAATATTAGCTTTTGAGTTATAAAACGTCCAACAGAATGTCAAAATTTCTTTTACTTTATCCTCCCAAAATTATGTGAAGTCATTTTCTTACAGATTTCTTTAACGTTTTATCTTTCTGACTTTTGACTTAAGAATTTACAGTAACTAAAGACCAGCTAACCAGTTTGAATTAACATTATTACCCTAACCATTTTTAATGGTCCATTTAGTCAGGTATATCACTTTCATTTCTTTATCAGTTCTAGACCTTCTCAAGTAATCTGATATATTTCACTTTTAGGAGAAACATTTAACTTTTTCCAAAAAAATTCAGGCAACATCAAAAAAGTATCAAAACAGTATATACTCCGCAGCTTTTTCGTTATTTAAAAATAAGATAATTTCTTGATTTTTTTTTTTTTTTGAGACGGAGTCTCACTCTGTCGCCCAGGCTGGAGTGCAGTGGCGCAATCTCGGCTAACTGCAAGCTCCACCTCCTGGGTTCACGCCATTCCCCTGCCTCAGCCTCCCAAATAGCTGGGACTACAGGCGCCTGCTACCACGCCTGGCTAATTTTTTGTATTTTTAGTAGAGACGGGGTTTCACCGTGTTAGCCAGGATGGTCTCGATCTCCTGACCTCATGACCTCATGATCCATCCAGCTCGGCCTCCCAAAGTGCTGGGATTACATGTGTGAGTCACCACGCCTAGCTGATAATTTCTTGATTTATAACAAAAAGGAAATGAAACTTGTAAGGCAAATTTTAAACAAGTTTCTTTTTTTCTTAAGTTACTTCAACTCTTCATACAACCTCTCAGTGTTTCTATGCTTTTTCAACCTCTAATAGTTACATCCAAATTTAATGCAATGATCTTGGTTTAAATTACTTTGCCTTCCACTGCTATCGAAAAACGGAATCTTCTCATTTACCATCAAGTAATGAGGGGTTTCATAGAGTTAATTCAGCCCTGATACAAACTGATTACTTCAGCTATCTTTGTTTTTGTTCTTGTTTTAAACTTTAATGACGCAATATGATAGAAAAGAAAGGGTATGGGCTTTGGAGTCTGACAAACTTGGCTTAAGTCCTACTTTCATTTACTCACTGTCCGACCTTGGCCTCAATCTTTGAATCCTAAGTATTTATCTACAAATGGAAATAATATCACCTAATAACTGAACGGTTTTGGGGATTAAAGGAAATAACCTATTTTAAAACACCTGGTATAAAATTCCATAGACTGTTAGATAAATTTCCCATTAAATATTTAGTATGGAAACTTTGTAAAATAAATTACATACTTCCCTGCTTTCTTACACAGAGAAAAGATAACAAGTGGCTACGATTTAATATTTTCTTAGGGAATCAATGTCATCTACGAAACTTGAAAGAGAAATATGTAAGGCTATGGAAGTTTTTGCCTCTAGAATACGGATTCTACAGGCCACTTCAAATCCAAAGAAACCCAAAAAGCTAAACTTTGAGTTCTTTTCATTTTATAGTTTCCTCACTCTTCCTTCGCTCCTACTTATTTCTTGCTACTATATCCACTTCTTCACCAAACTCTCCACCAGTATAGCAGAAATAACACAAGTTTTGGAGTCCAACCTTTGTTCAAATCTTGTATCTGTCATTTACTAGCTGAGTAATCTTGGGCAAGTTACTAAGCTGTCTAAGCCTTAATTTTTTTTTTTTTGTTCCTTCAAAAAAGGAATCACTTTTAGAGATAACTTATGTAAAATGCCAGTAAATTACAGAAAATAAGTACCTGATTAACTGTAGCTATTAATATTACCAATCTGCTCAAATTTGGTGTAAGTTGAAAGCTAATAACCAATACTATAATATTCTGACATAAAATCGAATAAAAAGAAGTCATTAAAAAATAACCTAAGGATAATTGCAATAGCTAGGAAAAATTAATTTGCATTAAAAATTTGCCTAAAATAACCACATGACAATGAACCAATCTCCTTAATATACTAAGCACTGCTACAATTCAGTAGTTAGAAAGACAAATTCAATAGAAAAATAGTCAAAAGAGATAAAAAGGCAGTTTACAGAAATATAAAACAAATTACTTACAAATATATAAAAAGATGCTCAATGTCACACAAAATGAAAATCAAAACAACTATAAAATGCCATGCCCTTTAGAGGGGTGACAGTTAAAGGCTGATAAACCTACTATTGGCAAAGATAACAGGAAACAGGTAAACTCATATATTGCTGCTGGAAGAATAAATTTGTCAAATCTCTTTGGGAGGAAAGAGCAATATCAATAAACATAGTATACATATCCTTGACCCAGTAATTCTCCTTCCAGGAATATATCCTATAAAAACACCTCATCAAGGTACACATTTACAAAGATACTCACTAGAGCACTGTTTGTTGTATTAAAAAAATCACTTTGGTTAAACAATATCCATCTGTAGTGTATTAGTCAGTATGTTGTTACAATTCTATGCAATAGGAATATTTATGCAGCTGTTTAAAATGAGGTAAATATGCTATCTATATCACCTATACACACACAGAGACCTATAGGCAAAAAACATGCATTAAAATATTTTGGGTCGGGCACGGTGGCTCACACCTGTAATCCCATCACATTGGGAGCCTGAGGCAGGTGGATCACCTGAGGTCAGGAGTTCAAGACCATCCTGGCCAACATGGTGAAACCTCATCTCTACTAAAAATACAAAAATTAGCTGAGCATGGCAGTGGGCTCCTGTAATCCCAGCTACTCGGGAAGCTGAGGCAGGAGAACTGCTTGAACCCGAGAGGTGGAGGCTTCAGTGAGCTAAGATCGTGCCATTGCACTCCAGTCTGGGCGACAAGAGCAAAAACTCTGTCTCAAAAAACAAAAAACAAAACAAAACAAAAAATTGGAAGTTTACAAAGGAAACCTCTCTGGGTCTGAGAAGTCTAACTGAGTTAGAAGTAAAAACTTTGCATATCCTCCATGGCTTGTTTTTTAAACCAGACGCACATATTCCTTTTATTTTTTAACATAGTTGAGAAGGCTTGTCCTATATAAAGAATAAAGATGGCCAGATGCAGTGGCCCCTGTCTGTAATCCCAGCACTTTGGGAGGCCGAGATCGTGGATCACTTGAGGTGAGGAGTTCAAGACCAGCCTGGCCAACATGGTGAAACTCTGTCTCTACTAAAAATAACAAAAATCACCCAGGCGTGGTGCTGTGCACCTGTAGTCCCAGCTACTTGAGAGGCTGAGGCACAAGAATCGCTTGAACCCAGGAGGCAGAGGTTGCAGTGAGCCAAGATCACACAACTGCACTCCAGCCTGGACGACAGAGCAAGACTCTCAAAAAAATAAATAAATAAAGAATAATTCAGTCAATTCTCCATGTGTCTGTTTTTTGATACTGAATAAAGCTTCCTAAAGACTTTAAAAAGAGGCCTGCAATTATTTAACATTTCAATGTGCAAAACAATACGTGGTATTAAAATTACTACTGAAATAGAACATATCCATCAATTTATGCTAAGAAGTAAGAGGAACTCAATGTAGAAAGAATATTAAATTTGGGCCAGGCATGGTGGCTCACACCTGTAATCCCAGCACTTTGGGAGGCCAAGATGGAAAGACCACCTGAGCCCAGAAGTTCAAGATCAGCCTTGGCAACATGGCAAGACCCTGTTTTTAAAAATAAATAAATATGAAGCAGGTTAAAGAATCCTGGAAACTAAGTAACTAGTTAGCTAAATAAATAAATAGAACAGTAAAATCTAGACCCAGCTCACCACCAGGCTGTGGGGTCCTGAACAAAATCTTTATCTCTTCATATATAAAGATAATATTTAGCACATGATTGATGGTTATAAAGTAGCACCAAAAACAAAAGGTTTTATAAGCATTCAATTAATTTAAATTATGTTAGAATTTTCTAAACATCGTTACCATCATTAACACCTCTGCAATATCTATTTACTTTTTTAAAAATACTCATCAGTATGAACTTTATTTATTTTATTTATTTATTTTTTGAGACAGAGTCTCACTCTGTTGCCCAGTCTGGAGTGCAGTGGCACCATCTCGGCTAGTGCAGCCTCCACCTCCCTGGTTCAAGTGATTCTCCTGCCTCAGCCTCCCAAGTAGCTGGGATTACAGGCACGTGTCACCATGCCTAATTTTTGTACTTTTAGTAGAGACGGGGTTTTGCCATGTTGCCCAGGCTGAGCTTGGGCAAACTCCTGAGCTCAAGCAATCCACATGTCTTGGCCCCCCAAAGTGCTCGGATTATAGGCGTGAGCCACTGCACCCAGCCCCAGTATGAATTTTAGAATAAGCATTATACTGGAAATTAATTACAAATCTTTAAAATGTAATTTCCCAAGATTTCAGTAGATACCCTTACTTTTTTGTTTTTGCCAAACCAAGCCCCCAGTGCCCCAACATTATTCCATGAATAATTCAAATTACCTTTTCAAAGCTGAAAAAGTTAGTAGTGTTTCTACATGTGTTGAAGTCTGTAGATCTCTTTTTCTTACCGAATGCTGCTGGATATTAGATAAAGAGAGAATATCGTAGTCTGAGAGCAAAGAATCAAGCTTCTCTGAAATAAAGGTAAAAAAGGTATTAGCATCTAAACCTAATAATCAATTGTAGTATCGTTAAAATGAGAGTGCCAGACAATAAATCTTTCCTGATGTAATCCATTAGGAAGTGCCAAGCACAAACTATAAATCATTTTTTATCAACAGAAACTCCACTGCCTCTTCCAAAATCAGGATTTTTAGAAGACAAATTGGGTGACTTGAGTCTCTTTAAAAACTGTCTAAAAATATTTGCACTGATGCCTTCCCTTTCTTTCAACAACTATCACTGCAGACACTATGGTATTCAAAATCCTTCCAATGGACTTAGAAGGTCCTCAAAATACAGCAACAGGAGCTTAAAATACAAGTTTATTGCTACTGATGTTAAATATGCTCACAAAACCAGTTTTAAAAGAAAGACTCTTACTCATGTGTGGAAGCTAAAAAAGTGGATCTCGTGGAGGTAGACAGCAGAATGGTGGTTACCAGAGGCTGAGAAGGGAAGTGGGAGTGGTGGAGATGAACAGAAAGTGGTTAGTGTTACAAAAATACAGTTTGATTAGTAAGTTCTAATATTTGATAGTACAGTACAGAAATTATAGTTAACAATTTATTGTATACTTCAAAACAGCTAGAAGACTTGTAATATTCCTAACACAGAAAAGATGTTTCAAATGATGGGTATCCCAATCACCCTGATTTGATCACTACATATTATACACAGGTATCAAAATATCACATGTACCCAAAAAACACATATCACTAAATAAAACAAAAACTCAATTTAACCATACAACTGCCAAGAGACACCCCCCACCTTTCCCAAACCCCTTCTTTATCCTCTACCCAATACCCTACCCTCCTACCCTCCTACCCTAACTGGCTTCCAGAATGCTAGCAATTAGGCCTTTACCTTCCAGAGGAATATGGAAATCTGACAATCTCTAATGAAAAACCTAAGATTCTGATATCAAAAGTTTCCCAAATGAGGCCATGCATGGTGGCTCACACCTGTAATCCCAGCACTTTGGGAGGCCAAGGATCACCTGAAGCCAGGAGTTCCAGACCAGCCTGATTAACATGGTGAAACCCTGTCTCTACTAAAAATACAAAATTAGCCGGGCATGGTGGTGCATGCCTGTAATCCCAGCTAGTTTGAGGCAGGAGAATCGCTTGAACCCAGGAGGCAGATGTTGCAGGGAGCTGAGATTGCACCACTACACTCTAGCCTGGGCGACAGAGCAAGACTCCATCTCTAGGCGGGGGAAAAAAGGCCGGGCTGGGCACGGTGGCTCACGCCTGTAATCCCAGCACTTTGGGAGGCCAAGGCAGGGGGATCACAAGGTCAGGAGATGGAGACCATCCTGGCAAACATGGTGAAACCCAGTCTCTACCAAAATACAAAAAATTAGCCAGGCGTGGTGGCGGGCACCTGTAGTCCCAGCTACTCATGAGGCTGAGGCAGAAGAATCGCTTGAACCTGGGAGGCGGAAGTTGCAGTGAGCTGAGATCACATCACTGCACTCCAGCCTGGCGACAGAGCAAGACTCCATCTCAAAAGAAGAAAAAAAAAGCCAAAAAGGGCTATTTTTTATTCATTACAACATCCTTGCCTCACAATACTCAGCAAAAACCTTGCACATATCAGCACTCACATGTTCACAAACTGCACGAATTCTCAGTGCTGAAATGCAATATGGTCCTTTAGTTCTTCAATTTCCCTGATACAGGTTGGTACATGAACTCAGTTTCATTCAAGATCATAATCACTCCTACTGACTTAGGAACTTAACCTCAACATTATAGTTTCATTGTCAATAATATAGCCCAGTAGTTCTCAAAGTGTAGTTCCCAAACCAGCAGCATCATCATCAACTGGGAATTTGTTAAAAATGCAAATGCTCAGGTCTCCCCTCAGACCTGCTCAAACAGAAATCCGCCCAGTGGGATCCAATAGTCTGTGTTTAACAAGGCTTCCAGGCAAGGCTGACACACTCAAATATGAAAATCACTGAACTGGCTGGGCATGGTGGCTCACACTTGTAATCCCAGCACTTGGAGAGGCAGAGGCGGGTGGATCACCTGAGGTCAGGAGTTCAAGACCAGCCTGGCCAACATGGCAAAACCCTGTCTCTACTAAAAATACAAAAAATTAGCTGGGCATGGCAGCAGACGCCTATAATCCCAGCTACTCGGTAGGCTGAGGCAAGAGAACTGCTTGAACCTGGGAGGCGGAGGTTGCAGTGAGCCGAGATCACACCACTACTCTCCAGCCTGGGCAACAAGGCAAGACTCCATCTCAAAAAAGAAAAAGAAAAAACCACTGAACTAAGCTAAAGGAAGGTAACAACTCAAAGTAAAGAAAAAAACTTTAGCCACAAAGATGTTCATTATTCAGCCTTGCCTTATTTTCAAGGACAAAAACCAGAATGATGGTAAATTAGTAACTGTGAAATGGTTGGATGTTGTAACACTTCCAAAGACAGGGGAAAAAATCTGCAACTATTTTAAATGTCGTTCACAAAAGGTTTTTAAGAACATGGGGCTGAGGGCGGTGGCTCGCTCCTGTAATCCCAGCACTTTGGGAGGTCAAGGTGAGAGAATTGCTTGACCCAAGGAGTTCGAGACCAGCCTGGGCAAAATAGTGAGACCCTCATCTCTCCAAAAAGTAAAAATAAAATTAGCCAGGCATGGTGGCATGTGCTTGTAGTCTCAGCTACTCAGAAGGTTCAGGCGGGAGGATCACTTGAGCCCAGGAGGTCAAGGCTGCAGTAAGCCAAGATAGCACCACTGCACTCCAGCCTGGGTGACAGGATGAGACCCAGTCTCAAAAAAAAAAAAAAAGAAAGAACATGGAAAAATACATATGTTATAATGTTAAATATAGATTTCAGAAATATTCATATTGTATAATCTTAACTATGTATAAAAATAGGTCTAGAAAAAATAAGCACAAGACAGTAACATCATTGGTTATTTTGGGTATATTTTCTATAATAAGCACTTTTTAAATGTAGCTTGCTAAAGCACTTTAAAATACTTAACTAATGCATTTCAACTGCAATTGATTCTCTTTTAATAACTGGATATCTCAAATTGAAGATTCTGAAGCCATTACAAACTATAGTAAAAACAGTTCTTCCTTTGGAGCCAAACTGTAGCTACGTACTACTGCTATTGTGTTTTCACTAACAAGTAACCTCTCAGGTACTCAATATTTCACTGCACTTCACTTCCAAAATTCTAACCACTAGTAATCTCAATTTTTTACAGGCTTTACAACAGAATTTATATTTCTCCCCATTTCCCAAGAGTTTATCTCTTATCCATATCCAATTCTCTCAATAAACTTAAGTATAAACCACCTGCTTCTGACAGTAGAGTTTATTACAGTTAATACCAGACACTGCCGCACTGTCTATCTCAGCTCAGTGTCTGGCCATATTCTTTTTTTTTTTTTGAAATGGAGTCTCACTCTGTCGCCAGGCTGGAATGCAGTGGCGTGATCTCAGCTCACTGCAACCTCCGCCTCCTGGGTTCAAGCGATTCTCCTGTCTCAGCCTCCCAAGTAGCTGGGACTACAGGTGCACACCACCTATCCAGCTAATTTTTGTATTTTTAGTAGAGAAGGGGTTTCACTGTGTTGGCCAGGATGGTCTTGATCTCTTGACCTCGTGATCCACCCACTTCGGCCTCCCAAAGTGCTGGGATTACAGGCGTGGGCCACAGAGCCCAGCCCATATTCTCTCTTTAAAAAACTACAATGGCTGCCTACTTCTCTCTAGAATGAGAGCACCTTCCTTACTTTCTACAAGTTGCCACAGCAGTCATCATTTTGTTATCTTTTTTGTCATCTGCATTTTTTGTTGTTTTTGCTTTTTGTTGTTTTGTTATGTGCTTTTGTTATCTTTTTCATCCCCCTACCCCTCCTTTCTTGCACACACATTCTACACTTATTTTTTCTCTTTTCCACCAGACTCCATTTACTTGATTATTTAACAAATATTTATTGAGAACCTCCTACCTTTCAGGCACTAAGGATACAACACAGAGAAAAAGAAACAGACTTCCAGTATTGTGACACTGGAGGAAAGACCAAAATTATTATAAAGTACATCACAGACCAAGACAGAAGTAGCCACAGAAAGTTATGCACAGACACAGCAGGGGCATGATCCCTGCCTGCTGAGTCAAAGATGTTTTCCCAGGGAAACGGTTTTGAAGACCAGAAGGATGAGGCAGCACCCCAGAGAAGGAAAAGAAAGGAGAGGCCTTAGGTCAAGGGCATAACATATGCTGAATTCCACAAAAAATAGAACACAACACTTAAAGACGTGAAAGCAACTCAATGAGGCTACAGTGCAGAGCAGTACAGAGAGAATATGAAGTGTGAGGCTGGAGAGTCAGGCACTGGTCAGGCCATGAAGGGCTATGGAAGGAAATCAGGGATTCTGGGCTTTGGATAATGGCAATAGCTGTAAGTTGGAAATTTCATTATAGGCCAGCTGTGGTGGCTCATGCCTGTCATCCCAGCACCTTGGGAGGCCAAGATGGGTAGATCGCTTGAGCCCCAGGAGTTCAAGACAAGCTTGGGCAACACAGCAAAACCCCGTCTCTACCAAAAAAATAAATAAAATAAAATACAAAAATTAGCCAGGCGTGGTGGTGTACACCTGCAGTCCCAGCTGCTCAGGAGGCTGAGGTGGGAGGATGGCTTGAGCTCAGGAGGCAGAGGTTGCAGTGAGCTGATATCGTGCCACTGCACTCCAGCCTAGGCAACGAGGCCAGATCCTGTCTCAAAATCCAAAAAAAAAAAAAGAGAGAGAAAGCCAAGGTGGGCGATCACTTGAGGTCAGGAGTTAGAGACCAGCCTGGCCAACGTGGCAAAACCCTGTCTCTGCTAAAAATACAAGATTAGCTGGGCGTGGTAGCAGGTGCGTATAATCTCAGCTACTTGGGAGGCTGAGGCATGAGAATCGCTTGAACCCAGGAGGCAAAGGTGGCAGTGAGCCGAGATCATGCCACTGCACTCCAACCTGGGTGACAGAGTGAGACTCCATCCCCCCCAAAAAAGAAAGAAATTTCATTATGACTGCAGTGTGGAGAATGGGCTAGAGGGGAACAAGACCGGAATGTAGGAAATCTGCTGGTAGGCTGCAGAGCAAACCAAGTAGAAACCACTAAAAGACTCCTAGGTTGTGGCTCACTGTGATTAAAAAAAAAAAAAAGAAAACAAAACAAGAGAGGGGCTGATATCAGGAGACAATTGCATGCTGAAAGATTCTGGAGTTTTGAATGATAGAGCCTTGGGAGAAACAGAAATGAAAACAAAAGATTCTGGAGTTTCATATTCTATTTTGTTCCTTATACACAGTTGCAATTTCATTGCTCATTTACATAGGACTTCCTTTGCATTAAGTCATCATGTCTAGTTGTGTTACTGATGAGCCACATAGTGATTTTCAGCAGGGAGAGTAAATCTATGTTATCACAAGATTCTTAACACTGACATCAGCGGTAAAAAGTAGCCAATACTTTGTTCCTTCTAAAGGTTTCAAAGAAGAATAAAAAGAAAACGGGGCTTTCAGGCCTGTAACAAAATGGCCTTCTGGTTGTAGCTGTGGAGTTGCCTACAGAAGATTAGATAAACCTTCCACTCTCCCACTTCTCTTATATCTGAATTGTTTTGTCTCTGGGATAAGCTTTTATGGCCATTCACTTTAATGCATTGACATAAAGTATATCCATATTTTCTTCATTAAGCCCAGAGCTGACATTTTTAAGCTAAAACTAATCGTGAAACTTTAAAAAATTATGTATATGGCAGGTCACAGTGGCTCACACCTGTAATCCCAGCACTTTGGGAGGCCGAGGTGGGTGGATCACAAGGGTGGGAGTTCAAGACCAGCCTGGCCAACATGGTAAAACCCAGTCTCTACTAAAAATACAAAAATTAGCCAGGCGCGGTGGCAGGCACCTGTAATCCCAGCTACTCAGAAGCCTGAGGCAGGAGAATCGCTTGAACCCGGGTGGCAGAGGTTGCAGTGAGTGAGCTGAGATCACGCCACTGCACTCCAGCCTAGGTGATAGAGTGAGACTCCATCTCAAAAACAAACAAACAAAAATTATGTATATAATTTTGTGTGTATATCAACATATATACACATAAGTATAGTGGTATGTATATAACCGTCCCACACGTATTTAAGAACAATGTAAATAAAGTGTTATATGAGAAGGTTCTGGAAACGTGTGGGTTTTTGTTTTGTTTTGTTTTTGAGACAGGGTCTCGCTCTGTTGCTCAGGCTAGAGTGCAGGGCACAATCACCACTCACTGCAGCCTCAACCTCCTGGGCATGAGCAATCCTCCGGGTGGCTGGGACCACAGGCACATGCCACCGCACCTGGCTAATTTTTGTTTCTATTTTTTTGTAGAGACAAGGTCTTGCCATGTTGCCCAGCCTGGTCTCAAACTCCTGGGCTCAAGTGATCCTTCCCCCTTAGCTTTCCAAAATGCTGAGATGACAGTCGTGAGCCACCGCGCCCAGCTTGTGGATTTTTTACATTAATTTCTTTTATTTTTTCAGCAAATTGCATTTTCCTAAAATACTACTTGAGAGTGTACTGCAGAACCCCAAGGCACTCAGCTCACTCTTCACTGCTCTGCTGCATGAAGTACGAAAAGTTCCCCCAAAATGACACTATCAATGTCATGCTCCTACTTCTGATATCAGAAATGGAAAACATAAAGCCAGTACTGCTGTGAAGTGTTTATTGTGTTTGTGCTGAAGACACAGGAGCCTTCCTCTTCAGCACCCCCCAAAACACACAGGACAGGGAAGCAGGCCACGTGTAGTAAGTGTCAGGTGCGGGTTGTTGGGACTAAGGAATGAGAAAAAGGGAGCAGTGCTCTCTGCTAGGCCAGGGACCCCAGAGCCTGGGAACTAAACAATTTTATGGATTTATACCAGTAAAGGAGGATAGAGTATGAGCTGCTTCAACTAATTCCCTATCAAGAGCTCCTCAACAGACCTGGGACGTAACCTGAGCCAAGACTCTCCAGCAAGACCAGTAACCAGGATGCAAGTTTCAGGTTAGGCAATGAGACTACTTCCACAATTACCAGCAGCCCTGCCTAGTCCTAGGCTAAACCTGTATCCGATACTCATTCTTTTTTTTTTTTTTTTTTTTTTTTGAGATGGAGTCTCACTCTGCTGCCCAGGCTGCACTGCAGTGGCTCAACCTTGGCACACTGCAACCTCTGCCTCCCGGGTTCAAGCAATTCTCCTGCCTCAGTCTCCCCAGTAGCTGGGATTACAGGCACGCACCACCACGCCTGGCTAATTTTTGTATTTTTAGTAGAGACAGGTTTCACCATGTTGGTCAAGCTGGTCTTGAACTCCTGGCCTCAAGTCATCCGCCGGCCTCAGCCTCCCAAAGTGCTGGGACTATAGGTGTAAGCCACTGTGTCCAGCTACTCATTCTTGTAATCAAAAGAATAGGTAACTGGCTGGGGCAGTGGTTCACGTCTGTAATCCCAGCACTTTGGGAGGCTGAGGCAGGTGGATCACCAGAGGTCAGGAGTTCAACACAGGCCTGTCCAATATGATGAAACCCCATCTCTACTAAAAATACAAAAAAAAAAAAAAAAAAAAAATTAGCCAGGCGTGGTGGGGGACACCTGTAATCCCAGCTATTCGTGAGGCTGAGGCACGAGAATCACTTGAACCTGGGAAGTGGAGGTTGCAGTAAGCCAAGATTGCGCCACTGCGCTCCAGCCTGGGTGACAGTGAGACTCTGTCTCAAAAAAAAAAAAAAGGTAACTAATTTTGGACATGTTATATTTGAAGTGCCAAATGGGCAGCTGAATATGAACTCCAGAGAACAAGTCCAGGTCAGAGATACACGTCTAGTCATTAGCAGAACACTGTCAAATGAAGTGAAACCAGTACAACTCATGTAACAACAAAGAAAAAAAAAAAAGGAAGGGGGGGAACGGAGAGATGCCCATTTCCTTGGCTGATTTTAGGAGTAAATAAAGAGATACAGATTGAGCATCCCTTATCCAAAATGCTTGAGACCAGAAGTGTTTCATTCATCAGAATTTTTTAAATTTTGAAATATTTGCATATACATAATGAGGTATCTTGGGGATGGGACCCAAGTCTAAATATAAAATTCATTTATGTTTCATTTATTCACTTACTTTGAGATGGAGTCTTGCTCTGTCGCCCAGGCTGGAGTGCAGTGGCGCGATCTCGGCTCACTGCAAGCTCCACCTCCCAGGTTCACACCATTCTCCTGCCTCAGCCTCCCGAGTAGCTGGGACTACAGGCGCCTGCTACCACACCTGGCTAATTTTTTGTATTTTTAGTACAGACAGGGTTTCACCATGTTAGCCAGGATGGTCTCGATCTCCTGACCTCGTGATCCACCCAGCTCGGCCTCCCAAAGTGCTGGGATTACAGGCATGAGCCACCGCGCCTGGCCTAAACAATATTTTTAAGTAACTTTTTTTGCATGAAAAAAAGTTTGTGTACAACGAAGCATTCGAAAGCAAAGGTGTCACTGTCTCGGCCACCCACATAAATAATCTGTGGTTGTCTGGCATCACCATCATTCCTGACTGATTTTACATGCTACAATAAGTAATCGTTTTGTTATACCTATTCACACATAAGTACTACACAGTAAAAAATATACCACTAACAGTGAAAAAATCGTGTGTTAGGGGTAATGTGTGCTGTCATGCCAGCATTCAAAAAGTTTCAAATTTTGGAGCATTTCAGATTAGGGATGCTCAACCCATATATGAAAAGCCTTTCATTTCACTTCCGTTACCTCAATGAAGCCCATTCCTGTCCTCCTTTCCTATCAATCTTTTTCAGACTTTCTTCACATTACACTTCCAGCTGTATACACTTATTATCTCACAAATAGAAAATGGTGAAGGATCCAAAAATCAACCACAATTGGCCTTGGAGGAAACCTATATTTAATGTTCTAGGAAATCCTGTGAAAGTCAAAAGGATCTCTCCAGTTTCCCCATCACAATTATCTGCTTAATTCCTCTCCATTCTACTCTTGAAATATGGTTTATCTCTTAGACTAATATAAAGCAGAGTTACATTAAATCTCCCTTGGAGCAGTTAGGGCAGTTAAGCATTTAGGTTTCAAAGGAATGCAGCCAGTAAGCAAAATTAACATCAAAAGAGAAAGCCAGATGTCAAAATACTGAGTAAAATGGTGCTGTCAATAATGAAATCAGCACTGCAATATGGAGAATCCCCATGCCAATAACCTCAAGGTAAATTTGAAAATACATGTTTCAGATACAAACTTTCTCATCCCTCATCTGTGACCTATATTTTTTCCTCCCACCCACTACATCCTCTTTTATTAAAAGTAACACAAAGGGAAAACGATTTTGAAATCAAAGTGAGACTTATACACCCCAGCTGCAACTTCAACAAGATATCATCATGACTAAGCTCATATGACTCATAACTTTCCTAAATTATGCAATTCATAACAGTTCAATTGAAATCATTTTTGGTGACCCATAGAGGACTCTAAAAACCAGGCTTCATTTTATTAGGTATTTTTTGCCTTTCAGAAAAATGTTGTCATATGCCTAATCGATATTGAGTACTGCAATATAGTAGTATTTGTAGGACAATAAACATAAAAAATAAATAATAAAGCATGTTTTTCAACTATGAAACTATTTGCTAGTCTTGACCAACTCAATCTAATGGTAAGGTTAAGTAACAAATTATATTGTAAGCTGTCAAACAAACTGAAAAAAAAAGTCATTCTTCAAAAGAAAAATACCCACAAGGCCTATGTTCATCATTGACAACTGACAGCATCTTCCTGAGACTCATTTTCCTCCTCCTTTATTTGAAAACTAGACTTGATCTCTAAGATTCATTTGGTGATAACACTTGCTATAACGTACTCTAGCACTCTCCTCTATGCTGTTTTAGAAGTGTCCTAAATGAATGTCTATTTCCCTATGCTATAACCATTTGAAGATGGATATCGTCTGATCTTTGTATTTCCAATGCCACGTATAATACTTGTGTGTCCTTCAAATATTTCGTTTAAAAAAAAAAAAAGAGGCCGGGCCTGGTGGCTCAAGCCTTTAATCCCAGCACTTTGGGAGGCCGAGGTGTGCTGATCACCTGAGGTCAGGAGTTCGAGACCAGCCTGAATAACATGGAGAAACCCCATCTCTACTAAAAATACAAAAAATTAGCCGGACGTGGTGGCACATGCCTGTAATCCCAGCTACTTGGGAGGCTGAGGCAGGAGAATTGCTTGAACCCGGGAGGCGGAGGTTGTGGTGAGCTGAGATGACGCCATTGCACTCCAGCCTGGGCAACAAGAGCAAAACACTGCCTCAAAAAAAAAAAAAAAGAAAGAAAAAGAAAAGAAAAGAAAAAAGAAAAGTCTATGCATTCTTCTGGCACAGGTGGTCTGCATTTTGCAAATAAAAAACAAACACATGGGCCAGGAGCGGTGGTTCATGCCTGTAATCCCAGCACTTAGGGAGGCCCAGGTGGGCGGATCACGAGGTCAAGAGTTCTAGACCAGCCTGGCCAACATGGTGAAACCCCGTCTCTACTAGGAATACAAAAATTAGCTGGGCGTGGTGGCACATGCCTGTAATCCCAGCTACTCAGGAGGCTAAGGCAGGTGAACTGCTTGAACCCCGGGAGGCGGAGGTTGCAGTGAGCTGAGATCGCGCCACTGCACTCCAGCCTGGGCAACAGAGCAAGACTCTGTCTTGGAAAAAAAAAATGGTCTAAAAAACCTTACGATCTGCAAATGTTATGAATTGATCTAGAAAGTAATGTTTCTCTTTAAACTGTATGCTTCCTTGGGACTCATGCTTATTTTTACCTACGAACAACAGATTAATAACATAAGTGAAACAGTTGTGTCAGGGTGGTGCAAATATAATTTTAATATCTCAAAATACATATTTATTCTTTTTACTAACATTTATCCTTAAAATGAAGACCCTTACCCTATCCCTCCATCCTAACCACAATCCTACCTCAAAATGTCCTTCAATTTGTACTGACTTACCACTTCTCAGCACTTCCTAACAAGATCCCTTGCCTTTCATTAGTCACTTGTAATCCATTTCAATCGGAAAGAATCATAAGACAGCTGTTCAAGTGATAACACTCTCAACACCTTTAGTATCCATACCAATCCATTACAATTTCTGTCCACTAAATATAAAGAAAAAAAATACTACACATGGTATCATGGTGAAATTTGGGAACCAGTACAACCATGCAAGCCTACAATTTCACACACTGGGAAAACATTATTTCACACTTTATTACTAATTAAAGTATCTTACACGTCAATTTTTGAAAGATAAAAGGATTTTAAAATACACTAAAAGTTCACGCAAACTTACTTCCACCAAAGTTCAGATCCCTTAATGCATCTCCATCCTTAAAATCCAATCTCTCTGGAAAATCTAATGAAATAGGAACCCTCTACTTTCTAGCCTCTAAATTCATCAAACTCGTCACTCTTGATAATTTCTTTGTTTAAAAGTGCAAGGAAAGCATTCATAGTGGCAGCATCACGAGTTGGCTTACCAGGTTTCCGCCTCCCCCCATCTCCCAAGCACCTCCAATAAGCTACAATTGAAATAACCAAGAACGTGCTTAGGATGTTCGCAAAAACACAACTCTTAAGACTCCAACTCCAGTCTCCGCCTCCCAACGAGATTACTGCATAAGTACCTCCTACAGCAGAAATTCTAGTTCCCTCCTTCGAGGACCAGGAAGAATTCTGGAGCTTTGGGCCCTTCCTTTCTGGCTCTGGTAGGAACACACAACACTAGATTTGTTCCCTACTAAGGCAAGAACCCTGACCACATCTCCCTCTCCAAACAAGATCCAGCCACCCTACTCCTTACCGCTTTCCCAACACCCTCCCCGAACACAAAGCTAGGGAGCAAACCCCTCTCAGGCGCTCAGTCACTACATGGAGCCCGTCCAGTAGCCCTTTCCCACTCAGAGACAGGCCCATCTCCTTTATTCTTTCCCCAAACTCCGAGAGCCACACCCCCTTCTACACTGAAAACTTAGGGACGCGCCACCATCGCCAATACCCCGCCCCCAAACACCTGATAGACCCAGCTCCCCTGCTCTTCCCTCAAACGAGCGCTCCAGGCGCCGGCCTAAGCCAACTCCCCTGGGTCTTTACCGAGTCTCTGGTGGGGGCCGAAGCCCGGGTCATCCGGAGGTCGCGGCGCCAGCACGAAAGGAACCACGCTGGTCAGGAATAGGAGAGACTGCCTCATGTTCCCGGCCCCGCTACCGACTCCACCTCTCTGGGCAGCCTTCGCCTGACGGGGTTTCGGAAAACTGCTCACATCGGGGGAGGACGGGATCCGCCCGGCCTAGCCCCTCAATCCTCTTTTCCCTCCCGCGCCGCCTACTGGGAAGATTCTACCGCCAGGCTCGACGCCCCCAGAAGTGCAGGTGGCGTTACCAAAGGCCGGCTCAGCCAGCTTCCGGCCGCCGCTGTCCCCCGCACCACCCACAGCCGGAAGCCGGCTGCCGCGCGGCATCCCGGGAGGCTCCGCTTGCCCCGCCCCACGCCGGTGCGCCGCGGGCCTCTGGTCCGCTGCCGTGTTCGGCCCCGCCCGTCACGTCTAGCTGGGGCTCGCCCGGCGCCTTCCTGGACGCAGACGTATGAGTCCCAACTCCACCCAGTCCGGCCTGGCCTCTGTCCCCGGGTGACCGCGGAATGGGGGGGCGGGAGCTAGCGAGCAGGCCCTCAAGCGCGTCTGGCCGCCTCCTTTGTCTTGATGCCCACGTCTGGTTAGGACCCCTGCTGTCCATTTTATTAAAGGAGCTGTAGAAAGCGGCCTGGGGCCCAGCGACCTGCCCAGGGCGGACGAGGAGGCGCGACTGGCCCGATGCCGCAGGCTCTCTGCCCAGTGTGCTCAGGTGGGAGGGCGGGGACATGAATCGAGCCACAGAGTGCCCTGGGCACGGACCCCCCGCCCCCCCCGGCCCCGGGCCCCGAGCCCCGAGCCCCGAGCCCGGCCACCGAAGCCCGTGCCACTCGCCAGCTCCTGCGAGACGAGCCTTTCGAGCGCAGCTCAGGCATTTGGTTCAGGGTCCTACTGCCGGAGTCGTCTGAGGCCTCCATCCGTCTGTCGTCACGAAAAAGGTTTTGGGGGGACTAATAAGCACTTCCTGAATGCACATTTGCTCCACGCCCCTGCTGTAGGGAGAGGGTCTGCAGACACTTCAACAAATAGAATCCTAGGACCTTACCTGTGAGTACAAGAGCTGGAATCTTCCCACCAACTTCTTAAAATTCAATCCTATACTTGGTCCATTTAGCTTAGACTGGAAATTTCCCAAGGCAGTTTGTTTTGCAATCTTTTGCATGATTTTAGCTCTGTATAGTTTAGTGAATGTTTATGGTACTGAATAAAACAGTCTAAAAACGTTGGGTACATGTTGCTGTTTTATTTAGTTCAACCAAAGTTTATAAAAGTAGGACATAATACGTTTTCCACTTAAGAGTGAGACAGCCTTTATTATGAAACGGTAAATTGTTAGGAATACTAGTCCTATTCAAGTTTCAAGGCTTATTCCTAATAAAATACTCAAACTGTGGTTAAAATTTATGTTAATGGTGGTTTGCCGCAGTAAAATATCAGCGTCTTTTTCAACAATACATTGTTGGCTAAAATTAACCGGACCTGGTCTGTACATCTGAAGTATAAAATATCTTTATTAAACATACCCATTAGTGGCATACCTAGTCAAAAAGTAAGCAGAATTTCACATGCAAATTGTATACAATCTGTAAAAATTGTATTCCATAAGAATGTGACAGTTGAGTACGGTTTTTGGGGGGCTTTTTTGGTGTACCATAATAATGTCATCTGGTTTCTTTTCTGAACATCCAGTCACCATAATGTCCGGCTTGTAACTTTAGTAGATCGTAGATTGTATTATTTTGGTATCCCCAACAGCTCTTGTACAGTGCCTTGCTCATAGAAGGTACTTAGCTGTTTAGTAAATGCCGTTTAAAAAAAAAATCCCGATCCATTTTCTTTTCTTTTTTTTGGGGGGGGGTGGTGGGGGAAAGAGTTTCGCTCTTATTGCCCAGGCTGGAGTGCAATGGCGTGATCTTGGCCCACTACAACCGACTGAACACCTCCTAGGTTTAAGCGATTCTCCTGTCTCAGCCTCCCAAGTAACTGGGATTACAGGCGCCCGCCACCACGCCCAGCTAATTTTTGTATTTTTAGTAGAGATGGCATTTCACCACGTTGGCCAGGCTGGTCTCAAACTCCTGACCTTAGGTGATCCACCCGCCTCGGCCTCCCAAAGTGCCAGGATTATAAGCGTGAGCCACCGCGCCTGGCCTGAATAACCAGAAGTCCTAGATTTCCAGGGACATTCCAAATTTCAAGTAATCTTTTCAATTCACAAATCAGGACCCAAATTATTCCAATTTGCAGTTCATCTTTCATTTATCAATTGTGCATACTTTTAAGATAAAAGAGCACCACGTGGGGGAGATAAAGAGCCAAAGGAATATGGTAAGAGGGGCACTGGATAGATTAATTAGTTTATCTTTTTTTTTTTTTTTTTTTTTTTTTGAGACGGAGTCTTGCTCTGTTGCCAGGCTGGAGTGCAGTGGCATGATCTTGGCTCACTGCAGCTTCTGCCTCCCAGGTTCAAGGGATTCTCCTGCCTCAGCCTCCCAAGTAGGTGGGACTACAGTTGTGCGCCACCATGCCCAGCTAATTTTTGTATTTTCAGTAGAGACAGGGTTTCACCATGTTGGCCAGACTGGTCTGGATCTCCTGACCTCGTGATCTGCCCGCCTTGGCCTCCAAAGTGCTGGGATTACAGGCATGAGCCACCGCGCCCGGCTCTTTTATCTTTTGAGACGGTCTGGCTCTGCAGCCAAGGATGGAGTACCGTGACACAATCACAGCTCACTGCAGTCTCGACCTCCTGGGCTCAAGCAATCCTCCAGCCTCACCCTCCTCAGTAGCTGGGACCACAGGCATGCACCACCACACCTGGCTAATCTTTACATTTTTTTTATAGAAGTGGAGTCTCGCTATGTTCCTCAGGCTGATCTCAAACTCCTGGCCTCCCAGAGTGCTGGGATTACAGGTATGAGCCACTGCACTCAGCACCAAAATAATTTTTTAAAACTATATACCCCCTGGCCAGACGTGGTGGCTCACACCTGTAATCCCAGCACTTTGGGAGGCCGAGGCAGGCGGATCACGAGGTCAGGAGATCAAGACCATCCTGGCTAACACGGTGAAACCCCGTCTCTACTAAAAATACAAAAAATTAGCCAGCGCAGTGGCACGTGCCTGTAGTCCAAGCTACTTGGGAGGCTGAGGCAGGAGAATCACTTGAACCCTGGAGGTGGGGGTTGCAATGAGCCGAGATAGCGCCACTGCACTCCAGCCTGGGCGACAGAGGGAGACTCCATCTCAAAAAAAAAAACAACTATATACCCCCTAGGTGTATCTTTAAAGTTTTTCATCATTAGCGTAGTAGTAGCAAATTATGAAACTTTCAGCATAAATACTGACATTTAAAATTAAAGCTGTTAGGTCATTATTTTAAAGTTTTCCAATAGAGTATAAATACCTCAAAGATTTGACAGCCACAGTGGTAGCCCAGCCTCCAAGATGGCCCCCAATGATGCCTGCTTCCTCTTCTACACTGGGCCATAGTTGGTCTGTGACCACTAGCATGCAGCCGAAGTGATGTCACTTCTGAGGTTAGGACACAAGAAACTCTGTCCTCCATCTCAGGTGCTCTCTTGCTTGCTTGTTTCCTCTTGAATCACACACTCTGGGGGAAGCCAGCTTTCATGTCATGAGAACACTCAGGAAAACTATGGAGAGGTCCAATAGAACAGGTCAGCAGCCAACAAACACCAAGGAGCTGCCAAAGACTATGTGAGTGAGCTTGGAAGGAATTCAGCCCCAGGCAAGCTTTAAGATCACTGCAGCCCCTGACCTACCATCTGACTATAACTAAGCTACTCCCAGATTCCTCAGCCTCAGAAGCTGGGAGATAAGTGTTCGTGGTTCTAAAGCTCCTAAATTAGGGGTAATTTGTTACACAGCCACTATCATCTGTTCAAAAAAATACGTAAACAAGTTGATGGGATCCTGGGTTCTTAACACCTGAAGTGATGCTTTTAATTTAGGATTTAATAAAGATAATTAAAAATATTTCCTGAGGTTCCCCAATCCCATGCTGTGGAATTAATTATTCATAATTTAGATACCGCAAGTGAATTTAAGAGTAAACATTTGCAGTTATTAAACACATGAGCCACATATGGTTCTGCAGTTAACTACCAAACCCACACAAGTACCAGTAAAACCTTGTCTAAATGACCAGAGAACTAACTGGTTCTGGCTGGGTGTTTTGTTTCCTTCTATCTATTTCTCTAGCTCTATTTCTCTTATTAGCCAATTTTGTCTTACACCAACCCCACCAGTTTTTATAGATGGATAGAGCCATCCTCACTGTTTCTAAAATGGTAATTATTCCTGCATTTGTATGCTTTTTTGCTGATGAACAAATCTGTGGAAAGCAGTCGCTTTAAGTATGAGTCAACCCACAAATAAGACAACAGATGCCACTTAATGAAAAATAGGACTTTATACAAAGTCATGTGCCAAGAACTCTAATTTCTAAGGTTTTGGTTAAGAAATTTTAACCCATTTTAGAAAAAATCAACCTTTTTTTTTTTTTTTTTTTTGAGACGGAGTCTTGCTCTGTCGCCAGGCTGGAGTGCAGTGGCGCGATCTCAGCTCACTGCAACCTCCGCCTCCCGGGTTCAAGTGATTCTCCTGCCTCAGCCTCCCGAGTAGCTGGGACTACAGGCATGCGCCACCACGCCCAGCTAATTTTTGTATTTTTAGTAGAGACGGGGTTTCACCATATTGTCCAGGATGGTTTCAATCTCTTGACCTCATGATCCGCCCACCTCGGCCTCCCAAAGTGCTGGGATTACAGGCATAAGCCACCGTGCCCGGGCAAAATCAACCTTTTAGAAAAATGACAAATATGCATGGGACAAAGCAGAGACATCTGCAGATCCTCACTGATGAACAGATGATTTTGGGGGGAATTTTTTTTAATTGTTATAAAGTCTCCTTTCTTTCTTTTTTTTTTTTAGAGACAGGGTTTCACCATGTTGCCCAGGTTGGTCTCGAATTCCTGGGCTCAAGCGATCCACCCACCTCGGCCTCCTAAGGTGCTAGGATTACAGGTGTGAGCCACCACATCCCACTGATATGAACCACCATTGTGTGCAGAAGTATCATACATCCTACATATTGTATGCCACATAAAATATGGAGCTGTGTCTGTTCTTTTCCTTCTTAAATCCCTGCCTCTCTCCCTTGAGATCTCGGGGTAATTGAACCACATGAATAACTGAACTTAGAGAGCAGACTAGATAAAGAGAACAAATGGAAACTTGTGCTGGTTTGAAATTACCTCAGGTCTGAAGTGGCCAGAAGTCATTACTCTTGGGTTGACAGGCCCCAGAGAGGAGACTCTCACCAATTACCCTCCAGTTCCACAGCAGCCAGAGACCTTAATTGAAAAGCTGTTCTACTTAGGGCTCTTCAGAAAAACCGAACTTGATTGTTCAATGTTTAAATTCTGAAAATTTTACTAATATTTTAAGAATTATACCAAAGAGATACACATTATACCTTTGGCCTCAAAGAAATTATACTCTAAAAGATAGATATATATAAACACACAAACACCCAAATGCATCAGGAAAAATAAGGATCATGGATTTTTTTCACGTTAACTTTTTGGGTTTGTGTTTTTTTTGAGATGGGGTCTCGGTCTGCCACCCAGGGTGGAATGCAGTAGCACAATCTCGGCTGACTACAACCCCTGTCTTCTGGGTTCAAGCGATTGCTTGTGCCTCAGCCTCCCGAGTAGCTGGGACTACAGGCGTGCACCACCATGCCCAACTAATTTTTATATTTGTATAACAGTGGAGATGGGGTTCCACCATGTTGCCCAGGCTGGTCTTGAATTCCTGGCCTCAGATGATCTGCCCACCTCAGCCTCCCAAAGTGCAGGGATTATAGGTGTGAGCTATCACGCCTGGCCCACATTAACTTTTTAAAATAAATTTTCATTTTAGAAAAATTTCAGATTTACCGAAAAGTTGCAAAGATAGTATGGAGTTCCTGTTTCACCCAGCTTCCTAAATGTTGACCATGATGATCATGGTATGTTTGTTAAACTAAAAAAATAATACTGGTACAATACTAGTAACTAAACTGCAGACATTTGGATTTTTTTTTTTTTTTTGAGACGGAGTCTTGCTCTGTCACCCAGGCTGTAGTGCAGTGGTGCGATCTTGGCTCACTGCAACCTCCTTCTCCCGGGTTCAAGTGATTCTCCTGCCTCAGCCTCCCAAATAGCTGGGACTGCAGGCTTGTGCCACCATGGCCGGCTAATTTTTGTATTTTCAGTAGAGATGGGGTTTCACCATATTGGCTAGACTGGTCTCAAACTCCTGACTTCAGATGATCTGCCTGCCTCTGCCTCCCAAGTGTTGGGATTACAGGTGTGAGCCACCACACTGGCCGGATTTTTTTATTTTTTAATGTGCCTTACGGTCTTTAAGAAATTTTGGGGCCAGGCACAGTGGCTTACTCCTATAATCCCAGCACATTGGCAGGCTAAGGAGGGATTGCTTGAGCCCAGGAGTTCAAGATCAGCCTGGGCAACAAATAAAAAAAATTAGCCAGGCATGGTGGCACATGCCTGTGGTCCCAGCTACTCAAGAGGCTGAGGCTGAGGCAGGAAGATCACTTGAGCCCAGGAAGTCAAGGCTGCAGTGAGCCATGTTTGTGCCACTGCACTCCAGCCTGGGCAACAGAGTGAAACCCTGTCTCAAAATAGATAATTAAATTAAATTTAAAATTATGATAAAATACACATAACACAAAATTTACCATCAACATTCAATACATTTACAGTGCTGTGCAATCATCACCACCATCTGATTCCAGAACATTTTAATCACCCCAAAAGGAAACCCCATACCCATTAAACCACCTTTCCCCCTCCTCCCAGTCCCTGGAAGCCACTAATTGGACTGCAATTTTGTCACTAATGTCCTTTTTCTGTTCTAGGATCTAACCCAGGATACTACATTGCATTTAGTCACATTACTGTTATACTCTTTAGGTCAAATAAAGCTATTTTAAATATTTCATTCTCGGCTGGGCACGGTGGCTCACGCCTGTAATCCTAGCACTTTGGGAGGCTGAGGCAGGTGGATCACCTGAGGTCAGGAGTTCAAGACCATCCTGGGCAACATGGTGAAACCCCGTCTCTACTAAAAATACAAAAATCAGCCAGGCGTGGCAGCATGTGCCTGTAATCCAAGCTACTTGGGAGGCTGAGGCAGGAGAATCACTTGAACCTGGAAGGCAGAGGTCGCAGTGAGCTGAGACACTGCTACTACACTTAAAAAAAAAAAAACAAAAACTCTGCAGAAGCAATAGTTAATATACTTAGTGGTGTTAAAGGAAACTGTCCAGCTCAATCCCTCACTCTCTCTCCTTTGAACTAGTCCCTATCATTCCCATAATACCTGAAGTGACTTTCTTACCTCTGCTTCCTCTCCACCAGTACCTCTACCTGTCTTCCATAACACCAGCTAAATGTCTCCTATCCATGGGCTTTTTCTTGGTTCTTTTATAGCCCGTCCTTCATTTTATCTTGCATTGTTGCTTCTTGATGGTATTTTGGTATTTTCTACCAAAGCACAAGTTCGTAAAGGTGAGGACCCTACTACCTTCCATATCAAATAAGTGTTCTGCCTAAGGCAGTTAACAGTTATTTATGAAACAAATATCATTATCTGACATACAGCCAGATACCTCACAATTTCCCTCATCTAAATAAATTAGACAATTTAATGCTTATAGCGGCAGAATTGTGTCTCCCCTGCCCAAGAAAATAAGTTCAAGTCCTAACCCCTGGTATTATGAATGTGATCTTATTTGGAAACAGGGTCTTTGCAGATGTAATCAAGTTAAGATGAGGTCATACTGGATTAGGCTGGGCCCTAAATCCAATGACTGATGTCCCTGTAAGAAGAGAAGTGACACAGAGACACACAGAGAGAGCACCGTGAGATGATGGATGCAGAGATTAGAGTTATACACCTACAAACTGAACACCAAAGAGCGCCACGACACCAGAAGCCAGGAAGAGGCAAGGAAAAGACTCTTCCCCTGGGCCTTCAGAGGGAGCATGGCCCTGCAGACACCCTGATTTTGGACTTCTGGCCTCTAGAACGGAGAGAATAAATTTCTCTTGGTTTTTATTTTATTTATTTTTATTTTTTATTTTTTGGTTTGTTTGTTTTGTTTTTTTGAGACAGGTTCTCTCGCTCTGTCACCCAGGCTGGAGTGCAGTGGCGCCATCTCGGCTCACTGCAGCCTCGATTTCCTGGGCTCCAGCAATACCCCCACCTCAGCCTCCTGAGTAGCAGGGACTACAGGCACATGCCAGCCACCACGCCTGGGTAGTTTTTTTAGTTTTGGTAGAGACAAGGTTTCCCATGTTGCCCAGGCTAGTCTCAAGCTCCTGAGCTTAAGCAATCTACCCCACTGCGGCCTCCCAAAGTGCTAGGATTACAGGTGGAGCCACCGCACCTGGCCATTTATCTTATTTTAAGCTATCCAGTTTGTGACAACTTATCACAGCAGCGCTAAGAAAATATTACAATGCTTATGGAACACAGCCTAAGGTTACCTCCCCTTCTGCCCTTCTGCCTTTTCTCCTGAAATTCCTCTTGCCTGGAATATCCTTGCTCTATGTATCCAGCTATGAAAAACCTAAGCATCCTTCACTGGCATCTGAACGTTCTACTCACTGGCATCTGAACATTCTGATTTGTAGATTGCAGGTCTGCACCATTTTTTAGTAGTCTTAGTCTTTTAAAGATCCCATTTATTTTGTCACAGTTCTGGAGGCCAGAGTCCAAAATCAAGCTGTCAATTATGCAAATATTTGGTCCTTCAAAGCCATTCTTACATAGGGTGATGGAGTCAGGTAACCAGCAGAGAGCAGGGAGACTGTAAAATTACATCTTTTTCTATTCCTGGCTACTTCTGAGTTCTGATAGTAAATCTCTTGTGATTTAATCATTATTCTTTTTTGTTTTTGAGACAGGGTCTAGCTCTGTCACCCAGGCTGGAGTGCAGTGGTGTGAACATGGCTCACTGCAGCCTCGACCTCCCGAGCTCAGTGATCCTCCCACCTCAGCCTCCTGAGTAGCTGTAACCACAGGCACGTGCTACCAGGCCCAGCTAATTTTTTTTTTTTTGAGATGGAGTCTCGCCCTGTTGCCCAGGCTGGAGTGCAGTGGCGTGATCTCAGCTCACTGCAGCCTCTGCCTCCCAGGTTCACCCCATTCTCCTGCCTCAGCCTCCTGAGTAGCTGGGATTACAGGCGCACCACCACATCCAGCTAATTTTTGTGTGTGTATATATATATATATTTTTTTTTAGTAGAGATGGGGTTTCACCATGTTGGCCAAGTTGGTCTCAAACTCCCGACCTCAGGTGATCCACCCACCTCAGCCTCCCAAAGTGCTGGGATTACAGGCGTGAGCCACTGCACCCAGCCAATTTTTTAATTTTTTTATAGAGATAGGGTCTTGCCTTGTTGCCCAGGTTGTTCTCAAACTCCTGGGCTCAAGCAATCCTCCCGCCTTGGCCTCCTAAAGTGCTGGGATCACAGGCATGAGCCACTGTGCCTGGCCTGATTTAATTCTTCTTCTTCACCTGATCCAGTTTTCTCCATGAAGACTTGAGACCAAGTCACAGTAGGTTTGGACCCAAATGTATGCTGCTCCTCTCTCCCCATGTTCTTTGCTTCTGTTCTTAGCCTGGGGTAAAGTCCTCCTTGTCCTGGGCCAGACATACTGTCAAGAGAAAGCTTGGTATTGGACTGACTCCATTTAAAGAACCTTATTTTATGAATCTGTCCCAGGAAAATATAGTAACTCGTTAACAGTTTTGAATGATTTGTTCTTTGCTTTTTGGCAAATTTCAGTTTATCCTTGCTAGAGGGAAAACAATAAAATCCACAAGTAATTCCCAATTTTCAACCTAGCCCAGCAATTTAACCTCCTCACTCACTTTGCCAAGGCTACTAATAAGTAGCTGTGTGCCTGGCCTGCTTTCCTTCTCTCCTCTCCCTGGTCCTGCCCATTGGCAGGGAGCCTCTTGTGAGTCATAAGATGACCAAGAGATCACACGGCGAGAGACTGAAAGAAAAGCAGCAAAGCCCTGGGTAATCAAGGCCCTAAACGGAAAGTGTCAGGATCTTGGGGTAAGTGGCTTTTATATCTTTGAAACTGCTCAGTAATTTTCCAGAGAGATGTTGGTTGGAACCCAGTGGAGTTGTGCCCCGCCCATAGTTAATGCTCAATAAGTTTATTAAGTCAAGAAACAAATTTAGGCTTGGCGAGTCCTGCCTGATGACAGGTAAACCCATCCTTATACAAGAATGGATCATTTACCCACCTCGCTTAGGAAAAAGAGGAGGTTATCAGGTTGTTAAGAAACGGGGCCAGGTCCAGGGCCAGGGCCGGGCACGGTGGCTCACACCTATAATCCCAGTACTCTGGGAGGCCAAGGTGGGTGTATCACTTGAGGTCAGAAGTTCAAGACCAACCTGGCTAACAAGGTGAAACTGTCTGTACTAAAAATACAAAAATTGGCTGGGCACAGTGGCTCACGCCTGTAATCTCAACACTTTGGGAGGCCGAGGCAGGCAGATCACCTGAGGTTGGGAGTTCGAGACCAGCCTAACATGGAGAAACCCTGTCTCTACTAAAAATACAAAATGAGCAGGGCGTGATGCCACATGCCTATAATCTCAGCTACTCAGGAGGCTGAGGCAGGAGAATCACATGAACCCGGGAAGCAGAGGTTGCAGTGAGCTGAGATGGCGCCATTGTACTCCAGCCTGGGCAACAAGAGCAAAACCCCTTCTCAAAAAAAAAAAAAAAAATTAACTGGATGTGGTGTCATGTGCCTGTAACCCCAGCTGCTCGGGAGGCTGAGGCAGGAGAATCGCTTGAACCCGGGAGGCAAAAGTTGCAGTGAACCAAGATTGCACCACTGCACTCCAGCCTGGACAACAGACAGACCAAGACTCCGTCTCAAAAAAAAAAAGAAAGAAAAAAAAAGAATCTGGGCTGGACACAGTGGCTCATGACTATAATCCCAGTACTTTGAGAGGCCGAGGCAGGAGGGTCACTTAACCCCAGGAGTTCAAGACCAGACATAGTGAGACCCTGTCTCTACAAAAAATAAAAAAATTTTTGTAGATTTTTTATCTACAAAAATCTGGGCGTGGTGGTGGATGCCTGTGGTCACAGCTACTCAGGAGGCTGAGGCAGGAGGATCACTTGAGCCTGAGAGGTCGAGGCTGCAGTGAGCTGAGATCGTGCCACTGCACTCCATCCTGGGTGACAGAATGCAACCCTATCTCAAAAAAAAAAAAAAAAAAAAGAACCTGCTAACCTGCTACTCTAGACCCCCTGCCTTGAGGACGGTGGCATTCACATTGCAGCTATTGTGAAAAATGTCCCCAGAGTTTACAGGCTACAAGCTAACAGTGGCACTCCGACTGGGAGCCCAGAGGGCAGGCTCTAGGATCCTGATCAATGAGATCTGCTTATGAAAACATCTTAAAACCTGGACTACAGAAAAAAGCACTCTTGCTTCCATACTGTTCAGATTATGTATGCAAAACGAGTAAGAACTGCCCAGCCAGTGTGCCTCTCTGCTTAATATAGAGCTTAGAAGTCCTCTAATTCTGTTTTGTTTTGTTTTCTGAGACAGGGTCTCACTTTGTTGCCCAGGCTGGAATGCAGTGGTATGAACATGGTTTACTGCAGCCTCGACCTCCTGCGCTCAAGCGATCCTCCCACCTCAGCCCACAGAGTAGCAGGGACTACAGGCACATGCCACCATGAGGTTTTGCCATGTTGCGCAGACTGGTCTTGAACTCCTGGGCTCAAGCAGTCCTCTGGCCTCAGCCTCCCAAAGTGCTGGGATTACAGGTGTGAGTCAGAAGTTCCCTAATTCTGATATGTGTGGTCACTACGCAGTTCTGTGCTTTGCTTCCAAAGGACTGATCACCTTGAAGAACCAGAATATAAAGAGGTTACGTTGGGGGAACATTACCATTTATTTATTGGCTTACTCTGAAAGACAAGTAAGTTAGTGCAGAATCACAACGTTGGCTCATTATTGGTATCATGGGCAGCCTGCAATGTTTGCTCATCATATCTATCTAGTTATATATTGATTATTTACATTCTGCTTTGTTCAATAAATAATTTGAAAGCATACATCCATTAAAAACTTCAGGGCCGGGCGCGGTAGCTCACACCTGTAATCCCAGCACTTTGGGAGGCCGAGGTGGGCAGATCACGAGGTCAGGAGATCAAGACCATCCTGGCTAACACAGTGAAACCCTGTCTCTACTAAAAATACAAAAAAATTAGCCAGGCGTGGTAGCAGGCACTTGCAGTCCCAGTTACTCGGGGAGGCTGAGGCAGGAGAATGGCGTGAACCCAGGAGGCGGAGCTTGCAGTGAGCTGAGATCGCACCACTGCACCCCAGCCTGGGCAACAGAGCGAAACTGTGTCTCAAAAAATAAAAATAAAAAATAAAAACTTCAGTTAGGCTGGGCACAGTGGCTCACACCTGTAATCCCAGCACTTAGGGAGGCTGAGGCAGAAGGATTGCTTGAGCCCAGGAGTTCAAGATTAGCCTGGGCAACATAGCAAGAACCCATCTCAAAAAAAATTATAATAAAAATAAAAACTTCAGTTAATAACATAGATGCGAATTTGAAATATACAGAGGAATGTGGTTGCCATCTAGTCCGATGATGTTTTCAAGCTCTTGTGTTTTGGGGTTTTTTTCTTTTAGCTATAGTACCCTATCTGCAAAATAAATCTTTTGCAGGATCGTATTGTATAAAATGGATGAAAACAGAGCTATTGGGTTTGAAGCACTCCTGAACCCTCTCATGGAACCCTATGTCTTCCTGGAGTCTACAGAGCTATTGGGTTTGAAGCACTCCTGAACCGTCTAGTAGAACCCTATGTCTTCCTGGAGTCTACAGAGCTATTGGGTTTGAAGCACTCCTGAACCGTCTAGTAGAACCCTATGTCTTCCTGGAGTTTACAGAAAAAGAGACTCAGGGATTTTCCCAAAGCACACTGCAAGTTAGGGGCAGGAATGACAGCCCAGACCTTCTGGTTTCCAGTCCAGGGCTCAACTGCCTAAACAGTGGCATCTCTTCAGGCAGGCCCTGTCAGAGGCAGGTTAGTATTTTTATTTTACTTCTTTTTTTGGTAGAGACAGGGTCTTGCCATGTTGACCAGGCTGGTCTCAAACTCCTGGCCTCAAGTGATCCTCTCACCTTGGCCTCCCAAATTGCTGAGATTACAGATATGAGCCACTATGCCCAGCCCAGGCTAGTTTTTTTTTGTTTTTTTTTTTAAAAGAAACTGTCTTGCTCTGTCACCCAAACTGGAGTGCAATAGTATGATCACAGCTCACTGTAGCCTGGAACTCCCCGGCTTAAGTGATCCCCCCACCACCTGAGTAGCTGGGACTACAGGCGCATGCCACTAGGCCTGGCTGTTTTCTATATTTTGTAGATACAGGGGTCTTACTATGTTGCCTAGGCTGGTCTTGAACCCCTGAGATCAAGCGATCCTCCTGTCTTGGCATTCCAAAGTGCTGGGATTACAGGTGTAAGCTATTGTGCCCAGGCCTCCAGGCTAGTTTTTGATTGCCACCTGACAGATGAGTTTGCAATCCAACATTTGCTGGTAACAGGATCATCCACCCAGCACAATATACTCAAAAGGAGCAGCTGGAAGGCTAGTCATTCACTAATTGCCACCTCCAGTGTCTCAATAACGAGGCATTCAAGTTGAGCATTTAAGGCAAAATTCAAAGAAATTAGACATCTATTTTGGGAGACATGAGAGGGCACAATGCTTTCCTACACAGATGAGAGCTCTTAACTCTTTGTGAGGTAGAGGGATATTTGCCTTTAAGAAAGTAGGTGGATGAGGCCAGTCATGGTGGCTTATGCCTGTAATCCCAGCATTTCGGGAGGCCAAGGTGGATGGATCGCTTGGGCTCAAGAATTTGAGACCAGCCTGGGCAACATGGCAAAACCTCATCTCTATAAAAAACACAAAAATTAGCCAGGTGTGATGGTGTGAGCCTGTAGTTCCAGCTACTCGGGAGGCTGAGGTGGGAGGATCACTTTAGCTCAGCAGGTGGAGGTTGCAGTGAGCTGTGAACCACTGCACTCCAACCTGGGTGACAGAGCTGTACCCTGCCTCAAAACAAACAAAAAACCCTGGCCCGGCACGGTGGCTCACGCCTGTAATCCCAGCACTTTGGGAGGCCAAAGTGGGCAGATCACTTGAGGTCAGGAGTTTGAGACCAGCCTGGACAACATCATGAAACCCCATCTCTACTAAAAATACAAAAAATAAGCCGGGCATGGTGGCAGGTGCCTGTAATCCCAGGTACTCGGGAGGCTGAGGCATGAGAATCGCTTGAACCTGGGAGGCAAAGGTTGCAGTGAGCCGAGATCATGCCACTGCACTCCAGCCTGGGTGACAGAGTGAGACTCAGTCTCAAAAAAAAAAAAAAAATACCCAAAAACAAAGAAAACAAAACAAAACAAAAAACCCCAGAAAGTAGGGGGGTGGCGCAGCTTAATTTGGGTATATAAGCTCTCTTCATCTGATTTTAACCTATAAAGGACTCAGAAGAAAATCATTAGTACCCATTATTACATTAGAAGTAATATCTCCCCCCAAGCAATCAGGAAGTTTCTTCGCTTAGGATGGAATATGTTAGCAATAGGCTTTCCTTCACTTTAGGGAAGCTGCTCATTCTGCTATCTGGACAGCAGGAAGGAATTCTTGGCTGAAAATTCAGAAGTCAAGGGCAAGCCAAATCTTCCAAACCCTTTATCACTTAAGGCCTTCTAGTCATGCACAAAAGGAACCAATTCACGCTAAGCAGAAAAAGAGCTTACTGGAAGGCTATCTAGCAGTTCACATAATTGATGAGAAAGCTGAAACACCAGACTCAGAAAACAGGAGTCATGGGAAATGGGTAGTGGAGACTCAGCCAAAGCCATGCCCAGTGGTCTGGAAGGACATCACCACCAGCACTGCTACCGTGAAATACAGCCTTCTAGACACCACTGGACTGTCCATATCACCAAGAGTATATCCTCAAACATTCCTGCCTTTTTTATCCCTTCCCTCAGGATTCTGAGTCCTGGGTGGGAGCATCCAGTCAGCTGAACTTAGTTCACAAGCCTGCATTCCAATGGCCAGGTGATGGGACTCTGGCTCTGTCTCCTGCTAAGACTCATACAACAGCACGGGGGAACAAAGTTTTCAGATGTTCAGTAGGCAAATATCAGCAGTGTCCACTAGAGTTCCTTCTAACTTTAAGTCCTACAGCCAATTGATCTGAAAACAGGAAAAGGATGAGAAATAACTTGAATAGCACTACAGGGACCAAGCTGTAAAGAATCAGATCCTATCTCTGGTGAAGCCCTCCAATCATCTCCTAAAGATCTTTAATTTTGCAAAACCATCACTAGTAAGGGAGACTAATATCAAAGTGAACTTCATGAGAATCCATTTCTCAGGCATTTCTTTTTGAGGCAGGGAAATGTACCAATCTAGCTTTTTTTTTTTTTTTTGAGATGGAGTCTCACTCTGTTGCCCAGGCTGGAGTGCAGTGGCACGATCTCAGCTCACTGTAACCTCCGCATCCTGGGTTCCAACAATTCTCCTGCCTCAGCCTCCTGAGTAGCTGGGATTACAGGCACACGCCTAATTTTTGTATTTTTAGTAGAGACGGGGTTTCACCATGTTGGTCAGGCTCATCTCGAACTCCTGACCTCGTGATCCACCCACCTCGGTCTCCCAATTTATTTTAAGATGGAGTCTTGCTCTGTTGCCCAGGCTAGAGTGCAGTGGCACGATCTCGGCTCATTGTAACCTCCGTCTCCCGGATTTGAATCTTGACTCTTCATAGTTGAGTAACTTTGGACAAGTCCCCTAATCTGTAAAATAGGCATAATGCTTCAAAGGATTGTTATAGGACTATATGAGATCATTTACGCATTTTGCATGCAACAAATATTTGATGATGACAGCCATCAGGCTAGGTGAACAGAACAGAAGGACCCTGTGCCTAGCACATAATAGGAGCTCAGTAGATACCTCCTAAATGTACCTGGTTGTTTCATGCCTTTATAGTATTTTAATTTTTTTTCTTTTTTTCTTTTTGAGATGGATTCTTGCTCTGTCGCCCAGGCTGGAGTGCAGTGGTGTGATCTCGGCTCACTGCAACCTCCACCTTCCGGATTCAAGTGATTCTCCTGCCTCAGCCTCCCGAGTAGCTGGGATTACAGGTGTGCACCACCACGCCCAGCTATATAAATATATTTATATACATATTTGTTTCACCATGTTGGTCAGGCTGGTCTCAAACTCCTGACCTCAGGTGATCCACTAAGCTTGGCCTCCCAAAGTGCTGGGATTACAGGCGTGAACCACTGTGCCAGGCTGCATATTTCTTTAGCAATGTATGCTGAATTATGTAGTAATGAGAGAACATAATGTGTTATTTGCTTTGAAATGTTTCAGCAAAGAAAAATAAATTACCGCATAATAAAGAATTAAAGACCGGTTGCCATGGCTCACACCTGTAATCCCAACACTTTGGGAGGACGAGGCAGGCAGATCATGAGGTCAGGAGTTCGAGACCAGCCTGACCAACATGGTGAAACCCCATCTCTACCAAAAATACAAAAATTAGCTGGGCGTGGTGGCACACACCTGTAATCCCAGCTACTCGGGAGGCTGAGGCAGGAGAATCACTTGAACCCGGGAGGCAGAGGTTGCAGTGAGCCAAGATCACACCACTGCACTCCAGCCTGGGCAACAGAGCGAGACTCCATCTGAAAAAGAAAAAAAGAAAAAAGAATAAAAAGAACTAAAATACTATAAAGGCATGAAACAACCTGGTACATTTAGGAGGTATCTACTGAGTTCCTATTACGTGCTAGGCACAGGGTCCTTCTGTTCTGTTCACCTAGCCTGATGGCTGTCATCATCAAATATCTGTTGCATGCAAAATGCGTAAATGATCTCATATAGTCTTATAACGATCCTTTGAAACATTATGCCTGTTTTACAGATTAGGGGACTTGTCCAAAGTTACTCAACTATGAAGAGTCAAGATTCAAATCCAGAGACATCTGACTTCATTTCCCTTCATTAACAACCATCTAAGGAAGTTCCTATTACTTTGGGAACTCCTAGTAGCAGGTGGTTAAAAAAAACTCCTGGACAACATACTATGCTATTTGAATCATCCTACTTCTTACGCGTTCCTCCAGGATGCACTCTTCTCCCATTCTGAAACTGACAGTTCTCTTTACAAACTGTGTATGTTTCATTCCTGGATTGCATCTGAGCTGCCGCCATGGAACGGGCATTGAGTTTTAGCGTGTGTGATGTCCCATGTGTTCATTTTGTCTCCCCACACTATAAACTTGAGAGGCAAGGCCAACTCTTTTATGTCTTCAAATGCTTTGCTGCCAAACACAGGATTGGAAATGGCCAACAAAGACTAAAATGCTACTTCTCTACCCTTTTCACTATGCCATCTACTGGAAATTTAAGCAAGACTTGCAGAGATCACTTCAGGTTATCTGTTCCCCTGCAAGAAACACTTGTGGTTTGGCCTGAAATAGTTTTCTGCTGATTCTTTCTCTACAGCCCTGAACCCTAAAAACAAATGAAATGCATCAACACAATACTAAATGCCTACATATTATTACTATTATGTCTTTAAAAAAAGAGTGAAAGCTTTTTCATGTTTGCTTTAAATCAACCATGTAGAAACTGGAGGGACCAGTGAAGAGGAATAGAGGGAATGAACTCAAATGCTCTAACTTGCAATAGGACAGTTGGGTTCTTACTTTGACTCACCTGACCTTTACAACCATTAGCCAGCTCACATGATGCCCAAACAAGTTGCTGAGCCTCCTGCCCATCCTCTGTATATATCCCTGGTTTCCTGTCTCAAGCTTTAGGCTAATCTCCATCAACACTGACCTCACATGAATACTAAATGCAGATGTCTGACCTCATATTTCTCTGCCAGTCAGATCCCTGGCCTCTTTACTACAGACCTTAAGGACCAGTTCTCAAACTCATCTCATTGGCATCTTTTCACATCACGAAATCTATCTGGTCAGGATTTGAATAAAACTGTATTTTTACTTTAATACAAAAGAGTCAACATGGGCAGTGACTAAATAAAGGGGGTGGGGACAGAGTTAACACGAGCCACCTATGCTGTTACATATATATATATCCCGATTAATTTCAGTTGGTGAAGAGGAAGACCCTCGGGCACAGATTTCAACACTGTGCTGGACTCAGACCCAAAATCCTTTGACTTATTTTTATTTTTTGGGATGAGGTCTCGCTATGTTGCCCAGGCTGGAGTACAGTGGCTATTCATAGGCA
Source organism: Homo sapiens (assembly GCF_000001405.40). Taxonomy (NCBI): domain Eukaryota; kingdom Metazoa; phylum Chordata; class Mammalia; order Primates; family Hominidae; genus Homo; species Homo sapiens. The sequence continues at coordinate 9,573,998 of NC_000002.12, forward strand.
CTATCATAGTGCAGGGTAGCCTTGAACTCCTGGCCTCATGATCCTCCCACCTCAGCCTCCCTAGTGGCTGGTAGCTGGGACTACAGACACAACCAGCCCTCTGACTTATTTTTACTACTCTGCTGTGAAACTCACCCGATCTTTACTTTGGCCTTCATTATTGAGGCTTCCTTAAAGCAGTGGTTCTCAAAGTACCAGGTCCTGATCAGCAGCATCAGCATCAATTTGTTAAAAATACAAATGCTCTATGGGGCCCTACCTCAGACTTACTGAATCAAAACTCCTTAGTCAAGACTTAACTGCTGGTAAGTGACTGAGTTTTTGGTCAAAGGCATTTCCTTTTAGCACTTGTTCTCTGGGTCCTGATTTTTCTTTACTTATTTCAACAGAATGACCTTTCCCATTGTATTCCATCAGAGAGTGCTAATTAGAAGCAAAACCACAGCTTAATTGTCTTTTTTTTTTTTTAACTTCGCATTCCCAAGTTACACCGTCATTTTCTTTTTGTGACTATGCCCTTGAAAATCTAGGGCAATAGGTCTGCTCAGTGTTGTTGATTTTCTTATCCACAAGACTGGTTTCACTTTATTAGAACTTTCTAGTTCCAAAATTAGGCTATCCTGCTAACTTCCTTCCCACTTGAGTGTTCCACTACATACATTCCACAGCCCTTTACACTTGGAAATACTTTCACACATTGGCTTGCAGGCTAGATAGATTGTCCACCTTTTATCTGTAAAAGGTAAAACAGAAACTCAGTGAGATTAAAGCCATAGCTATAAAGTAGTGAAGTTTAAAGTTCTGGTACCTACTTCAGTCCCTGACTCATAACAAGCGCTCAATATATTTAACAAGTATGTGAATGACCATGGAAGCCAGATCTTTGACTTCTAGGCTGGTTTTCTTTCTCTTTTTTTTTTGAGATGGAGTCTCGCTCTGTTACCCAGGCTGGAGTGCAGTGGCACGATCTCGGCTCACTGCAACCTCCGCCTCCCAGGTTCAGGCAATTCTCCTGCCTCAGCCTCCCAAGCAGCTGGGATTACAGGTGCACGCCACCATGCCCAGCTAACTTTTGTATTTCTAGTAGAAACGGGGTTTCACCATGTTGGCCAGGCTGGTCTCGAAATCCTGACCTCAAGTGATCCGCCTGCCTTGGCCTCCCAAAGTGCTGGGATTACAGGCATGAGCCACTGCACCCAGTTTCTGGCTGGTCCTTTCTATCTCTAGATCACACAATCTCTCATGTTACATAGTTGTGGGAATAGACAAGTCTAGCTCCAAAAAGCGTTAATAATCTTGTCCCATTTATTTTCCTAGCTCCCAAGTTGTGATGTTGCCACCAGTATTAGAACACAGTGGTCTCCAAAATCTTGCCAATGAATCCTCCAAGGTGCGTACCAAGTTCCGGAATAACTGAAAGAACATCACATACACAGGCTGGGTACAGTAGCTCACATCTGTAATCCCAGCACTTTGGGAGGCCGAGGTGGGAAGACTGCTTAAGGCCAGGAGTTCAAGACCACCCTGGGCAACATAGTGAGACCTTGTCTCTACCCTCCTCCCCAACCCCCCCCAAAAAAGCACCACCTGTCAAGGAGAATGGCATGGCGACATGGCTGAAACACAGAGCCTTATCTAAAGACCCACAGGGCTAGAATGGAGAAAGAACTCTCAGAACAAATTTCAGATAGGTAAAAAACCTGGTAATGTCAGTAGAAAATGAGAAACAAATAGTCTGGCTTCCTTCAAGGACTAAAGGACCTGAGTTACTCCCATACAATGGTGGAGAGTAGAGCCCACAAGATTACTGAATAGCAGAGATCTTTGCAATGAATGCCAGCTTCCAGTACACACTTCCACAGGAAAGTGAAGGTTAATCTAGCTTAATTCAGTGCTTTAACTCCTCTATACCTCTGACAGGAGAAAGAAAACCAGGCTACACTGGAAGTTAAATCTCAGTTGGACTTAAACTTTTTCTAGTTTTCTTTTTTTTTGGAGACGGAGTTTCACTCTTGTTGCCAGGGCTGGAGTGCAATGGCACAATCTCGGCTCACTGCAACCTCCGCCCCCCGGGTTCAAGCAATTCTCCTGTCTCAGCCTCCCAAGTAGCTGTGATTACAGGCACCTGCCACCACACTGGCTAATTTTTTATTTTTTTTTATAGAGACGGGGGTTTCACCATGTTCGCCAGGCTGACCTCAGGTGATCTGCCCGCCTCGGCCTCCCAAAGTGCTGGGATTATAAGCGTGAGCCACCGCACCCGGGACTTTTTCTAGTTTTCAACATTGTTATCTATACATCCTCAAGTGTAAGCTGTCACAGGAAGAAAAATGTGTCTTTTTTTTTTTTTTTTTTTTTTTTGAGACAGTCTTGCCCTGTCACCCAGGCTGGAGTGCAGTGGCGTGATCTCGGCTCACTACAACCTCCACCTCCCGGGTTCAAGCAATTCTCCTGCCTCAGCTTCCTGAGTAGCTGGGACTACAGGCACCTGCCACCATGCCTGGCTAATTTTTGTATTTTTAGTAGAGACAGGGTTTCACCATATTGGCCAGACTGGTCTTGATCTCCTGACTTTCTGATCTGCCCACTTCGGCCTCCCAAAGTGCTGGGATTACAGGTGTGAGCCACCGCGCCCGGCCAATTATTTCTTTCTTTCTTTCTTTTTCTTTTTTTTTTTTTTTTTTTGAGACGGAGTCTTGCCCTGTCACCCAGGCTGGAGTGCAGTGGTGCGATCTTGGCTCACGGCAAGCTCCACCTCCCAGGTTCACGCCACTCTCCTGCCTCAGTCTCCTGAGTAGCTGGGACGACAGATGCATGCCACTACGCCTGGCTAATTTTTGTATTTTTAGTAGAGGCGGAGTTTCACCATGTTGGCCAGCTGGTCTCGAACTCCTGACCTCAGGTATCTGCCTGCCTCGGCCTCCCAAACTGTTGGGATTACAGACATGAGCCACCGTGCCTGGCAAAATGTGTAGTTCTTTTACATGGGCAAGTTTCTACTATTAAAAAAAAAATAACCATGACAGGGCATCCTAAGTAGCCTAGTTAGCAGTGGCAGCTACTGCCCTCAGTAGCACGTCATAAGCAAGAGCAAAGTAAACATCCAAATAAAATGAATTAAGCCAGCTTGCCACAGCCTAGCATTGCAAGTCTACAGTATGCAATTTCACATGTCAAATCAGCAAGAAAATTCCTAAAGTCTTTAGCTAAAATTACAGTAATTAAACAACTCTTTTGATAAGCACTTGAGTAAGAACCCCAGATATTCCTGAAGAAACTGTGTTACAGCTCAAAAGAATTTAGGAGCCTAGTGTAGTAAGGCCCGTTGTATTGCCTGACTTTTACTCAGGGCTCAACCCAGTTTCAAGCCTACTTAATAATTCGTATCCCAAGAAAGCCCTTATTAGCCTCTTTGCTAGCTGAATAAATTCTAACTCCACCATGGCTTCTGTGGAGGCCCAGGCTATGATATGTTGCAGAAATAGTGTCTGAGGACAAAGAACAGATAAGAAAGTTAAACTCTGCATAACCCATTCAGTAATGTGTAATGAAAATATCACTCTCAAAAGTGGAAGTCTCCCCTTTCTTCTGAAGGGCATTAAGGGATACTCATGGCTCAGCAAATTCTGAAGTAGAAATTGTCACAGTGCTGTAGGTGGAAGAGACTCAACAATGCCATCATGAAAAAAACTTCTGGAATTATTCACAACAGTAAAATTATGACCAACTTACAGTCCTAGGAGATGGATTGCAGAAATCTTTAAGACCATCCATAAGAAATGGCTTTCAAACTTATTTGAAATCAATTTGACATCACAACCCACTTTTCATACATGTATAAACTGAAATTGGTTTCACAAAGTATTATTTCCCTTATAACATGCTACATATTTTCCCTTCTATTAAAAAAGTTGGCTGTCACCCATGAAGTTTGTTACCAGTTGGTCATGACTAGAGGTTAAAAAGCACTGATCAATTGCTGTAATCTTAAAAAAAAAAAAAAAAAGGCAACATAACACAGTTGCTAAGAGTACTAACTTTGAAGTAGGACTGCCCAGGTTCAAATCCTGACACCGCTACTTGGCTATGAAGCCCAAGTCCTAGGTCATGTCACTAACTTCGGTGCTTCAGTTTCCCCCTCCAGAAATCAAGAGAAACCTTCTAATAAAACTTTGTTATCAAACTGAGTTTTATTTGTGAGGATGCCTAAAAAACATGCCTATTAAGAAGTGAAGATGCTGGCCCCAAGATTCCGTGTAGCTTGCCAGTGAGTGGGAAGATTGGCCCGGGACCCTGGCTGATGGCCTTTCCACTATATTGCAGCATTGAGCATGCAAATAACATTGATTATATAAGGGCCTTTGGTGTAAAGCATGTAAAATAAATGTGACAAGCAATGCTGGATGATAAATGCTTATTTCCTTACTTTCAGAAAGTAACTAGAGGGCTCATGCCTTAAAAAAAAAAAAAACTTACCAGATAAATATGAACTAAAGCCTTCATTTTCTGAGTGGCAAGGAAAAAAAACAATTTTCATTAAGAATTCTTTTTAATTTAGCCAGTAGAGATTGAGATTTGGAGTTATTTGCCTCTGATTCTTGTCTAGTTTCAGGCCAAACACTAGCTAGTTGCTAGGACCTTGGCCAAGTCTGCAGTCTCTTTGGGCTCATTTCTATAATCGTAAGATGAGAGTTAGGCCCAGGATGTTGTAACACTGCCCCTTTTGAGGTTTTCCCCAAAGGGCAAAACTGACAGACTAAGGGGAAAGTCAAAGAAAAGAAAAACAAAAATCATCTCCAAAGATGCTAGAAAAAAAAAAAGAATAGCGTTATTTACTTGCCATAGTAAGGATGGTGAAGTACTCACAGCAGGCAATAGTGGCACAGAAATTAACTTGGTATGGCGTCTTGAGTTCAACCTCTAGTTGGCTACCTAATAGACACGTACATAAATGTTTTTGTTTTAGGACAGGGTCTCACTCTATCACTGGGGCTGGACTGCAGTGGTGCAATCACAGCTTATCACAGCCTTGACCTCCCGGGCTCAGGTGATCCTCCCACCTCAGTCTGGCAAGCAGCTGGGACTACAGGCGTGCATCACCATGCCTGGCTAGTATTTTTGTAGAGGCAGGGTTTTGCCATGTTGTCCACTGGTCTCAAACTCCCGGGCTCAAAAGATCCACCTGCCTTGGCGTCCCAAAGTACTGGGATTATAGGCGTGAGCCATGGCACAAGGCTCACATACATAACTTTGAGCTAATAATTTCATTTCTTTTTTTTTGAGACGGAGTCTCGCTTTGTCGCCCAGGCTGCAGTACAGTGGTGTGATCTCAGCTCACTGCAAGCTCCACCTGCCGGGTTCACGCCATTCTCCTGCCTCAGCGTCCCGAGTAGCTGAGACTACAGGAGCCTGCCACCATGCCCGGCTAATTTTTTTTGTATTTTTAGTAGAGACGGGGATTCACCGTGTTAGCCAGGATGGTCTCGATCTCCTGACCTCATGATCCGCCCGCCTCGGCCTCCCAAAGTGCTGGGATTACAGGCGTGAGCCACCACACCCAGCCATAATTTCATTTTTTTCTGATCAGATGTTCTGTCACTTAAGGGCACTTGAGATGATTAAATATGAATGTGCATAGTACATGACCAGGTATCCAAAAAGACTTCAATAAACCTTGGTTCCTTCTAACTAAAAGGGCTGTATAAACATGCTAAGGTGTTATAATTTTAGGGGCAGTTTCCAGCATTTCCTCCCGGGTATTATTACTTGCCACCTCCAAAGCATTAGCTCTGAAGGCATAACCTTTTCTTTTTTTTTCTTCTGAAAGAGACAGGGTCTCTTTGCATTGCTCAAGCTGGAGTGCAGTAGCTATTCACAGGCATGATCATCAAGCACCACAGCCCCAAACTCCTGGGCTCAAGTGATCTTCCTACCTCAGCATAGCTGGGACAACAGGGTCATGCCACTGCACCTAGCTGGCATAGAAATTTTTTTTTTTTGAGACACTGTCTCATTCTGTTGCTCAGGCTGGAGTGCAGTGGCACACTGCAGCCTCAATCTTTCGGGCTTAAGCAATCTTCCCACCTCAGCCCCCTGAATAGCGAGGACCACAGGCGTGCACCACTATGCCCCGCTAATTTTTGTATTTTTTGTAGAGATGGGTTTTGCCATGTTGCCCGGCTGGTCTCAAACTCCTAGGCTCAAGCAGTCCACCCACCTCGGTCTCCTGAAGTGCTGGGATTACAGGCACGAGCCACAGTGCTTGGCCAGCATAGCCACTTTAAAATGAAGTGTGGGTTAAGGAGTAAACTGGCAAGTTTGCCCCAAATTCGATTTCATGATGATCTTGACATCTACACAGTGGTGTCACTTAACAGGAGTATGTTCTGAAAAACGCCTCGTTAGGCGACTTCATCGTTGTGCAAATATCACAGGATGTACTTACACAAGTACATGGCAGAGCCTACTACACACCTAGGCTATGTAGTAAAGCCTATATTCCTAGGCTACAAACACGTACAGCACGTTACCGTACTAACTACTGTAGGCAATTTCAACAACACTAAATATTTGCTGAACACAAAAGATACAGTAAAAATCACTGCTGTATATGCAGTTCTTGCTACACGTAAACTGTTTAGCTAAATAACATTAATTCCAGAGAAGGCAAAGCTTACCAAATACAAATTCTACATGGGAGAGTGATAGAGATATAAGGCAGAATAAAACATGCAAAATTGCAGTCAGGCGCGGTGGCTCACACCTGTAATCTCAGCACTTTGGGGGGCCAAGGTGGGCAGATCACCTGAGGTCACAAGTTCAAGACCAGCCTGGCCAACATGGCGAAACCCCATCTCTACTAAAACTACAAAAATTAGCCATGCGCGGTGGAGGGCACCTGTAATCCCAGCTACTCAGGAGGCTGAGGGAGGAGAATCGTTTGAACCCGTGAGGTAGAGGCTGCAGTGAGCTGAGTTTGTGCCATTGCACTCCAGCCTGGGCAACAAGAGTGAAACTCCGTCTCAAAAAAAAAAAAAAAAAAAAAGTAAACATGCAAAATTGCCTTCATCAGTTTAAAGTGAAAGTCTTTCTAAACCATAAAGAATGATTGTTACTTTTAAAATATATCTAATGACATGAACCTACAGTGAGACTCATCATTGGACAAAAAGTCACGTCTGTTCGTCTGTAATAGGCCTAATATTTCTGAATGACTCAACTCCTAAAAATTAGCCCATCTCAAAATCAGTGACCAAGATTCTGATCTTCTCAAATTATTTTACTCTTCAGTTGTAGTTTTTATGCATCTTTAAATGGCCTTCCTAATATTTTCACCATTTTTTAAGAAGTCTCTACTGATACATATTTAAGCTACAAGGTATGAGTATATTCTACCAACCGTGTCAAAAGAACTTACTGATCTTTGCCAACCAAAGATTAACAAATGAATGTACAAATATGTTGAAATAAAAATCTCTCGATTCTATTCTGTTAGAATGCAATTTAAAAAATTATTATTAATATCTACCTAAATGCCATTAAGAAAAAACTGCCAAGTTCTAACTACAAAATAGGTGCAATATTTAAAATTTCTGATCTCAGAAAATAATTTAAAAACTTAAAGACAAAGCTGATAGATTTAAATCCTCCCCCCATCCCAAAACTTTACTTACACTCTTTTCCTCAGGAAAGGTGTCCTCTCTCCTACTGAGTTCTTAGCGGTATTCTATATCCTCTTCCTCTAGTGCAAGGAAGCCCAAAAAGCAGTCCAAAGGAGATACCACAGGCTGAGCCCGCTTTTAAAAGATGCAGAGCTTTTCTAAAGCAAGGAGACGTTTCAAGTTGGGACTAAATGCTGAGAATAATCTTTTTTTTTTTTTTTCTTTTTTGAGACAGTCTTGCTCTGTCACCCAGGCTGGAGTGCAGTGGCGTGATCTCCGCTCACTGCAACCTCCGCCTCCCAGATTCAAGCGATTCTGCTGCCTCAGCCTCCCAAGTAGCTGGGATTACAGGCCTATACCACCAAGGCTGGCTAATTTTTGAATTTTTATTTTCATTATTTTTTGAGACAGAGTCTTCCTGTCACCCAGGCTGGAGTGCAGTGGCACAATCTCAGCTCACTGCAACCTCTGCCCTGCAGACTCAAGTGATTCTCCTGCCTCAGCCTCCTGAGTAGCTGGGATTACAGGCATGTGCCACCACACCTGGCTATTTTTTTTCCCCCAAGACGGAGTCTTGCTCTGTCACCCAGGCTGGAGTGCTGTGGCGCGATCTCGGCTCACTGCAACCTCTGCCTCCCAGGTTCAAGCAATTCTCCTACCTCAGCCTCCTGAGTAGCTGGGATTACAGGTGCCCACCACCATGCCTCACTACTTTTCTTCTATTTTTAGTAGAGATGGGGTTTAACCATGTTGGCCAGGCTGGTCTCAAACTCCTGACCTTGTGATCCACCCACCTCGGCTTCCCAAAGTGCTGGGATGACAGGCGTGAGCCACTGCACCCAGCCATTTTTTTGTATTTTCAGTAGAGATGGCGTTTCACTATGTTGGCCAGGCTGGTCTTGAACTCCTGACCTCAAGTGATCCACCCGCCTCAACCTCCCAAAGTGCTGGGATTACAGGTGTGAGCCACTGTGCCCAGCCTAATTTTTGTATTTTTAATAGAGACAGGGTTTCACCATATTGGCCAGGCTGGTCTTGACCTCCTGACCTCAAATGATCTGCCCGCCTCAGCCTCCCATAGTGCTGGGATTACAGGCATGAGCCAACGCGCCTGGCTAGAAAATAATCTATTCTTTAAGGCCACTTTGATAACATAATTCATTACTCAGCACATACCATTTTACTGGTCTTAAGAAATGATCATTTTTTCTCAATTCAAAATGTTATTTTTACTATGATTTTTATTTAAAAAGTAGTGTCCTGATTTAAATTTTGGGATACCAGAGTCCTACTGAATTCTGCCTTTTCATTTCCCCTTAGAAAACAAGTATAGGTCGGGCGTGGTGGCTCATGCCTGTAATCCTAGCATTTTGGGAAGCTCAGGCAGGTGGATCACCTGAGGTCAGGAGTTCAAGACCAGCCTGGCCAACATGGTGAAACCCCGTCTCTACTAAAAATAAAAAAAATTAGCCGGGTGTGGTGGCGGGTGCCTGTAATCCCAGCTACTCGGGAGGCTGAGGCAGGAGAATCTGTTGAACCCAGAAGGCGGAGGTTGTGGTGAGCCAAGATCGCACCACTGCACTCTTAGCCTGGGCAACAGAGTGAAACTCTGTCTCAAAAAAAAAAAAAAAAAAAAAAAAGGGAAAAAAGAAAAGAAAAGAAAACAACTATAAATGAAGCCTTGTTTCATATTCACATTTTAGGATCAAGAAGAATCCTACATAGCTATTTTTTCAGATTATCTTCTGACTTAAAAATCAGTTCTCAAGTCATTCAGTCTCAGTTATTTTACTAATCTGAGATTGGTTAGTAAAATAATAGCTATTGTGATACTATAAAACCAAAATTATTTTGAACTCACTAATAGTAAGATTGAATGTTTACAAACAGAAGCATAGAGTCCCCAACTTAATTTTTTGACTTTACAATGGTGTGGAAATGACAGGCATTCAGTAGAAAGCATACTTCAAGTACCTATACAATCAATGGTTTTCACTTTCAGTGTTCAACAAATTACCTGAGAGATCCAACGCTTTAGTATAAAGTAGGCTTCATGTTCTTTGATTTTGCCCAACTGTAGGGCTAAGTGTTCTGGGCACATTTAATGTAGGATAGGTTAAGCTATAATGTTCATTAGGTCAGGTGTATTCAGTGCAGTTTTGACTTCGTATTTTCAACTTGCAATGGGTTTATCAGGGTGTAGCCCCATTTTAAGTTGAGGAGTATCTGTGTCTGAACTCTTACATTCCTTTTGAATATCCACTGAAGCACAATTCTAATAACAGCCAAGGCACTCACAATCACATAATTAACTTTGCTAGTTTTAAAATGTCCACTTTATTCCATATAACACTTAACCAGATATCATTTACATCTGAGGAAGAGATGGCCCATGAGACTGATCTATAGTAAAACACTCTAAGAAATGCAGTCCAATTTTATACACTTCCAGGCATCCCTAGACAAGTGTGTCACAATGCACAATGTGGAAATATAGGTATCACTACTACATTTTACATAAAAGGGAAGTATCAATAAACTTTAGAAAGTAGTAAATTCACCTGTCCCTTAAAATATGGGTATGCAATTGTTACAAAGCCATAGTAAATGGTTTATAAAATGTACTTTTATTTTATGTTACTCTGCTGTTACATAGGGCATAACATTTTCACAAGGCTTTTTTGGGACTACAGTCAATGATTAGCAACACACAATAGTGGTCCAACTCTCTAAATAACAATCACTAGACAAACTGGACACCCTCTCACATGTGCACAAATCTGCATGGAAAAGTACTAAAGTTTTAGACTTGGACTTGTGTACTTTAATTTATTTCCCCTTTCTAGTGTATTAAGAAATGACATGCACTTTAATTTGCCAAAAGCAATGCTTGTATTCTGGCAGCAACATGCTACTTCTATCACATAGTAAAGTGAATACCAGAACTACAAAGGCAGGAGGTGTAAGTGAATTTTTATTGGGAGGGGAGGTTGGCAACTTAAACAGCAGCAAATAAAGAGTGAATAAGGAAACTCCCTGTTGCCACAGATACACAAGACCTCCGTATGTGATACAGGAGCCATTTCAATTTGTGACCCCTAGACAGAGATGGCAAGTGCTTTTCCATTCAATCTAATACTTCCGGATTCCTACTAAAAAGGAATACATTAAGAGCATGGAAAAGTTGCTTACTGAAAGGAAACCCCCGAAGAGTAAGGGAGGGAATGTAGAAATTAAGAAGTTATGTGGAATACTCTTTAAATTGTAATTAACTACATTTTCTTATTTTCACAGTAATACAAAACACAGTCACTTGCAGAACTGGTTCAGATTACTTAAATACCAGATACATTTTTAGTCCTCTACATAAGTGTTTGGGAGTTACTTATGTTTATATGAAATGAAGCTATTAATACTTTTCTACAGCAGTACTGCACACCAGGAAGGCCAAGACAAACACAAATCAAGGAATGAAGTTTTCCCAAAGCTGCAGTGTGAAAAGACTATAAACAGTTGATTCCATACACATGAATGGGTTTCTTTGCTATAGGAAATCCAAGTGGAATAAGGAATGGAGATGTGTAAAAAGGTTTCTTGAAGGAAAGAAGGATGACACCCTGTATGGATTTAGTTTTCAGCCCCTTCTGCCGCATCACATTCTTCTCCTGCACTGTCTGATGTCCAAAGCTAGAAAAAGAAGAATCATATTAAGTTACTATTTCTAGATTAGGCAATTACACTAAGTAGTATTGTTATATCAAAATTAACTACAAGAGTAGTAAATTCCTCAAACAATGGAGATCTTGACTAAGACTGAAGTTCTCTCTCAAAACCCCAAAGACCATCACCTTCCCAAAGTACATCCTTGCAGACCTTTCACTATGCACTTACAAAATGACATACATACATACATACATATACCACTGGAGCATGGTTTTATAGCTTCCTTTTTATTTAAAAAGCATTTGGCCAGGCACAGTGGCTCACGCCTGTAATCTCAGCACGTAGGGAGGCCAAGATGAGAAGATCGCATGAGGCCAGGAGTTCAACAGCCTGGACAACATAGCAAGATCCCACGTCTACAAAAAATTTCAAAAACAAAATTGGCCAGGTACGGGGTGGTGTGTGCCTACAGTCCTAACTACTCAGGAGGCTGAGGCAGGAGGACTGCTTGAATCCAGGAGGTTGAGGCTGGAGTGATCCATGATTATGACACTGCACTCCAGCCTAGGCAACAGGGTGAGATCCTTTCTCAAAAAAAAAAAAAAAAAAGAGAAACTTTTTTAAAAAGGCACTCTACTTTCAGAATAAGCAAAGTGATAGTCTCTATTCCCAGCAGCCCAATGCTCTTCTTGAAAGCACTACTGCATTATTATTACAGACTAATAAAGCAAAACATTTTCACAGGGAGGAAAAAGCCACAATCATGGTTAACAATTTTCAAGTGTGTGAAGGGCTAAACTATAGGAAAAGCAGACTTACTTTGTGTTTCTCCAAGAATTAAATAGAAGTGGGTGATGGAAGCTACAGGGAAGCAATGTGTGCATGTATAGACAGGGTTCTTGAATTAGACAGAATGTTAAAACTAAGTGGATCTTCCAGGATCTCTCTGATTTTAGGATAGGAAGATGAAGTGAAGAAGAGAAGTCAGTATTTATTGACTATAATTGCACTTTATTAGACCAACAGCAAGACATTAGTGTTAATTTCAGAAAAGCCAGAATCTTACATAATCCTTAGATTATTATGAAGATACTAAATAAAAACAAACAAAACAAAATCCCCCAAAGACCTGTCTCCATAATAGAGATAACAAAACAAAACCGATTAAAAGATAGTTAGCTCCAAGGTATACATCTGGGAAGAGGTATAACTGCCTAATTTGCTCTTCCTCTGTAGAACTATTTGCTGATCATCTTCCATTGTCCCCTCACAACCACAGGCACTTCTCATGGCTAGAAATGCAGGGTCTTCGTTCCCCTTTCAGTGGATTCATAATTACCCTATTCAGCAAAATTGAATAGACATGGTGCTAATATTTAAAAAATCCTATCTAGTAAATGATAAAGCACCAAACTAGGGGGCTGGGAGGACGAGATCTATATTAAAAGATTTGTTCCCTTCTTTTTCCTTCTGTGAAGTCTAAGATTTTACCTATCAAATTTACTTGAACCTACAAAAGAATGTTAAAGTAAAGCTTAAGCTGTACTTTTTCTTGATTACTTCCTTTATCAATTGCCTATCTAAGAAGCAGGGAGAAAAAGACAAACAAAACAGAAGCTTTTGCCTAGAAGCAGAGAAGGAGTAAGTTTAGGTATAGGTTTACTCCCTAAATGCTTGTAGAACATCATGCACAATTCACAAAGTAAACTTTTATTAGAACAAGGTACTTCCTGTGATTTTAAGAAAGCGTAGATATTTAGATAGTCCCTAACTGGCTATAGCTGATTTGCCCCAAAATATTGAAACTTGATAAGCTCTTTATTAACATAATTTATCAACATCTTCATCCCAATGAAATAGTAATATTAATATTGAGTTCCTATCATGTTAGAACCTTCTCAGGAAGGTCTGATAAAATGCCTATTCAACTTGAAAACCTGCCTACAAAATAATGTTCGTCCCATAAAATACTAACACGTATCTCATACTTTCAGCTCGTATGTATCTTCCCTAAAAGACACGAAGTCCAAAATAAAATATAAATACTTTTGTTTCTGAAAAGAAAATAAAATTAAAAGAGTAAACAACTCACTGTTAGGTTGTCTCTAAGCAACTGCATGATGAGGGTGCTGTCTTTGTATGAGTCTTCATTCAGTGTATCAAGTTCAGCAATGGCCTCATCAAAAGCCTGATAAATATTAATATCCATGGTAAAATATGTGCATTGACGAAAACTGGTTATTCTACAATTACAAACCATTTTTACAAAATAAGTGAACACCCACCTTATGTTCTACCATCAACAAACTCAACAGAACCATTCTCTCACACTCCCAGTTTAAGAACTTATGAGTATGACTGGAATTTTATAAAACTATACACTTAGTAAACAAGCATGTCTTGGTTCTTTCACAGGACAACGGAACAGCAGCAATGCTTAACAGACTTCTTTCCAGTTAAGTAGTACTTATCTCTACAGGGTCCTCTTTATTCTCTCGTTTTGAGCCACTTTGAGGAATGTGGCTGATGCACAGCTATTCTAGTAACCAAACCTGGCAGGCATGACTTTCTAATCTTTTATGTTTCCTTCTTAACATCATTTATCCTTCTTTGATTACTCTGCTCAGTATGCTCTGTAGGCACATCACTGCTTATAATCATAGGGTAGAGTAAGGTGTCAGGGGTAGGAGTAGGTAATCATGATGGGAAGAAAAAGAGGAGATTTCAAAATAAATATAGTAGAAATCATCCCTGGGTATCCAAGTAAAATACCTATAAATTAACATACCTGGTATCTCAAATAACTGTAGCTAAAGTACGTATTTCCTGGACACACATCTTACCGTTTTAGCCAGCGTGCAGGCAAGCTCTGGGTTATTAAGAATCTCATAGTAAAATACAGAAAAGTTAAGAGCAAGCCCCAGGCGGATTGGGTGTGTGGGTTGCATCTCTTTCTTGCTTATATCAAATGCCTCTTGGTAAGCTCCTTGGGAATTATCTATCGTTTCTGTGAAGAGCGAAAAATAAGAAGTGCAATATTAAAAATAACCATCCAGTACACAGTACATTAACAACTTGAACATATGCTACTAGCTCTTGGTAGAACCAAGATTTTTTCTCTGTATGGGTCTTTTAAAATCATGGTAGCTAACAAAAAACATTATCGTGGCCAGGCGCGGTGGCTCACGCCTATAATCCCAGCACTTTGGGAGGCCGAGGTGGGTGGATCACTTGAGATCAGGAGTTCAAGACCAGTCTAGCCAACATGGCGAAACCCCATCTCTACTAAAAATACAAAAATTAGCCAGGCGTGATGGCGGGCATCTGTAATCCCAGCTACTCAGGAGGCTGAGGCATGAGAATCGCTTGAACCTGGGAGGCTGAGGTTGCAGTGAGCCGACATCACACCACTGCACTCCAGCTTGGGCAACAGAACGATACTCTGTGTCAAAAACAAACAAACAAAAACAATATTGTGTACTGGGTATTTAAGAACTTGTTTATGGCCAGGTGCAGTGGCTCATGCCTCTAATCCCAACACTTTGGGAAGGTGAGGCAGGGGGATCACTTGAACCTGAAGAGTTCAAGACCAGCCTGGGCAACACAGGGAGATCTTATCCCTGTCTCTACAAAAAATAATAATAATAAAAAATAGCTAGGCATGGTAGTGCGTGCCTGTAGCTCTAGCTACTTGGGAGGCTGAGGTGGGAGGACCCCTTGAGCCCAGGAGGTTGAAGCTGCAGTGAGCCAAGATCATGCTGCTGCACTCCCAACCTCAGTGACAGTTTGTCTCAAACAAACAAACAAAACAAAAAACCAGTTTAGAATGTTGCTTACATATAAACAGCTTAATGGAAAAAAAACATGAGATATTATAGTAAATCAGACTTTTTTCCATACCTAGGCTAAAACTATTTTCTTATTTTATGTCTTTTAATTCTATTACTTGGAAATGCAGCAATTAAAAATAATTTGACTGGAATAATTTACAGTGGCTCACGCCTGTAATCCTAACACTTTGGGAGGCTGAGGCAGGCAGATCACCTGAGGTTGGAGGTACAAGACCAGCCTTACCAACATGGAGAAACCCCGTCTCTACTAATAATACAAAAATTAGATGGGAGTGGTGATGCATGCCTGTAATCCCAGCTACTTGGGAGGCTAGGCACAAGCCTCACTTGAACCCGGGAGGCGGAGCTTACGGTGAGCCAAGATCGCGCCATTGCACTTCAACCTGGGCAACAAGAGCAAAACTCCATTCAAAATTAATAATAATAATAATAATTTGACTGGAATACCCTTTCCCTAAATAATGTAAACTTTACAAAGATCATCAACACCAAAATCTCTATTTTTCTGATTTGCAGAAATACTGATTCTTAGTATCAAGTGGTATTATTTGAAAGGCAATATAAAAGTTTCAATAAATAGGACAAAATCTGCTCTGACCAGAGTTTGATTACTAGCCTAATTAAAATGTTACTCCCCCTTCAAAAAATGTTCAGTATTACCAACACTAATCTGATTATACCCATGTTTTGAAAAGGGTAGTTTTCTGTATGAGGCCACTGGCCTATTACAGCTTTAGAGATACTGACGTAAGAGAATTAAGCTATCCCTTTATGACCTGAATTATGTTCATTTTCTTTCCTCTGAAATGGCACATTTATTGATCTAATCCCTGACTGGTACAGCCCACATGCAATAAGAAGTTCTTGCAGCTTGGCAAATTAGGAAGCACCAGTGTCTCAGCAATTAGGCTATAAAGACAGCCTATCTATGAATCGCAGCCTATCAGAATGTACACAGGACTACGTGTGAGACCTGAAAGTGCCAATGAGCTCCTAAGGGTTAAATCAGGTTAAAGCTACAGCTATGTCTCAATCTCCCAAATACTTCTCTTTGGCTTTCTGATACTTAAATGTACAGTTCCGTGCCCGTATCATGTCCAATTCTGCTTACCTTCATGGCAACAGAAATTACACATCAGTAACAGAATAAGTAAGTTTAGTATATAGATTTTGTTATAGCAAGGTATAACAGTTTCTCAGGTACAAGTTCTCTTTATATATTCAGTTACACTGATATTTAGGATGGCAAAACTCTCATTTTCAGATCATAGTAACTATTTGTAGGGGTATATCTTTGTAGACAGGGCAAAATTAAGAACAAAACAACAAACTTACTGGAAAAAATAAGGACTGACACTTCTAATACCTAGAACTTGATAAATCTGGTAGCAAGCACATACACTAAATTTAATGAGATCTATCTTATATTCAGCTGCCAGTATCCCAAGAGACATTCACTGCAAATAAATTCACTTCACTTTTTTATTATCAAGTTAGGCAATTCGGTCACTTTTTCTCATATCCATGTTTTCTATGATAGTCTAGGTTAAAAAAAAAAGGTATTTAATACTAAAATCTATTTTTATGACCACTACTTGATTAATCAACAGTTCCTGTATATTCAACCTTCTCAAGTAAAACCTAACCATGAGTCATTCAAACTTACTGTGAAGTTGGAGCAAGTTATACACCAGCAATAACACACTCATTTCACCTCTCCTCAGAAATCTGATTATATGTAATTAGCAGTCAATGTTATGACCCCTTAAAATAGACGATAATGAATATGACAAACAGCAAAAGCACAACAACCTGTTTCCACGTTCTGTATGTAATTTCCAGTGATCTGAAGTTTTAAGGCATAATAGAAAGGCCATGTGAAATGCAGAATCACTCATAAAGTTTACACAAAAAACTCTGGAGCTAAAAATATGGTGAACCAAAATTCTAAAAAGCATAAAAGATTAATCCTGTTTTAAATAATACCATATGAGATTACAGAGTTCACAGATGAGCTTAATTTTTTTAAAGAGCATGTGATGTAAATTTATAATCCAATTTTCATTTTTGAGAACATAAGGTAATACTAATTTTCTTGACATACATTCAATTATTAAGTCACAAAGAGCCTGAAGACTACGTATACTGTCATAGTGTCCCATTTATCCCCATTTCTTTTTTTTATATTCTACTTTTGCCCATATAACAAATAAACTTACGTTTTCGATCATCACCACACGCAACTTCAGCAAGGTACCGGAAGTAATCACCCTTCATTTTCAGATAGAAGACCTTACTCTCTGGATTAGTTGCATTGGCTATTAAATATTTATCCAACAATTCCTGAAATAAATAAGACAGAACATTAGGCACTAAACTTCTGCCTACTGTGCATTATCATTAAATGATAAAACTTCTGCCTAGCGGGCATTTCAATCATTTACTACTACAGTAATACTATACCATACCAGCCTGGACTTGAAGCATGTTCTTAGAGCAGGGGTTAGGTTGTTGCCACTAGTTGCCCTGGGAGGCTTTAAATGATGTAGCCTATAGTTTCTAATGGTAAGGCTAGATTCTAGATTACACCAAACATTGTAATTTGAAACAGCCTATCTGTTCACTCATCCATTCATTCAACATTTACTCATACCTGCTAGGTGCTATAACGGATATAGAGAAGACTTAAAATCAGGCCCCTGCCCTCAAGAAGCTCACCGTCTGTAAGTACACCAACTACATACCAAGAACTAAGAAAGATGTGAATACGGTGCTAAGGAAGCACACAGATGGAGTAGCTCTGCTGGAGATGGCCTCCAGTTAAGACAGGCTTCCCAGGGAAAGAGTATTTGAGGCATGAAGAAGGAAAAGTAGAAATGCACCAAACAGAAAACAGGGATGTGCACTCATTTTAGGGACGGGAAACAAAATGTTTAAAACATCAAGTACGAGGGAGAATAGTGCTACTCAGTGCCCTTTGCATTCAAGTATCCATCTAAAATGAGGTAAATACAGGAATCGAGAGTAAGAGGTTTAGAAACTTGCACAGCAATTTAAAAGAATAATTTTAGGTCTACGAAATCTAATTATTTTTTTAAAAAAGTTCTTGAGTATGTCTTTTGTCCCTAATTTCATACAAAGAAATTTTCACTTCTAGTACATGGTATGCTATGCCTTGGAGTATAAAAAGTCACAAAAGACAAATATGATAGAAATCTTCTTAGATTCCATTTTTCTTGATGCTAGGTCATCCATTTAAAAACCTTTTTAGGGCCGGGCGCGGTGGCTCACGGCTGTAATCCCAGCACTTTAGGATGCCAAGGCGGGCAGATAACAAGGTCAGGAGTTCGAGACCAGCCTGGCCAACATAATGAAACCCCGTCTCTACTAAAAATACAAAAAATTAGCCAAGCGTGATGGTGGGCACCTGTAATCCCAGCTACTCAGGAGGCTGAGGCAGGAGAATTGCTTGAACCTGGGAGGTGGAGGTTGCAGTGAGCCGAGATCATGCTACTGCACTGCAGCCCGGGTGACAGTGTGGACTCCATCTCAAAAAACAAAAACAAAAACAAAAAAAGCTTTTTTGTATTAAATATTACAAAGCAAAATGAAATTCTCATAAAAATGTTAAGATACTAATACCTACTTCATTGGTTTGTTTTGAGAATAAAACCAGTAACAGATGTCAAAGCCTGGAATAGTGTCACATGTTAAGTACTCAGTAAATGTTAGCTAGTATCAGCCTAGGTACACAGTTTGAAAAGCACTGCTCTAGGAAAAGTGAAACTAGTGAACGTTTTAAAGCAGGGAAGAGAGAAGATCCTTTTTACATTTTGGAAAAATAACCACAGATACGCTCAGTTAATATTATATAAAATACCATCCATGATACCAAGTTGGCAAGTCTGGAGAATTAACAAGTAAGGTTGAGTCAAATTCACATAACTGCTAAAGAAAAGGAAGGCTGTTTATAAATTTAAAAATATACAATTCTAACCAAGAACTTTCTTCTTGTTTATCTGACTAAAAGTGGTCTAACAAAATGCAATCACTGCATCCATGTCTTTTTTTTTTTTTTTTTTTTTGAGACAAAGTCTCACTCTGTTGCCCAGGCTAGAGTGCAGTGGTGATTCTCAAATGATTCTCCTGCCTCAGCCTCCCGAGCAGCTGGGACTACAGGCGCACACCACCACGCCCAGCTTACTTTTGTATTTTTAGTAGAGACAGGGTTTCACCATGTTGACCAGGCTGGTCTCAAACTCCTGACCTCAAGTGATCTGCCCACCTCGGCCTCCCAAAGTACTGGGATTACAGGCGTGAGCCACTGCGCCTGGCCCATAAGTTATTTTTAAAGAAAATAAACAGAGGCTGCGTACAACAGCTCACACCTACCATCCAAGCACTCTGGGAAGTAGAGGCAGAGGCAAGAGGATTGCCTGAGAGCCCAGGAGTTTGAGACCAGCCTGGGCAACATAATGGGACCCTGTCTCTACAAAGAATTTTAAAAAAATTAGGTGTGGTGGCATACACCTGTAATCCCAGCTACTTGGAAGGCTGAGGCAGAAGGAAGGCTTAAACCCCGGGGGTGGAGGCTGCAGTGAGCCATGATCGTGCCACTGCATTCCAGCCTGGGAGACAGAGCAAAAGAGATCCTGTCTGTCTCTAAAAGAAAAAAACCAGAAAAACATTAAAAATCCTTTAATTGAAAAAATATTTTAAATAGATTAAAAAAAATATATATATATATATATACACACACACACACACACACTTTTTTAAGGGCCTGAGGCCAGAGGAAGTTAAAACACACACACACACACACACACACGCACGCACAAAAAATTAGTATAAAATTATGTATCGAAGTCTCAGAAGTTTATGCATTATAGAAGTCATGAGTATCAAAATTGTGGCTCAAGTTGGAAAGTTGCTGAGCCAGGAGTGTGGCAAAAGAGGTCATTAGGGCCACACCCAAATTAAAGGCAACTGTGACAAGTGCTGCTCCAGTATCACTACACTCTTAACTGTAAAAACAACAGACAAATCAGTTTTTCAGAATTTATTGTGCTCAACATCACCAATATAATTTTAATAGTTTTTTAATAAACTGAGACACTCGAATCTTAAAAAATTATATTACTTTAACTTTTTCCTCTATTACCATTTTCATGTATTATGGATGACTTTCAATTTAAAAACTATTTTTATGAACTGAATTTAGGGTTGTGGTGGAAGGAGGAGGGTAGGAGGCAATAGTGAGATAGTCACAAAAAAAGTTCTAGATCTCAAACTGACTCAGTCATTGGTATCTTTAAATGAGTGGATTCTGAGAAGTAGTATCAAAGAAGGCAAACATAGTATTTATACCGAGAGAAATACCACCTCTGCCTGTACCCACACCAAGGAACTCTAATGTAAAGTAAGATGCCTCTCACTTTTCTTGTTCCTCCAAGTGAGTCAGTCAGTTACAATGAAATTCCACAGGATCTCCAAAAAGATGCCAGCTCTGGTGAAGATATTATTTATGGTCACAAAAAAAGCTACTCAGTACCTTTAAGACCTAGTGCTCTGTTAACTGTGGTAGATTTGTAAGAGCAGGGGCTGAGAAAAGTCTGACTAGAACAATGGCTTAGGGTGAGGAGTAGGGAAGAGAGAAATTTCCATTCTAGCACTAGTCTCTCCTGAGTCACTCATGCTAGATGTGTGGGTGTTCTCAAGGACTGTGGACAAAGGGCCTTCCAAGGATTCAGAAAGCTGCCAAACAGCTACTGCATTCATTACAACACAGCCACTTATGAGCTAACCTCTTCTTTCTAAAATTATTAACTTTGACTACTAGTTTGCATATAACCATTACGTATGATTTACAGTGTTGGGCTTTTACAAAGTGACTTGGGCATTACTTCCATCCTGGAGTTTCAGCCAGGTATCATGGTTCTTTGTCAGATGCCACTAGCTCTCTGTGAAGGAAACAACAGGTACAGAATAGTTCCGTCTTTCCATATACTATCAGTAGTAAAGATGTATACTTTAGCTCAACTAAAAGACATAATGGAGTCTGCTTCATGTCTTTCCCAAATAATCAAGTCTGTATCTGTATTATCAATACCAAATATTATTAATGCCAGATAGAATATAGCCTATAAATGTATAATATTTTAAAATTATTGTAAAAAACACGGATCAGAGACCAAAAACCCCAAACTGACACATAACTCCCTGAAAGTCTTTCCCAGAAGTCAGGAGCGAGGGCCAGGTGCCGTGACTCATGCCTGTTATCCCAGCACTTTGGGAGGCCGAGATGGGTGGATCACTTGAGGTCAGGAGTTCAAGACCAGCCTGACCACCACGGTGAAACCCCATTTCTACTAAAAATACAAAATTAGCCGGGTATGGTGACACATGCCTGTAATCCCAGCTATTTGGGAGGCTGACACAGGAGAACTGCTTGAACCCAGGAGGCAGAAGTTCCAGTGAGCTGAGATATTGCACTCCAGCCTGGGCAACAAGAGCAAAATTCCATCTCAAAAAAAAAAAAAAAAAAAAAGTCACCAGACGGGAGTATAGTTAGATGTTCCCCCACTGATTTCTTCTGTACGTTATTCTTATCAATTAAGCAGGAGCTCCCCCTTGTAAACTCGTTAGCAAATTTTATTATCTTGGGAGTTTTGGTGGGCTAAGACTGAAGGTCCCTCTGGTGCTGACAGTGTTACTTGACTGAGGGTAAAATGTGGATGGTAGTGTGTTCCTTTTTGAGAATTTGAAAACTAAGAGGTCAATGTACTACCCACAATAAAAGATGAACTAGTAATTTGGAACACTCTAGACCAAAGAAACAAGGAAAGTGAAAGGAAAGAATGTAAGTTATTATAGAGGTTGCTTTAGGAAATGCTAAAGGAACTCAGAATAAGTTTAATCTTAGAAAAATAGGATGGGAACAATAGACTATAACACAAAAGCTATAAAGAATAATATAAGAAATGAAACTGTTGAGAAATAATATTAATGCAAATTTAGAACAGTAACTATTCCTCCTTTCCCCCACCCCCATATCTTAGGAAAAAAAGGCTTCCAGAAGAACAACAAAACCCCCATACGATCTTCAAGAGTTAACTATTGTATAAAACAATCCTACCGTCACTTCAACCACTTTTTCAAAATAATTTATTTGGTTTCAGTGGCAAAATTCTGTAACACTCAACAAATTAATCTTTTAATTCTAAATTCATTTATAAGCGATTTCCATTTTACAGAGTAAATAAGCTACTCTATTGAAGAAAGAGTAGGTAACTGTTATGAAAAGCCTTAAAATACACGCAAAATAACAGGAAGCAAAAAAATGTTCTAAGAAGTTTCATTTTCCTAATAGTTTACTGAGGTTCATTAGCAAACACACTATTAACATGCTGAATCTCTAACTTTAGGATACACATATCAGTCATTATTTCTATATTATCAGTTAACCAGCATATTAATAGACCCTAAAATGGAGCATTTCTAAGAAAGATAAAGCCAAATCTAAGCTAGAGATTTTTTTTTTCCCCCTTGAGACCGAGTCTCACTCTGCCAACCCAGACTGAAGCGCAGTGGCTCAATCTCAGCTCACCTGCATCCTTCGCCTCCCGGTTCAAGCGATTCTTTGGCCTCAGCCTCCCCAAGTAACTGGGATAGGGTTTCACCATGGCTGGTCTCGAACTCCTGACCTCAAGGGATCCGCCCTCTTCAGTCTCCCAAAGTGCTAGGATTACAGGCCTGAGCCACGGTGCCCAGCTTAGAGATTTAATCAGTAAAACAAAAAAGGGACAGAGTAACTCTGTGTTATGTGTCAGAATATATGAGTTTTAGAAATTAGATTGTAATTTGTGGAACTTTTATACTATCGTTAGCTCTATAATCTTGTAGGAAATCACACCTTCTCAAGTGTCTGTCTCTGTAACTATGTGATGAGACTATTATGATCTAAAGGTCTCTGGTCTCAGAAACTACCATTTTATGACTATACCTGTTAGAATTAAATCTCATAAAGGATTTGTTGCCTTAACCAAGGAGGCAGTGAATCACCTAAGACTTAATCCAAGTTGATCATATAACATCAATTCATCTATGGAAATATTTTCGATCATTAATAAAATGAATGCATTAAACAGTCAAGTGTCCTTGTGTTATTTTTAAATGTTACTCTAAGAATTGTTGGGGCAGACACAGTGGCTCACGCCTATAATGCCAGCACTTTGGGAGGCCGGGGTGGGCGGATCACGAGGTCAGGAGTTCGAGACCACCCTGGCCAACACGGTGAAACCCCGTCGCTACTAAAAATACAAAAATTAGCCAGGCGTGGTGGCAGGCACCTGTAATCCCAGCTACTCGGGAGGCTGAGGCAGGAGAATCGCTTGAAACTGAAAGGCAGAGGGTTGCAGTGAGACAAGATCACCTGCCTGGGCAAAAGAGCGAAACTCCGTCTCAAAAAAAAAAAAAAAAAAAGAAAAAGAAAAAAAAATTGTTAAGACTTAGAATCCAAGAATGATGAATCAACCCCATTCTGGTGCCCATGTTAAGTTCATTTTCAAAAAAATGAAGTATGGAATGAAGTAAAAATTTTCAGAGATAGAAGCAAACCTTTTTTTTTTTTTTATTGAGACAGAGTTTCACTCTTGTTGCCCAGGCTGGAGTGCAATGGTGCGATCTCGCCCAGGCTGGAGTGCAATGGCATGATCTCGGCTCACCGCAACCTCTGCCTCCCAGGTTCAAGCAATTCTCCTGCCTCAGCCTCCCGAGTAACTGGGACTACAGGCATGCACCACCATGCCGGGCTATTTTTTTTTTTTTTTTTTTTTTTTTTTTAGTAGAGACAAGGTTTCTCCATGTTGGTCAGGCTGGTCTCAAACTCCCGACTTCAGGTGGTCCGCCTGCCTTGGCCTCCCAATGTTGGGATTACAGGCATGAGCCACCGCACCCAGCCAGAAGCAAACCTTATAACCAATGCGACTGATCCTATATGCTGTGGGATTTAGCGGACACCACACAGAAGACATCAGTCAAACTCAAGTTGCAAAGCCTAATCAGATCCTTACATCCTTGTATCCACAAGGTTAAAACTTTTCATTTAATCCTATACCAAATTCCAAACCTCTACAACCACATTTTAACAATGAGGTATACTGGAGTAGTAAAGTGACCATGTGACCTGGCTGCCCAGGACCATTCCAGTTTAAGCCCACTGTCCTAGCAGACAGATCTCATTTTATTGTCTTTTGCTCTACTGCTCTTTTGCAGATACTGTGGTGTGTTTTTGTTGTTTTAACCAATTGAAGGTTTGTAGCAACACTGAATCAAGCATGTCTATCAGAGCCAATTTCCACCAGCGTGTGCTCAACTTCATGTCTCTGTGGCACATTTTGGTAATTCTCCCAATATTTCAAACTTTTTATGATTATTTTATCTGCTATGGCAATCTGTGATCGGTGGTCATTAACGTTACTACTGTAATTGTTTTGGGGTACCAGAATGCATGCCCACACAAGATGGTAAACTTAATCGATATATGCTGTGTCTGTTCTGACTGCTCCAACAATGGGGTGCTCCCAATCTCTTCTGTCTCCTCTGGCTTACCTATTCCCTGAGACACAAAAATATTAAAATTAGACCAATTAATAACCCTACAATGGCCTTTAATTAAGTGTTCAAGTGAAAAGATGAGTTACATGTCTCTTACTTACAAAAGCTAGAAATAATTAAACTTAGTGAGGAAGGCATGTCGAAAGCCAAGACAAGCTAAAGCTGGGCCTCTTGTACCAAACAGCAATGTCGTAAGTGCAAAGAAAGAGCTCTTGAAGGAAATTAAAAGTGCTACCCCAGTGAACACACAAATGATAAGAAAGCAAAACAGACTTATTGATGATATGGAGAAAACTTTATGTGGTCTGAATAGAAGCTGAGGCCAGCCACAACATTCCTTTAAATCAAAGCCTAATCCAGAGCAAGGCCTTAATTCTCTTCAATTCAGTGAAGGCTGAGAGAAGTAAGGAAGCTGCATAAGAAAAATTTGAAGCTAGGAGAGGTTGATTCATGAGGTTGACCGAAAGAAGTCACCTCCAGAACATAAAAGTACAAGCTGAAGGTACAAGTGCGAATGTAGAGCTGCAGTAAGTTATCCAGAAGATCTAGCTAATATCACTGATGAATGAAGATGGCTACACAAAATACCATATTTCCAATGTAGAGGAAACAGCCTCATACCAGAAGATGCCATCAAGTACTTTCATAGGAGGTCAGTATCTGGCTTTAAAGGAAGGCTGACTCTTCAGAGCTAATTGCAGCTGGTGACTTTAAGATGAAGCCAATGCTCATTTAGCATTCCAAAAATCCTAGGGTCCTTAAGAATTATGCTAAATCTACTCTGCCTGCACTCTACAAATGGAACAACCAACCAAGCCTGGATGACGGCATCTGTTTACAAAATGCTTCACTGAATATTTTAAGTCCATTGTTGAGACCTACTGCTCAGAAAAAAAAGATTCCTTTCAAATTATAATTGCTCATTGACAATGCAGCACCTGTTTACCAAAGAGCTCTGAGGGAGATGTACAAGATTAATGCTGTTTTCATGCCTGCTCACATAAAACAACATCCATTCTGCAGCCCATAGATCAAGGAGTAATTTCAACTTTCAAGTGGAATTATTTAAGAAATACATTTCGTAAGGCCATAGCTGTCATAGACAGTGGTTCTTCTGACAGATCTGGGAAAATAAATTGAAAACCACCTAGAAAGGATTCACCATTCTAGATGCCATTAAGAAGATTTGTGATTCATGGGAAGAAGTCAAAATATTAACATTAACAACAGTTTGGAAGAAGCTGATTTCTACTCTCATGAATGACTTTGAGGACTTTTAAGATTTCAGTGGAAATCTTCCACCTGCAGATGTGGTAGAAACAGGAAGAGAAATACTAGAATTAGAAATGGAGCCTGAAGATGTGACTGAATTGCTGCAAACTCATGTTAAAACTTGAACAGATGAGAACTTGCTTCTCATGGATGAGCAAAGAAAGTGGTTTCTTGAGAAGGATCTACTTCTGGTGAAGATGCCATTAACACCGTTGAAATGACAACAAAGGACTGAAAACACTGCATAAACTTAGTTGATAGAGCAGTGGCAGGGTTTGAGAGGATTGCCTCTGATTTTGAAAGAAATTCTATTCTAGCTGAGATGGCATCAAACAGCATCACATGCTATAGAAAAATCGTTTGAGGGCCGGGTGTGGTGACTCATGCCTATAATCCCAGCACTTGAGAGGCCCAAGCGGGCAGATCACCTGAGGTCAGGAGTTCAAGACCAGCCTGACCAACATGGAGAAACCCCATCTCTACTAAAAATACAAAATTAGTTGGGTGTGGTGGTGCATGCCTGTAATCCCAGCTACTTGGGAGGCTAAAGAAGGAGAATTGATTGAACCCGGGAGGCAGAGGTTGTGGTGAGCCGAGGTCGCGCCATTGCACTCCAGCCTGGGCAACAAGAGCGAAACTCTGTCTCAAAAAAAAAGAAAAAAGAAAAAAGAAAAATCTTTTGTGAAAGGAAGCACAAACTGATGCAGCAAACTTCACTGTTGTCTTATTTTAAGCAATTGCCACGGCCACCCCCAACCAGTCAGCAACCATCAACATGGAGGCAAGACCCTCCACCAGCAAAAAGATAAGGACTTCTAAAGGCTTAGATGATCGATTTCTTGGCAATTAAGTATTTTCTATTTAAGGTACATACGCTGGTTTTTAGACAAAATGCTATTGTGCACTTAACAGACTACAGTATAGTGTAAGCATGACTTTTATACACTGTAGGGAACCAAAAATTTCTGTGACTTGCTTTATTGAGATAATTCACTCAATTGTGGTGGTCTACAACCAAATCTGCAATTATTAATGCTATTTATTTTCATTCTTAGAAATATCCCACTTTGGAAGACATTGTGTGGTCATCCTGTAGATAAGACATTAATATTATAATTCAGGCCGGTCATGGTGGCTCAAGCCTGTAATCCCAGCACTTTGGGAAGCCATGGTGGGTGGATCACCTGAAGTCAAGGGTTTGAGACCAGCCTGGCCAACATGGTGAAACCCCGTCTCTACTAATAATACAAAAATTAGCTGGGTGTGGTGGCGCACGCCTGTAATCCCAGCTACTCGGGAGGCTGAGGCAGAACTGCTTGAACCCAGGAGGCAGAGGTTGCAGTGAGCAGTGAGCCAGAATTGCACCACTGCATTCCAGCCTGGACAACAAGAGTGAAACTCCACCTCAAAAAAACAAACAAACAAAAAATATTATAATTCAAAATTATTACTTCAATACTTAAAAGGTAAAAAATGAATCATCCTGGTGTACCATTTAACGTTCATATAAAAGGTAATAAAACTTCCTTAGGCATACACTGAGAACCACACACGTGATGCCATCCATAACTAAGAGCAGTTCTTAAGATTGTTTTTTTTTTTTTGAGACAGAATCTCACTCTGTCACCCAGGTTGGAGTGCAGTGGTGTGATCTTAGCTCATTGCAACCTCTGCCTCCCGGGTTCAAGCGATTCTCCGGCCTCAGCCTCCTGTGTAGCTGGGATTACAGGTACTCACCACCTTGCTCGGCTAATTTCTTTTTGTATTTTTAGCAGACGGGGTTTTGCTGTGTTGGCCAGGGTGGTCTCGATCTCCTGACCTCAGATGATTTGCCTGCCTCGGCCTCCCAAAGTGCTGGGATTACAGGCATGAGCCACCATGCCTGGCTGGTTCTTAAGATTAATAAAAACAAAAAGTTGTCTATATATCAAATGAACAGATACTAATTCAGACAACGAACCATAATATTAACCTCAGTAATGCCAAAAAATAAAGCAACTTTAGTAATGATACATTAGAGCTTTTAATTTGTAAATATCCTTTCCCTCCTCCTCTATTCACTTATCCTTTAATATAATAACTCCTGGCCAGGTGTGGTGGCTCATGCCTAAAATTCCGGCACTTTGGGAGGCCAAGGAATGAGGATCACTTGTAGCCAGGAGTTCCAGATTAGTCTGGGCAGCTAAGCATGATCTTGTCTCTACCAAAAATTAAAAAATTAGCCAGGCATGGTGCCTCATGCCTGTAAGTCCCAGCTACTTAGGAGGGTTGTTTGTACCCAGATGTTCAAGGCTGCAGTGACCTATGATCACACCACTGCACTCCAGCCTGGGTGACAGAGCAAGACCCTGTCTCAATAAATAAATAAATAAAAATAAGTCCTTTAATAACATTTTATGCCTCCTTAACTAAGTTAAAATGAAACTAGTAGCTAATAATACACCTACGCACATTTTTTTTTTAAACAGCTACTCCTGAGTAGCTAGGAGTACAGGTGAGTCCCACCACCCAGCTGTCTCCCCCAGCCTGGAACGGAGTGCAGTGCAGTGATCACAGCTTACTGCATCCTTGAACTCCTGGACTCAAGGGATCCTCCCACCTTAGCCCTACTATAGGCACAGGCTACCACGCCCAGCTAATTGTTTTTATATTTTGGAGAGACAGGGTCTCATCATCTTGCACAGACTGGTAACTCCTAGGCTCAAGTGGTCCTCCTGCCTCAGCCTCCCAAAATGCTGGGATTACAGGTGTGAACCACCATGCCTAATTTAAAAAAAAAAAAAAAAAAAAAAAAAAAAAAAAAATATATATATATATATATATATATATATATATATATATATAGTAGGGACACAGTCTTGCTATGTTGCCTAGGCTGGTCTTGAACTTCTGGCCTCAAGTGATCCTCCTGCTTCGGCCTCCCCAAGTGTTGAACTTACAGGCATAAGCCACCTCACCTGACTGAGGAACACTTTTAAAATGTACATTTATCTCCTAAGGTATAAGGAACAAAGTAATTTTTAATAAAACAGTATTTTCAATAGGTAAACATTCATATAGCTAAAGTATAAACACAACGTAGTCAGATATCTGCCTCTAAGAATCAACAACAACAAACAACCTTCAAATACAGACTTACAATCTGTTCAAATATCATGAATGGCCTGACCAGTCAAGTTACAAGCAAAACAAAGTACAATTCTCCCTTGAATTTTTTTTTTTTTTTTTGAGCTGGAGTCTCGCTCTGTTGCCCGGGCTGAAGTGCAGTGACACGATCTCAGCTCACTGCAACCCCAACTTCCCAGGTTCAAGCAATTCTTGAGCCTCAGCCTCCCGAGTAACTGGGATTACAGGCACGCATAATCATGCCTGGCTAATTTTTCTAATTTTTTTTTAGAAGAGACGGGGTTTCTCCATGTTGGCCAGGCTGGTCTCAAACTCCTGACCTCAGATGATCCTCCTGCCTCAGCCTCCCAAAGTGCTGTGATTACGGGCATGAGCCACCATGCCTGGCTTTCCTTGATTTTTACACAGTAGATGCATTCCTGGTTAATTCTGTATGTTATTAAAACCATAAAATAGGCCAGGCATGGTGGCTCACACCTGGTAATCCCAACACTTCGGGAGGCTGAGGCAGATGGATCATTCGCGGTCAGGAGTTCGAGAGCAGCCTGGCTAGCATGGTGAAACTCCCCTCTATTAAAAATACTAAAAAACTAGCTGGGCGTGGTGGTGTACACCTGTAATCCCAGCTACTTGGGAGGCTGAGGCAAGGGAATCTCTTTAACCCAGGAGGAGGAGGTCACAGTGAGCTGAGATCACGCCACTGCACTCCAGCCTGGACGACAGAGTGACACTCCATCTCAACAACAACAAAACCCATAAACTAAAACTTTGTCTTTAAATGTAAAGCCAAATTAGGCTTTGGCCTCAGATAGCTCCTCTAAGTTTTTTACCTAACTGAAAGAACAGCTGGACAATTCCTTACACAGGCCTGGGCTCCTATGTGTTAAAGGATGTGTAGCACCACTGACCTCTGTCCAAAGTCAGTGCTACGCTCCCCACCTGAGCAGAAACACTGAGAGAACGGGTATATACAAGTGCTATGGGAGCTCAAAATAAAAAATAATTATTTAATTATGGAGTTAGAAGAATTTTTCTTAAGGTAACAAACGAGAGACAGAAAATACGGGGGGAAAAGGTATTCCAAGGCGAAGACTGGCATTTGAAAAGGTTTATCTGCACTAAGATGTAGAAAGTCACTGAAGGTGACTTTCTTTATAAAAGAAAGAAATTTCAATCACAAAGAGAACTAAAGACACCAATATTTCACAGTATTCACTATGAATTATATTTGACTGACTCAGTGGAATAAGCACTGGGCCAGTAATTTGGTTTTAGAGTATGAGTTTAGATCAAGTTCCTCAGTTTCATCTCCTCTTCTACAAAACACATTTGACCCTTGAACACAGGTTTGAACTTTATGGGTCCACTTTTCTACGGATTTTTTCCAGTCAGGCCTCCCTATCAGCAGGTTCTACAACCACAACCAAACATGGATCACAAACACAGTATTAAGGAGACGCAAAACCTGCATGTAAGGAGGGCCGGCTTTTTGAACCCACAGGTTCCAGAGGGCTGAAGAAGGAACTTGCGTATGTGTGGATTTCAGTATTCAAGGAGGTGCTGAAACCAATTCCCCTCAGATACAGAGCGATGGTTATAATAAAAAAAAATTCTCCAGTTTTAAGAATCTACAGTAATTCTGAAGCACTAAACCAAAACGGCAAACTCTTAAGCAGATGAACTCAATAAAAATGTTTTCTCAGTTATTTTTCATTCACAAAATGTAGCACAGTGTCTATCACATAGTAGGACTCATTATTTGTCAAATGAACATCAGCCATGGCCTGGCAACATGTTGAAATGGATGCAACAGAAGTGGAATTTCATACAGAATACTACTTTGAAATGATATGTGAATTATTTTATTTATTTTGATCAAAGTCATAATGTGTAATAGGTTAAGACTACTCAAAAATTCCTAAGAAAAAATGATAGTTTCCCCATTCTGTTCTCTCTTTTTTTTTTTTTTTTGAGACAGGGTCTCACTCTGTTGCTCATGCTAGAATACAGTGGCATCATCTCAGCTCACTGCAGCAGCAACTTCTAGGCTCGAGTAATCCTCCCACCTCAGCCTCCCAAGTAGCTGGGACCACAGGCGCATACCACCACATCTGGCTAATTTTTGTATTTTTTTGTAGAGATGGGGTTTTGCCATTTTACCCAGGCTGGTAACTACTGAGCTCAAGTGATCCTCCCACGTCAGCCTCTCAAAGTGCTGGGATTACAGGCATGAGGCCACCACACCCCAGCCTCTGCTCTGTTTCTAAGCTCCTTCAGGGAATACTTTTTTAAAAAAATCCTCACTTGATATGTCCAATTCTTGTCCCCTGCCCAAGGCAGCCATCATTTACTAGTTTCTTGTACATTCTTTTTGTTGTTGTTGTTTTGTTTCTGAGACAGGGTCTCAATGCATCGCCCATGCTGGAGTGCAGTGGTGCGATCTCGGCTCACTGCAACCTCTGCTTCCCGGGTTCAGGCAATTCTCCCACCTCAGCCTCCCCAGTAGCTGGGACTACAGGTGTGCACCACCATGACCGGCTAATTTTTTTTTTTTTTTGGTAGAGGGGGGTTTTCACCATGTTGGCCAGGCTGGTCTCCAACTCCTGACTCAAGTGATCTGCCCGCTGTGGCCTCCCAAAATGCTGCGATTACAGGCTTGAGCCACCGCGCCCAGCCTCTTGTACATTCTTTTAAGGATTCAAAACATTTAAAATCTATGTATGTTCCCCTCTCCCTCATGTTAGCACACTACACATTATTCTACACCTTAGCTTTTCCATTTAGTAAGCGCTCTGAGATAATTCCATGTCCATATATTTAATAGCTGCCTCATTCTATATATAACACTATATGTACAGTATTCTACTGTATGGGCACCCTAATTATTTATTTAGCTTCCTCTGAGGAACACTTAAGCTGCTTCCAATCTTGGTATTTCCAACTATGCACCAAATGTACACTTGATCCACAAGATAAATTGTTAAACTGTCCTTCCTGGAGTTAATTTCAAT
The DNA here is from genome assembly GCF_000001405.40 of Homo sapiens. Classification (NCBI taxonomy): domain Eukaryota; kingdom Metazoa; phylum Chordata; class Mammalia; order Primates; family Hominidae; genus Homo; species Homo sapiens. The sequence goes on from NC_000002.12 coordinate 9,606,197, forward strand.
TTATACTCCCACTAGCAATGCATAAATGTTCCCATTTCTCAACATCTTTCTGAACCCAGTGTGTAACAAACTTTAAACACCTTTTCCGGCCAGGCTTGGTGGCTCATGCCTGTAATCCCAGCACTTTGGGAGGCCAAGGCAGGCAGACTGCCTGAGCTCAGGAGTTTGTGACCAGCCTGGGAAACACGGTGAAACCCCGTCTCTACTAAAATAAAAATAAAAATAAAAATAAAAATAAAAAACCTTTTCCAATCTAATGGGTGAAAAATACCTTACTACAGTTTTATTAGCATTTTTCCTTATCATAAATGCAGGTGAACATCTGTCTGTGTGTGTGTGTGTATATTTTTTGAGACGGAGTCTCGCTCTGTTGCCCAGCCTGGAGTGCAGTGGTGTGATATCGGCTCACTGCAACCTCCGCCACTCAGGTTCACGCCATTATCCTGCCTCAGCCTCCTGAGTAGCTGGGATTACAGGCACATGCCGCCACACTGGGCTAATTTCTGTATTTTTACTAGAGAAGGGGTTTCACCATGTTGGTGAGTGTATATCCTTTGCCCTTTTCCTAATGAGTTTTTCCTTACTGCTTTGTAGGAACTCTATATACTAATTAGTTCATTTTTTAGCTGTCTCTCAGATGAAACTATATGTAAACAGCCTGTCTGGCAACACAACTGCATTTAATATTTTTCTTTTTTTTTTTTTTGAGACAGAGTCTCACTCTGTCGCCCAGGCTGCAGTGCAGTAGCATAATCTTGGCTCACTGCAACCTCCACCTCCCGGGTTCAAGCGATTCTCCCGCCTCAGCCTCCCAAGTAGCTGGGATTACACGTGCGCGACACCATACCCGGCTAATTTTTGTATTTTAGTAGAGATGGGGTTTCACCATGTTGGTCATGCTGGTCTCGAACTCCTGACCTGTGATCCGCCCATCTTGGCCTTCCAAAGTGCTGGGATTACAGGCGTGAGCCACACGCCTGGCCTAATATTTTTCTATTACTTTTTTTTTTCTTTTTTTTTTTGAGACAGGGTTTTGCTCTGTTGCCCAGGCTGGAGTGCAGTGGTGTGATCTCGGCTCACTGCAACGTCCACCTCCCAGGTTCAAGTGATTCTCCTGCCTCAGCCGCTCGAGTAGCTGGGACTAACAGGCACATACCACCATGCCCAGCTAATTTTTTTTTTTTTTGTATTTTTAGTAGACTGAATTTCACCATGCTGGCTAGGCTAATCTCGAACTCCTGACCTCGTGATCCACCCCCCTCGGCTTCCCAAAGTGCTAGGATTACAGGCGTGAGCCATCGTACCTGGCATTTTTCTATTACATTAAATCAGATAAAACAGTACCAACACTTCTGACCGACATGAGAAACGCAAGTGAATATGACTGTGATTTCAGCACAAATAAAATAGACAAAGAGGAGACTTTTAGTTGAAATGCAAGTCTGAATTTGTGTTTATTGTCTACCTGACCATATGAAATGGTAACACATTTTAAAGGTTACTAAATTCTTCCTCTTTTTTTTTTTTTTTTTTGAGACAGAGTCTCAGTCTGTCACCCAGGCTGGAGTGCAGTGGCATAATCTCGGCTCACTGCAACCTCTGCCTCCTGGGTTCAAGCAATTCTCCTGCCTCAGCCTCCCAAGTAGCTGGGACTACAGGTACCAGCTACCACGCCTGGCTATTTCTTGTATTTTTAGTAGAGACGGGGTTTTCGCCATGTCAGCCAGGCTGGTCTCGAACTCCTGACGTAATCCGCCCACCTCAGCCTCCCAAAGTGCTGGTATTACAGGCGTGAGCCACCGAGCCTGGCCAAATGTTACTAATTTTAGAGCAATAAAGAGCAGTATATCAGATTAAAACACACTGCATTCACTTTCAGTATGGAGTACTTAAGAAATGTGTGACTCACAACCTTAAAATAGATTCACAGAAACATGACTTTCTGGTTCCGGCAACACAGTGAGACTGAGCTTACGGAGAATACCTCCCTCTTCTACTAAAAATAATCTAAATGCTAAGTAGAAATACTTTAAATAAAAATAGAAAAAACATACAGTAGAGCTTCAAAGAAAAGAGGGGAAATACATCGAGGCGCTAGATAGGAGGAAAGAAAGCTACAGCAATAAGTGAAAGTTTACAACACAACAACAGTGTGGAGGAGGGTGAGGACCCTAGAAAAACTTTGTCATCGCTGAGAAGTAGCCAGAAATCTACTTCCTGGGTTTTTGGGGGTGCAGTCTCCCATAAAAAGCAGAAACTCGAACCTATGTTCTTCTGTGCAGGTGCTAGTCAAACGTTTATTTCATGCATGATGTATGAAAACACAAGCTGAAAATGTTAAAAATGGGCTGGAGCACAGTGTGCCCAGCACAAATAATCAAAACTACTGTGTAAACAGAGAGATTCTCACAATCTAAGGTACACACAAGTGCCATAAAAAAAAGCAACATCCACGCTATTAAAAATAACAGGCTGGGTGCGATGGCTCACGCCTGTAATCCCAACATTTTGGGAGGCCGAGGTGGGTGGATCACTTGAGGTCAGGAGTTCGAAACCAGCCTGGCCAACATGGCGAAACCCCGTCCCTACAAAAATTAGCCAGGCGTGTTGGCGGGTGCCTGTAATCCCAGCTACTCAGGAGGCTGAGGCAGGAAGATCACTTGAACCCAGGAGGTACAGGTTTGCAGTGAGCTGAGATTGTACCACTGCACTCCAGCCTGAGCAACAGAGCAAGACTCCAAATCAAACAAACAAACAAACAAACAAACAAAAATAACAAAAATACTCAAGGGACGGATTCTCTATCATGAGGCGTCAGCAGACACAAACAGGATAGTCAGTTCCCAAGAGCTTTAAAACTGTGTATAATAAAACATAAATATGCTGAAAATAATTAAATAATCTTTTAAAGATGTTGAGGCTGGATACATAGGGTTACTACAGGATTTTCTTCACCTCTACCTAAGTTTGAAATTTTTCCTGACTAAAACAATCAAAAAGATTTTAAAAGAAAAACAGAAGCCAGGAGAAATGAACCATATATACAGTGAATTTTAAAAGGCAGCTTGGAGGTGGGAGAAGCGGAAGGGCTTTTAGAATAAAAAAAAATGAAAACAACTTTAAAATTGGAGATGGACAAAGAAAATTAATACAACAAAAGGCATATTTGAATAAATTACTCAGAATACAGAATAAAGAATAAGACAAAAAAAGTGGAAAAATTATAAGATGCGAATAGAAAGAGAAGGTCTAAGGTAATAGCCAACAGCTATTTCAGGAGAGAACAGAAAGAATGAAGATGAGATGTTATTCTGGGATAATGGCCGAGACTTCCAGTAATGGGATAAATACCTTGAGATAGGAAAAGCACAATAAATCCCAAGCAAGATAAAAAAAAATCATACCTAGATCATGGTAAAATTGCAGAATGCCAAAGACAAGAAAATTCTTAAAAGCAACCAGAGAAATGACACATTACCATAAAGGAAGAAACAACAATATGACAGCTGATTTTTCATCAGAAAACAATCAAGTAAGTATCTTCAAAGTGCGGAGAAAAACAACTGTCAACTAGAATTCTGTAACCAATTAAAGCACCACACAAAAACAGTGCAAAAACATAAAGACGTTTCCAGAAAGACAGAAGTTCCCACTCACAGATCATTACTAAAAGAAACTTTTTTAGAGTGGGAAGGAAGAAGTAATGGAATAAAAGAAGTCATCAATTAGAGTATTAACAGTCCAAAATAAGAGTACTGTAAAGGACTGAGTTGGCTATTAAAGCAAAGAAGTATGAAGAGGACACGTGTTTCCCGCATCTCTTTCAGAGGATTATCTTAATTTTGGAGGACAGTTACATGATTTTTTCCCCCTTAATCTACCAAGTGTCTGCCTTTTAAGACCATACTTTCTAAAATCTGACAACTGAAGTATTGATTATTTGCTCCAGAAGAAAATGTTTCACTAGAATAATCAAGGATCCTAAATATTTCAACAGCCCAGTATCTATCTTAAGGTAAATGACAAGACGACATGGGTCCATTTCACTGGTATGATTTAACCAATATCTACATGCTAATAACTCACAAATTTGCTCCTTACCTAGTTGTATCTCAGTTTCTTCATCTGTAAAACAGTTACTGACAGTTCTTAATTCATAGGGTTGTTGTGAAGATTAAATGAGTTAACACAAACTCTGCTTGGTACATAACCCTCAATTGTGTCATACAGCATGACACAAATCTTTCTCTTACATACCATACCAAGTGCCTCCGACATATATTAACATCTGGATGGACCACTGGAACTTTAAACTTTACTCTTTTTTTTGAGACAGAGTTTCATTCTTCTTGCCCAGGCTGGAGTGCAACGGCGCAATCTCGGCTCACTGCAACCTCCACCTCCTGGGTTCAAACGATTCTCCTGCCTCAGCTTTCCAAGTAGCTGGGATTACAGGCATGCGCCACCATGCCCGGCTAATTTTGTATCTTTAATAGAGACGGGGTTTCTCCATGTTGGTCAGGCTGGTCTCGAACTCCCAACCTGAGGTGATCCGTCTGCCTCGGCCTCGGAAAGTGCTGGGGTTACAGGCATGAGCCACCGCACCCTGCCTACTCATTTTTTAAAAATTAAATTTACCTTCCTGACACGATCTACTATTGATTCTGCTCCCCTACTCGATTTTCTGTCTTAGGAAAAGTACTCAGTAGCCCTAGGCAGAAACCTAGGAGTCACCCTACTCTTTCTTTGGACTCATTCTCCCTGCCTTCTATATTTAGTCACCCAAGCCCCTGGAAGTAGTTTTCTCCAGGAAGTCAAGACTGATTTGGAAACTTTTCTCAGACAAGTAAGCATAGTATACTTTGAGAACATATATTTCCCTTCTCTTTAGAGCCACTGAAAGAAAAGATATTTTCTTGTCCGGGTTTGATACATAAGGACACTGAAGGATCCAATGTACAGTCTAAAAAAGTGTGAACCACAATCAGTGCACTAACAAATCTACCCCCTACTGTGGAGACGATGGTCATTCAACATTTGAGCAGCATCCAACTCTTCTCTGTCATACCACACTTACTAAACAATTTAATGATTATGTCTTGATTCCTACGTGAGTCTATCTGCCTCCTGAAAGAGAACATACTAGTCATGTCAACACAGTACTGCAATCTTTGTGCTAGTTATGGCTCACTGTAAATGAATAAGCTAACTTTCCTGGTTTTATGCACCAGTCGCATGAGCTTGATCACTGTGGATCTAGGCTTGAAAGATTGCTCCACCCTGGTATAGCTCACAAAGCTAAAGGCCACACCATGAATTGCAGTAAACTCACAAGAGTAATGCTAACCCTCCCGCTCCATCTTTTGGGAAATACCCCCCAACACATACACACTCCTAACTTCTCTGTAGTGTTACATGGCTTAGTATCCTTACATATTTTGAAATATGTATATCTACTAGATCCCAAACCTGTTTCTATACTCTTTTTTTGAGGCTAGGTCTCACTGTGTCACCCAGAGGCTGGAATGCAGTGGTGCGATGTCAGCTCACTACAACCTCTGCCTCCCGGGTTCAAGCGATTCTCGTGCCTCAGCCACCCGAGTAGCTGGGATTACAGGTGTGCACCACCACGCCCAGCTAATTTTCGTATTTTTAGCAGATGAGGTTTGGCCATGTTGGCCAGGCTGGTCTCAAACTCCTGGGCTCATGTGATCTACCCGCCTTGGCCTCCCAAAGCGCTGGAATTACAGGCGTGAGCCACTGCGCCCATCCCTGTTTCTATACTTACATTACTTATTTCTACCAATTATTCCCTCACCCTCTGATCTCCCAGCCACCTACGTTCATCCACACTACCTCTGAGTTTTCACTCTCCATTTCCCATTCCACCACAAATTGCCAAAGTCCTACTGATTTCACCTTTTCACAGTGTCACAGTATTTTTGAAAATCTATCTTCTCAGTCTCATTCCTATTTCTATTACCCAAGTTAACTGTATCATTTCACCTCAACTGCTCCAATAATCTAACTGATCTACCAGGTTTTTGGGTTCCTCTTTCTCGGATCCAGTTTACACCTTGCTGCCAGATTAATCTTAAATTCCATTGCGGGCACGTTAACTCCTTCTCAAAACCCCCAATGGCCTGTTAAAGGATAAACTTAAAGCCAGACATTGTTCTGCAGACTCAAGGTCCTGCAGAATCAGACCCTAACCTAGAGCTTCCAGGTAATTTAAATGGTAAAGAGATATTGATCCCCTTAGTAACCACCACAGCAGGGTGAGAAATCCATTTTCCTCTGTACTATACAAAGATTGTTATTCTGTGTGCCATTACACAAAAGGAGTTGGGAAGCATTGTCCTGACTGACATCAACCTTATGTCTATTATAACCTTTTCTGGACCAGTAGGAGGAGTGTGGAGCAACAACAAGGTGCCTCCCAAAAACCTAAGTGGCACTCTAAGAAGTAACATATGCAAGTATTCTTCATGTCAGGATGCTAGGAATACAGCAGGTATTGGGAGGAAAGTTTAAAAAGCAACACTAAGTATCTCCAGCACTACTCAAAGATAAAGCCACCCGAGCCCATGAGTACAGTCTTTCAACAGTAAGGCAGCTACACTGAGGCTAGATGCAGCACTATTAGAGTGACTGGTCATGAAGGTCATCCAACTACAGCCTCTTGTTGATTTCTGTGTTCACCACTCAATCTTCTAGTGGTAATTTGGGTCCTCCTGTACATTTACCAACAAACAATAAACATGGCTCGATCATGTCTCTTTGCCTGACTTAATCCTTGCAGCTCCTCTCTCAACAGACCAACAAATTAGACATAGAGCCAACAGGATGAGGGAGGGACAAACCCTCAACCATGAATGTACACTATTTTACTCGTCTAGCACCCTACTACCTCTTCCTTATCCTGATAAGAAGAGGGAAAATCCTTCAAAAATATTTTTTTTAAAAAGTGTTATTGGGCCTTCATATGGAGCACTCATTAATGTGAATTTGCTTTTCTGGATGAAAAAGGATTAACATCAGTATTTGTGCAGACTAAAAATCACATCACATAAAAAGTTTTCAAACTTTTGAGATTTAAGTCTAAAAGGAACAAAAAAGGCATAAAACCCAACATTAACTGGAATATTTGCCAAATTAATGTCATGAATTAAACAATAAGTTGTCATGATGTCAGAGAATATGGGCTCCTCACACTCAGTGGGATATGTGCCACTGTAGTTATAGTGAAAGCAAATACAAGCCTAAGGGTAGGCTTATGCAATCAAGTGGTTTATTATTTTTGTGGGCTAAAGAAAATAAGGAGCTAAAACCCACAGGATAAACAGGCAAAAGAGAAAGGGAAGCAGCAGATGAAGAGAATCCAAGACTCTAAATACAAAGAGAAGCAGCATTATCTCCATGACCCAAATATTTCTCGACATCTTTTCCCAGTCCATCTGATCTCTAGCCACCACCATCCCACAACCCAGGCAAAATTACATACAGTAATATTGCTATCAACATCTGCTATAGCACAGTGGTGTCTTACAGGGAAAGGGACAGCCTTTTTGTGAGCACAGTATTACCTTGCCCCTGCCCCAAACAATTAACCACGTAAAAAAAATAAAGATGTAGTTGAGGAAAAATGTTCACCCTGTCTTCCAACTCAGGTACTGAGGTGCTGTGACTGCAGTGGTGAAGATACCTAACAGAAAGATGGTAGCCTCTGACAAGTCATGAGGCAATAAAGTAAGGGTATGGGTGAGCTGCAATGTGACAGTATTAGAGAAAATCAGAGTGTTTGTTCCTTCACTTCATCCAATGCAGCCTAACCAATTCCAGATGCTATTAGCAATAAACATAATGTCCAGTCTCTGGGCTCCTATGCTATATCCCCACATTTTAGAAGCTGGATACTGAGTGGCCATAACCGCAATATAAAATGTTCTACCTTCTGCTCCAAGATTCCCAGGATATTCAGGTTTGGAAGAAAAGTTTAATACTTCCACTGGTGACACATACTACATTCCAAATCTGTCAATCTGCATTAAAAACAATTACACATACATCACCATCATTTAACAACATTTCCAGGACAGTGCTACAAAAAGAATCAAGGCAAATAAACGCCAAAGTCTATACACACTTTCTTCCCCTTAGAGAATTTACAATTTACTAGCATCCACAAGCTGTTTTAGCTACTGATTTGGGAAAGGCATCTGTTTTTTAGCCATTAATTTGTGGAGGAAAAGGACAAATCATAAAGAAGAAACAAAGAACTTTCCTTAAAATGGGGGGCAAAAGTCAAATCTTGGTCTGGTCATAAAGTAATCAAAATGGACAGACATCCTGATACCTAATAAAAGGATGTTGCATTAAACAAAAATAGGTCAAAATTGCCTTGCTAGCTTAGTATATATGGGTCAAGTTTTGCTATATCCTAAGAAGACTACTAAAGATAGAAAATGGTTTATACTAGCAAGGACACAAGTATACTTTGATTTGAGCTTTGCCTAAGTCTATGGCAAACTGAATTAAGCCACTACTACGTTATAGAAATTACGTCATTATTTGCAGGCTAACTTTTCCATTTATAACTAACACATGCCATATACATTTATCTCTGCAGCTGAAGTATATACAACCCCTTCCTGCCTCTAGTCTATCAGCTCTGTTATGGGGTACAAAGGGAAGAATAGAGTCAACAGGAATTTAAGAGCCTATGGTTAAGAAAATTATTTCGCATTTACAACTAAACTTATATGAGTTACTGATCATATTCAAATGAACCCCCAGGGACAACATAAAAACCCTGGACATGAAGTAGTGTTTAACAGTACATAGAGGAAAAAATAAAGATGAAGTCCTTATTCTTATGTCCTTACAGCTTACCAATACTGATCTGAATTGGGCATAATTTACTTTGCTAGCAGTCACAAGAGCAACTTAGGAAACCGGTAAACTCCAGACAATATAGAACTGAACTGGATCTCATTACCAAACTTGGTGAAAAAGAAGACACTATATAAACATAATCACATATTATTACAGAGGGTAAAAAATTAGAGCAGGCTGGTCCGAAGGTAAGGAGTTATCTTGATTGTTCATTCAGTTACCAAATCAAACTCCTTGTTCTACTCTTCCCCCTTTCTCACTACTGCACTTGACTAGTCTTAAAAAGAATTTTTTTCAATTCAGAAAATAATAAAAAGAAAAAAAAAAAAAGAACTAGAGCAAAGGTAAGAAAGTGGGCAATATAGGAAAGAACCACAGGTAGTTTCATGTGGTTGGAGGACAGAGGGAACAATGAGTGAGAAAAGAGGCTGAAGAAAAATGCTGGAAGGTCTCAGAGGTCCTCTTAGGGAACCCAAACTCCATGTTACATGGTAATGATTGAGTGAAGAAGCAGTAATTATTCCTTCCCCAAGTCTTTATGAGCAATACCAGTATATATTAAAACAGATAAAAGGGAGCACACTGGTTGAAGGGCATATATATTTAAAGCCTAGATTCTTCCCCACTTACACACAAGGGAATTCAGAGAAAGGAGAGATGATCTCAGAAGAACAGGGTCCTGTAAAGGAGGGCTCTACAATGAAAGGCAGTAGGAGAACTCAAAGAACACGATTCTAGAAAAGGGGAATTTGAGTTTCACAGCTAACTAGCTGTGGAACTGAGTAAATTAACATGCCTCAATTTCCTTACAATTTCCTTACTCATGTCTTATCTACCCATAACTGCACACTGGATGGTGCTAGGTAACAGAATTGAAAAGTATTAACAAGCTATAATTTGTAACTATAGAACGTAATAGTACCCAAATTGCATTTCGTAGGATGGGTGTGATTTCAGCGTGCAGAAAGGGAGAGGGAATACATTACAGTAGAGTAATGGAAACAAAATACAGCGCTGTCAACTTGGCTAGAACACAGGAACCACAGAAATCATGAGTTTTCCTTATACCCAATTAGATCTGATTATATTTTCTATAAGTGTGAGAATTTCAGATCAAGGATAAATGAATTGTTATTTCAACAAATGGTGCCAGGGCAATTGGATATCCACATGCAAAAGAATAAAATTGGACCTTTTCCTCACTCCATATGCAAAAAGGAACTCAAAATGGACTAAAGACCTAAACACAGGAGCTAAAATGATAAAACTTAGAAGAAATCATAAGTATATATCTTCATGACCTTGGACTAGGCAATGGTTTCTTAGATCTTATACCAAAAACATAAGCAACCAAAAAAAAAAAAAAAGGACTTCAAAATTAACAATGTTTCTGCTTCAAAGGACACTAACAAGACAATCCACAGAACGGGAGAAAAACATTTGCAAATCATCTATCTGATAAAGGTCTAGTATCCATAATATATTTAAAAAAAAAAAAGATTACAACCCAATGATAAAAACACAAATAACCCAATTTTAAAACAAGCAAAGGATCTGAACAGACATTTCTCCAAAGAGCATATACTAAAGGCCAATAAGTACATGATACCATTTCATATCCACCAGGATTGGTGAGGATGTAGAGAAACTGGAACTCTCTTACACTGTGGTGGGAATGTAAGATAGTACAGCCACTTCGGAAAACAATCTGGCAGTTCCTAAAACATTAAATGGGTATATACACAAGAGAAATGAAAACATGCCCAAGCAAATTCTCACAGCAGCATTATTCTTAACAGCCTAAAGGTAGAAGCAACCCAAATATGTCCATCGATGGACAAAAGATTTTTAAAAAGTAGTACTTTGTTTTGTTTTGTTTTGTATTTGGAGACAGAGTCTTACTCTGTTGCCCAGGCTGGAGTGCAGTGGAGTGATCTCGGCTCACTGCAAGCTCCGCCTCCTGGGTTCACGCCATTCTCCTGCCTCAGCCTCCCGAGTAGCTGGGACTACAGGTGCCTGCCACTACGCCCGGCTAATTTTTTTTTTTTTTTTAGTAGAGACGGGGTTTCACCATGTTAGCCAAGATGGTCTCCATCTCCTGACCTCGTGATCCGCCCGCCTCGGCCTCCCAAAGTGCTGTGATTACAGGTGTGAGCCACCACGTCCGTCCAAAAAAAGTAGTATTTCTATACAGTGTAATATTATTCAGCCACAAAAAGAAGCACAAAATTCTGATACATGTTTCAACATAAACATTATGCAAAATGAAATAAGCTAGACACAAAAAGACAACTATTCTATAATTCCACTTATATGAGGTACCTAGAGTAGTCAAATTCATAGAAAGTAGAATGGTGGTTGCCAGCGGGGAATGGAGAGCTTCTGTTTAATGGGTATAGAGTTTCAGTTTTGCAAGATGAAGAGTTGCAGACGATGGTTGCTGGTTGCATTGCACGACAAAATGAATGTACTTAATACCACTGAACTGTAGCTTAAGAAGGGTTAAAACGCTAACTTTTATGTTACGTGTTATCTTACCACACTATAAGAGTTTTATTTAAAAAAGGTTAGGTGTGGTGGCTCACACTTGTAATTCCAGCACTCTGGGAGGCCATGCAGGAGGATCATCTGGCCCAGGAGTTTGAGACCAGCGTGGACAACAAAGTGAGACCCCATCTCTAAAAAATCAGCTGAGGGTGGTGGTGCACATCTGTAATCCCAGCTATTTGGGAGGCTGAAGTAGGAGGATCCCTTGAGCCCAGGAGTTTGAGGATGCAGTGAGTCATGACCGTGCCATTGTACTCCAGCTTGGGTGACAGAGTGAGACCCTCTGCCAAAAAAAAAAAAAAGTTCTGATGCAAGCTACAACACAAATAAACCTTGAGGGCATTAGGCTAAGTGAAAGAAGCCAGACACAAAACACTACATATTATATGATTCTGTTTATATGAAATGTCCAGAAGAGGCAAATCTATAGGGATAGAAAGCAGATTAGTAGTTGTCAGGAGCTGAGGTAAGGGAAGATAGTGAATGACTATTAATGGATATAGAATTTGTGGTAATGAAAACGTTCTGGAATTAATAATGATGGCTGCACAACTTTGTGAATAAACTAAAAACCACAGAATCATATTTAAAAAGGTAAAATTTATGGTATTTGAATTATATTTAATTTTAAAATATATGTAAACTGACACTCCAAGTTTTTACATAAGGACAACAAAAAACAAGATAGCTTCTCTAACAAGGATAGTATCTGCAACTAAGCCAAATTATTTTGTAAACATTTCTTTGAAACTTAAGGAAAGGAGATAAGTTTCCTTAGAGAAATTAATTCTAAAGAGGGAAATTATTTGTGTAGCAATCATCACTATGACTTTTCAATATATGTGCCTATACTCTTTAGAGTTGTCTTTGTTTCATTTTCTTTTTTGAGACAGAGACTAGGTCTGTCACCCAGGCTTGAGTGAAGTGGCAGGAAGACGGATCACTGCAGCCTAAACCTCCTGGGCTTAAGAGACCCTCTTGCCTCAACCGCCAGTTAGCTCACAGGCACATACCACATCCCCAGCCACTGTTTTGATTTTTTTTTTTTTTTTTGGTAGAGACAGGGTCTCACACTTTGTTGCCAGGGCTGGTCTCGAATTCCTGGACTCAAGCAATCCTCCCGTGTTAGCCTCCCAAATTGCTAGGGTTATAGGTGTGAGCCACCCTGCCCAGCCTATGTTTATTTCAGATGTTCAAAACAACAAACAAAAATAACACACTAGAAAAAATGATCAGAGAATACGTGTTAAATGAGAAATAGTTCAGGGCTTTTATAAATTTGTGACCTCCACCCTTCCCCTTAGTCCTTTTTCTCCATAAACTCTAATTACAAATTCTACTACCACAGCAAAAAAGAGGAATACATCCTTCTGAAAAAATAATATTTGAGAATCTATACTAATAATCTTAGTAGGTCCTTTAAAGACTCAACAGACGTGGGGGCTAAATATGTTGCTTTGGTATCCTGATATAAACTTAAAAGAAAACTACAGTAGTTTCATCAATAGCTAAAATAAGTTTATAAACATTTACCAGGCCATTTTGATTACAAGCAGAAATGTTCAGAAACCTGTCCTGGACAAAAAATAAATCACTAAGTGCTTTTTGGTATCTGTATAAGAAGGATCACCTTCCAGAGATGTACAGCTGATCGTCAACAACAAAATAGAGGTATACAACCTTAAATCCTACCTGCTGAGTTATTCAAACTGCATCAGTGTACACTGTACTATTTAAAACAGCAAGAAATAAGGCATGAAAAACCCTAACAATAAATACAGTAATACCAAAAAAAGGTATTAAATGTTTAAATGTTATATGTGCACTTCAGCCCAGGAGGCAGAGGTTGCAGTGAACTGAGATCGTGCCACTACATTCCAGCCTGGGAGACAGAGGGAGACCTTGTCTCACCAAAAAAAAACATACACAAAAAAACAAAGAGTTACATGTAAAAAAATTAAAAATATATTAAAAATTTAATTATGTAAAAAGTAACTTCCACAGAGCATAGCTATATTTAATGGGATATTCTATCCTTCCAAATGGTGGTCTCTGCAATCAGGCACCAAATAATCAAGAGTATTTTAAATCCGTAATGTAACCTTTCCAACCTCTTATCCATCAGAATCCCAAGAGGGCAAACACTAGCACTGAAGATCTAAAAAGTATATTCCCAAATGACTGGAAACAGTACCAGGCTGAAAGATCAGAACACCTAGTATAAATATGTTTAACTGCAGAGGTTTAACAACTGTAGCTTTTAAGAGCAAAAATCCTGTGAGCTGCATTCAAGTAATGTTTGGTGGAATGTACAAAACAAGAGGGAAAATGGAGTACTAATTATTGAAGAACAACAGCAGTAAGAGTTATTCAGGAATAAAATGTCTAATCTGATGATCCATATAGCTTATGGCTTTAAAGCATTTTCACACACTTCTCCATTTATTTCCTCCAATCACCGCGACATGACGTTCACAATCTATGACCATCCTTTAAGAAAGCATTTAAATTTATGTAAGTTCTTATCATCATGGTCTCACCACTTGCACCATTATTTTTCCATTTCTCTAAGTAAAGCCTGTAGCAAAGGTACAGGAGACAGAATGTTCAAATGAAGAGTATCGTACAGAATATGTATTTAGTACCACACTGTGCCAAACCCAACTGGATACTGTAGTAAAAATCCAGATGACAAAGAGATCATGAAATACTACTCATCTGGATAGAAAAACATGTAAACTGACAATCAAAGGTTGGTATGAAGACAAGTTTCACTGATAAATACTTTGACCAATGCTGGTTAACAGCTAACCTGACTTACTGCCTCCAAAAGCTGTGTATTTTTAAAACTTAAATGCAACCAGCTCTGAAAGACCATTATCCATATTTTTCATGGATGTCAACTCTGCTTTTTGGTCAGGTATTGGGAGGGGCAAGTTAAGAGATTATTAACTTCATATTATCCTTCTCAACACAAGAAAGCAGAAAGACATTCCAACATACCAGATCTTTAGCTGGTTTCCAGGAATTAACAGGGACTTTTATTACCCAATGTCTAATATCAACTATTCTCCTTTCTTCATTATCACATCTGTGATTTTCCTGGTCTTCAAACCTATATTCCTAGGGATAAGATGGGGTGCAGGGGCAGAGAAATGGGAAGGGTGGGGAAGGTTTTACAAATTCCATTATCACCACATATGATGACTACTCAGAAAATAAACTGCTCAATCACCCAAACACAGTAATAAAATTCTCGTAGAACAGCAGTTCTACTATTAACTTCAGTAATTAAATTCTCATAGGGCAAAGTATAGTCTGGGAACCCCTAGAGGTCTCCCCTATATCCTTTGTGGGGTGGAGAGGAGACAAAGTAAAACCACTTTCATAAGTCTAAGATATTTGCTTTTTTTCCACTGTCATTTTCTCACAAGTGGAGTTTTCCAGAAGCTACAGGAGGTGGAATACTACAATAGGTTGAATGAAATGCAATGCCGCTATTCTCATTCAATTTTTTGTTAAAGTTATTTTATTTTCTAAAAAGGGGTCCTGAGATCAAATTTGTGAACCACTGTCCCAGAGTATGGCCAATTAAGACGTCTTACACAGCATCTGGTAACTCCATCAATCTACTTAGCACTCATCACCCAAACAAAAAAGTGATGGTGCCAGTGATGTCTCCTAAGTGGGGATCAATACCGTTCTATACATTCTCGTATCTTGAGGATAACAAGACACAGGCTACACACTATCTTCTTGCTATATGTATTAAAGACACTCAACCAGTGATGTGAAATATCATAACCCCCAATACATGGCAACCAACAATTACAGTGAACACCCCCACATATCCACCACCTGGATCTTACCATTAACCTTTTGCCATACTTGCTTTTTCAGATACCCATACATTTCTAGCAGTTACAAGCTGAAGACATAAGTACAGGCATATCACTAGTTTTTTTTCAAAGCAAAATTTACATACAAAATGCACAAATCTTGGGTGTACATTTGCTGAGTTTTGACAAATGTATAAAACCCAAACCCATATCAACTAAAGAATACAATTATCCATTCTACTATAAAGACACATGCACACATACGTTTATTGCAGCACTATTCACAATAGCAAAGACTTGGAACCAACCCAAATGCCCATCAACGATAAACTGGATCAAGAAAATGTGGCATATATACACCATGGAATACTATGCAACCATAAAAAGGATGAGTTCATGTCCTTTGCAAGGACATAGATGAAGCTGGAAACCATCATTCTCAGCAAACTAACACAGGAACAGAAAACCAAGCACCGCATGTTTTCACTTACAAGTGGGAGTTGAACAATGAGAACACATGGACACAAGGAGGGGAACATCACACAGCGGGGACTGTCAGGGCGTCGGGGGCTAGGGGAGGAATAGCATTGGAGAAATACCTAATGTAGATGACGGGCTGATGGGTGCAGCAAACCACCATGGCACATGTATACCTATGAAAGAAACCTGCACGTCCTGCACTTGTATCCCAGAACTTAAAGTATTAAAAAAAAAAAAAAATACAATTATCCCAGAAGCCTGCCCCTTCCCAATCTCTGCCTATTCTCCCACAGAGGCCATTATTCCTGATTTTTTTTCCTACCATAAACAGGTTGTGTTTGTTCTAAAATTTCATATAAATGGAATCACATACACTATGTACTTTTTCATGCAAAGTTTCTTTCACCTAGCATGTTTTTGAAATTCAATCATATTGTAGTATCAGTGGTCCATTCATTTTAATGCTGAATAGTATTCCATTTATGAATACATCAGTGTTTATCAATTTTCCTACTAGTGGATTATTTCTAGTTTTCTGCTCTTAGAATAAAGCTGTTATTAACATTTTTGTACCTATGCGCCTTGGCCCCATGCATCATTCCCTCTTGCGTAAACACCTAAGAGTGGAATTTCTAGGGGAGGAAAAACTTATAATAGGGAATTTTAAAGGTACACAGGAGAACAAAGAATAGTACAATGAATTCCAATTAAAGCCAGCTGCAACTATATTAATTCATAGACACTCCTGTTTCATCTGTATTCCCCCAATTACTCTGAAGTCCTAGGTATTATCATCATTTTGTCTTTAAATACTCAATATGCAAACAATAGTTTCAAATCTAGTAATTTATCATATTTATCACTGACTTATCTATGGATTAAGAGTTTAATTAAAGTAGCAATGGATAAACTTTGCTTCTCTTCACATCTTTTAAATGATGTCTCTCTACCACCTCCCTGATATCCAGAAAGTCAGTGGTATGAATTCAGATACGTTTTCTGTTGCCATTTGGAAAGGATTAGTGTTAAATACAAAAACTGGTCTTAATGATAAAAATAGAGAACATTACCATAGCCAACCAGATTTCCCAACTGCCAAAGCAACACCTTGACTGAACTAATCCCATGCTATGGTATCATGTTCTAAATGAAACTACATGAGACTTAAAAATACTAGTTTTCTTAAGCAGTCCTTTGTGAGAAGGGAGGTGGTCCTCATACATCCAATACTGAACAAGGAGATAAGACGTTAAACCTTCTGGTCACCAGATTTTTGTTAGCCTTAAAAACTTGCTTGTGCTGGAAAGGGTTAGGGGAAATGAATGACCTTCTCAACCACTGCTGATGACAGTGTATACACATACCTTTTCAGAAGGCTATCTGGAAAAAACCGCACATCTTTTGATTTGGAAATTCCACTTCGAGAACTTAAGTAAATCCTAGCATAAAGCATGCAACAACGATCTTCTTCCCAGGGGTTGTTTGGAGAAAAATTGTTGACAGTGTTCACCACTGCATTAAAAGTCTGAACCACGGCCGGGTGCAGTGGCTCACGCCTATAATCCCAGCACTTTGGGAAGCCGAGGCGGGAGGATCACCTGAGGTCGGGAGTTTGAGACCAACCTGACCAACACGGAGAAACCTCGTCTCTACTAAAAATACAAAATTAGCCGGGTGTGGTGGTGCATGCCTGTAATCCCAACTACTTGTGAGGCTGACACAGGAGAATTGCTTGAACCCGGAGGCAGAGGTTGAGGTGAACCAAGATTGCGCCACTGCACTCTAGCCTGGGCAACAAGAGCAAAACTCTGTCTCAACAAAATAAATAAATAAATAAATAAAATTAAATTTAAAAAGTCTGAACCACATATGCCAAGCTACTATGAAGGAGGGGAGGAGATTTGCCGTTCATCAATTTTCACTGCATCTAATAGATTTCAATATAATTGCAGTCTGTGCGAAGTCTTTAAAAGAGCTCAGGGCTTTGGAGACAACTATGAAGAAGTGGCACTTTGAAAATATAGGACCCGGCCAGACACAGTGGTTCACGCCTGTAATCTCAGCACTCTGGGTGGATTGCTTGAGCTCAGGAGTTCAAGACCAGCCTGGGCAACATGGCAAAACTTCATCTCTACAAAAAATACAAAAATTAGCCAGGCATAGTGGCAAGTGCCTGTAGTCCCAGCTACTCCGGATGCTGAGGTGGGAGGATGGCTCGAGCCCGGGAGGTGGAGGTTGCAGTGAGCCCAGATGGCGCAACTGCACTCCAGCCTAGGCCACAGAGCCAGACTCTGTCTCAAAAATAAAAACAAATCAAATCAAACCAAACAAAAAATAGGACCCACTGAATAAGTTTCAGTAAGGTGAACTGTAGAGTTTGAACAGCATACACACAATAATGACAAGGGGAAAAATGACAAGTCTAGCTAGACAAGAGGTTCAGGTAAGATATCAACACGTTAGGAAGAAGCCAAAGGACAGCATGACACAATCCAATACAACTTAATACAGCTCATTTTATTTATGGACTAATCCAAGGCATCTCAACCTTGGCATTATTGGCATGGGGGGGGCTGGGGTCTTCGTTGGGGAGTGTCCTGTGCACCGCATGATGTTTAGTAGCATTCAGGCCTCTCTACCCACTAGACGTGAGCAGCACCTTCCTTCCTCAAGTCTTAACCCAAAAGGTCTCCAGATGTTGCCAAAATTCCGCTGGGGGCAGTGGGGAGTGGGTAAAATCACCTGGTTGAGTGACACGAACCTAACCTTAAACTTACAATATTCTATTTCACTCTTTTTTTTTTTTGAGACAAGAGTTTCGCTCTGTCGCCTAGGCTGGAGTGCAATGGCACAATCTCGCCTCACTGCAACCTCTGTCTCCCCGATTGTAGCAATTTGCCTCAGCCTCCCAAGTAACTGGGATTACAGGTGCCCGCCACTACGCCAGGCTAATTTTTTGTATTTTTAGTAGAGATGGGGTTTTATCATGTTGCCTAGGCTGGTCTCGAACTCCTGACCTCAGGTGATCCACCTGCCTCGGCCTCCCAAAGTGCCAGGATTACAGGCGTGAGCCACCATGCCCAGCCCATTTCATTCTTTAAAAAACAACAACAAAAACCTTGGCTGGGGCACATCTCTACCAAAAATACAAAAAATTAGCCAGGCATGGTGGTGCATGCCTGTAATCCCAGCTACTCGGGAGGCTGAGGCAGGAGAATTGCTTAAACCCGGGAGACAGAGGTTGCAGTGAGCTGAGATGGCGCCACTGTACCCCAGCCTGGGTGGCAGAGCAAGACTCCATCACAAAAAAAAAAAAAACCCAAACCCCCCAAAACTCTTGCCTTTAAGCAGCCTACAATCTAAGGGCAAAACCCACAACGTCAATGAGTTTTTAAATCTTATTACACTATTGTGTGTATAAGAAAGTCTTCAATATTACAGACTAGGAGTTTTGCCCATCACAGGTCTACCTTCCTCGTTAGAAGCATTAATGTCTTATATTTATTAAAATGCACAAATTCCTCAAAACAGAAATTCACACCATGGTCTTAAGTGAGCTGCCATGTACTTAGGGCCTACTGTGTTTCATGTCATAAGCAGTTACACCACTTGGGTTAAAATCCTTGCTCTTAACACTTACTAGCTTTGTAATCTTGACCACATTACTAACTTCTTTATGCCTCATTTTCCTCAACTCTGAAACAGAGATACTATCAACCTACCTTAGGGGAGCAAAGTGAGTATAAAGTGCTTAAAATAGTGTTTAGTGTGCAGTGAATACCTGGTAAATGTTAATTATGAGCCATTATTCTAACTACAAGCCCATAAAGGCAGGCACCATCATCAATTTACAGAAGAGAGAGAGTCTGAGGGATTAAGAAATTTGCCAGAGTCCACGAAAATAAAAGGTAATGGAGCAACGATTCAAAAATTGATTCAGAGCCCATACTTTTTCCACTGTGTCAATAAAATCACATTCAGATTCATTAACTATGAAGAAAAACATATCAGTCTTACTAAAAAATAATGAGCAGCGTAAGACATTTTTTATTGAGATTAAATTTAAACACAACTAAATTCAAGCATACTACTCAATTAAGGTTACAAAGCTTTTACACTAAGACAGACAACTTCCAGAGATTCCCTACATACTATTTTAACTCTCATTTTTAAAAATTGCGATATGCACTTTAGTTTCTGAAATTGTTTATGCATTATGCTGAAGTAATTTACTGAAATTCTACTAGAACTGATGTACAGGAGAGGATAATATGATGTCTAAGATAGAAATTATCTTGTATACACTCAAACTGCCTGGTTCTTATTCCAAGGTCACTGACTTTGTAAATGACAGATTTTGTTCCCAAGTCCCAGAAGAGCTTTGTGAACCCCTCTAACTTTTTCCATTTGCCCTTCCCTCACATCCAAGTTCTTCTTAATGACTCCTAAACATCTTACCTGTAATATTTAAGCCCAGGGTTTTGTTTTTGTTTTCAGAGTCTCGCTCTGTGGCCCAGGCTGGAGTGCAGTGGCACATCTCGGCTCACTGCAACCTTCGCCTCCCAGATTCAGGTGATTCTCCTGCCTCGGCCTCCCGAGTAGCTGGAACTACAGGCATGTGCCACCACGCCTGGCTAATTTTTTTGTATTTTTAGTAGAGACGGGGTTTCACCATGTTGGCCAGGCTAGTCTCCAACTCCTGACCTCAGGTGATCCACCAGCCTTGGCCTCCCAATGTGCTGGGATTACAGGCATGAGCCACCACATCCAGCCAAAGCCCAGTTTTTTTGTGTCTAAATTTTGCTCTTGCCAACACTCAGTAAGATCACCAATGACTTCTGCCTCACTTCTTTCTGAAGCCATTTCCCTAAAGTCACCAGTTTTCAACCTGTCATGTATTCTTCAATCTGGACTTTAAAAACTACTCATTTAAGAGGTGGAAGGATGTCAGAGCAGAGCAGAATGGCTAGGACCTGCATTACTCTACAGCCCCAAACCATGAGAACTCGAAGAGACTTAGAAAGTTAAGCCCAAAGTCTTCGGTTTTACAATGACACTGAGAGACAGCTCTAACTGGATGAAATCTTAACTCCCCTCATCTTAGAGAGTTTGGTTCACTTATAGTTCTTTACTCTTGGATTTTAACATTTTTTTGTGCTTCCACGGTTCAGTAACCTCTTTCAATACCGTGATTATCAAAAGGGTTGAGAGTTGTTCACACAGTTATTTTGAATACATGGTTTAAGTAATTCTGCCCCAACCTACTCTATGAAAGGGAGGAGGCTGAGAATATCTGCTCTTTTCTACCAAAAATTTAGCTATCCTTCATGTTACTTTAACTAGTCTTCTATAATTACCAAGTTAGTCTCACCTCCTCCACACCAAATCTTTCTTCCTGTTCACCAAAGGAAAAAAAGAAAACCCTATGTTAGCACGCATGTTCAAAAACTTTAGGTGTTACTCTACTTTCCTAGACTCCTTATTAAATTACTAACTCATCAATTATCACTTGTCTTATAACTTCCTTATCTGTCAGTTCAGATCACAGACTGGTTAGTCAGCCCTCAAACCACGAATTCTAGATGCTGCTACATGTACAGTGGTGCTGACATCTGTAATCCCAGGACTCTGGGAGGCCAAGTCATGAGGACTGCTTGAGGCCAGAAGTTCAAGACCAGCCTGGGTGTAACAAGATCCCATCTCTACAATAAATAAATAAAACTTTAAAAAAACCAGTTTCCCATGAACCAAATGAAGAAACCCCCCTTACTCCAATCTTCTATAAATGATGATGGCTGCCTTCCTTTCCAGGCTTGTCTCCTGCAGCAACTCTGCACATGAACTCTGCTCCAGCCACACCGACACACTGTTCCCCGAACAAGCCCTACCCCGGATATTCCTTTAATACTGACACCTCCGCCAGCCTCTTCCCTCAACGTTCACCCCAAAAAAACGGTATCTTTGTGAAGCCTTTTCAAAGGTTTCTATTTCCTTCAGACTACATAGCATTGTGTTCATTAACCATCTGATGGGAATATTGTGGTATTTATGTTTGTGTATCTCTCACATGCTCTCTAAATTATAAATCATCAGAGGGCAAAATCCACGGTTCTGTTTTGTTCCTCCCCATATTGCTCAGAGCACAGTGCCTGGCACACAGAAAGCTCTCAATACAGTTGCCAACTTGAAGAAGTGCTTTCCCAAGATATTTTTTATAGGTTGGCCACCAAGCCCCAGTTAGCCTCTTAAGCCATTTTATGAATATTTCATTTATGCCTTGGTGTCTCGGATTCATCAAACTAAACTATTCTATGTCTTCTCAGTATATAAAAGAGACTGTCCTAAATTCAGGGGTTGTCCCCATTGAAATGGTCTGTATGAAAGTTCTATTCTAATAACACCTGGTCTCTCTCTCAAGCTACGTATCAACTAAGCAAAACTCTTCCCCGACTTACGCCATCATAAAAAGCAGAATTTATAAGAGCCACAAAATAAAACGAATATTCCTTTGGCTCAGAGTCACCTTGCTCGAGAACAAGAAAAATCACGCGGTGATTCTGAATTGCTTCAAGGTAACTAATTGAAAAGCAATAAACTGAACAGAAATGAAATATGCTGTAAGAGTATCCAAAATACATACATAGAAAACCTTAACATATGGAATTCTTATGAGTCTTCCCTTGGTAACAGATAATGCTGTTAACAGCCATTACCATATGTTACTCAAGTTGAAGTCTACCACTACTTTCAAGTTGGCAAAATTTTTTAATACGAGCAATTCAGTCCAAAAAGCTTTTACAAGTGCTTCTTCAATGCCAAGCAGGGACTGGAAGCTAAGAGCACACGGAAGAATACAACGAAGTTTTGACTTCATAAAGTAAATAATCTTAAGTTTTCTCCACTTTAGTACACACTGTCTGCATTACTTTCTTTGCCTCTTTACCAGTTATTTCCATCAGCCATGATTTTGTCCGGATCGCCTGTCATCGTATTAGAAAAATAGATAGGTTAAAAAAGTTTCGTGGATTTTTTTTTTTTAAACAAGGGGTGGGGAACATATTCCCTGCCCCACCATTCTGATGAGATGAAGAAAGGCGGCTTGGGGGGTGGGGGTGGGGGAGGAGGCCAGGGAGAAATTATTTCTTCCATTCCCTTTTGAAAAATCCCCAGTCTAGTATGCTTGTCTATCAAAGCCCACCTAAAATATGATGTGCACAAACACATCAAAAATAAGTAGGCCTCTTGTAAAAGTGACACTTAAAAGGCAAACCATATGAGATTATTTCCCATTTTATTCATAGAAATGACTCTTGGCAGCACTGAAACATTTAAAAACACTCCTGGATATAATGCTGGTATTTCAGTTTTAAAAACTTATCCTACGGATCAAAAGATCCATGGAATGACAAAGCTAAAAATGTTCTCTCTCACTAATAAGGGTGAATCACAGCAGCCACCTACTCCACCCAACAATCGTCCTTGCTAAGACTGGACAGTTCAAAACCTGGAAAGCTTTCCTTGTCTGCTCCACACTGGAAACGAATTCACTTCAACACTAGTGTTTAAGCACAGGTGTGCAACAGCAAGGAAATGTTATTAAATGTTGAAATTTACCAGGACATTGTGTTCTTCAGATACAGCTGTGTCCTTTTCACATTTCCCGAACTCCCCTCCTCTCCTGTTTATGGGGGGTGGGGGGGAGCACAACAGATACTCTTACTTGAAAAATAAAGTATCTGTTCAGATTTTCTAAGTAAATTTCCATTACTGGGTTTGGGAAAAAATCCCTACTACATTGTCTGTAACAAAAAGGTGCCTGCGCCTTCTTTCAACTGCCTGAAGCTTGTGAACCGACTGAATACATTTAAAGGGCTCACAGATCTCAGGACGCAGTCTCCCCGCACAAGAAACTTAAAAACGCCTTTCAGTCTCGCAGAGACCTACTTGGATGTTTCCAAGTTCCATCGTTTGGTAGCTACCCAGCATCTGGGGCGAAAAAAAAGGACTTATCCTTGGAAAAGCGGCTTCTTGAGTCTCAACAACCGGAGGGACACAGTAGGGAAGTCAGGGCTCACCTAAAACCCTCCACCCCAGCAGACAGTCCGGCAAGCCCCGGCTCACGTTTGTTTCCGTGCCCGCGAAACTCTCAATGAAAAGCATCTCACAAAAGGCCTCCCCTGCTCCCCGCGCCGAGGACTCACCAGCACCGTGGTGCAGATGGATCTCAGCTCGGACTCCACTTTCTCCCGATAGTCCTTAATCAGCTGCAACTTCTTGTCGGAGGTGTCGGTCTTCTGCTCGATGCTAGAGATGACCCTCCAGGCGGACCTGCGGCCCCCGACCACGTTCTTGTAGGCCACGGAGAGCAGGTTGCGCTCCTCGTTGGACAGCTCGGCGCCCTGCTCGGTCACTGCCTTCATGCAGGTGGCCATGTCGTCGTAGCGCTCGGCCTGCTCGGCCAGCTTGGCCTTCTGGATCAGCTCAGTCTTCTCCATGGCGGGCGCGGGGCCGGGGCCGGGGCGGAGGGCGAGGAGAGCGAGGGCGAGCGCCGACCCGCAGCGGGAGGAGCCTCGAGAGCTGCGGAGGGGCGGGGCGGCGAGGCGAGAACAAAAAGCAGAGAGGGAGCGCCGTCAGACAATGCGGCCCGCCGCCCGCTTTTGTCTCCCGCACACGCGGCCGCTTGAATTTCCCTCTCCCCCGCCCCCTCCCCCGCTGGGCACCCGGGGAGGCCGCGGCCCGCGGCTGGAGGAGGCGGGGGCGGCGCGGAGGCCCCGCGCGCAGGGAGCCCGAGCCGCGGCCGCTCCCGCCACCCCCGCCCGGCCGGCCCAAGATGGAAGCGACCGTTGGCCCCGCACCTTCCCGCCCGGAGCCGTCCCTGAGGGGAGCGGCATCGACAACCGGCTGCTCTCAAGGGCGGCACCTCCGCCCGGCCCTCAATCCGAGCGCGGCCGGAGGAAGCCCGCGGGCCGACCCAGGCGCTCACCTTCACGTCTCCGCGGCCGCGACGCGAGTCCCACCACTTTGATCTGCTTTTGGCTTTAGCTGAGGACCCTCCCGTGTCAGCCTACCCCGGGGCCGAGGGGCGGTCCACCGCCCAATGATGCGCCGAGCTTCTCCCGAGAGTCCCGCCCCCAGCGCGCCGCTGGCCAATGAGGACCGAGCGCGCGGAAGGGGGCGAGGGGGGCGGAGCGGGAGGGAACGCGGAGGCTAGGAGGGTGGGTCGGTACGGGGAAGTTCGGTTGGCCGGCAGGCTGCGGCTTCGGCCACGGGGTTTCCTCCAATTAGATCCAGGGTAAAAGGACGTCACTGTTGCCATGGCGATGCCGTTACCAACTCCCCTCAGCCTCCCCGCCACCCCGGCACTTCTGGGTGCGGCACGAGACCCAGAGGCGCGCACGACCTCCTAGGCGGCGGCTGCGTCTCCCGCTGCGGATGGTGCATTGCATCTCACGGGCTCTGGCCGAGGCTGGACTTCGGAGGGTGACATATTCAGCTGTTTTAGAGCACGGGGGCCTTTCTTTCCTCCACCTTTCTATCCGTGACAAAGGTTTGGATCCCAAGACACTAAACCCAGACCTTAATGACGTTGCCATTAGGGCTCCGAATTAAGCAAACCGCATCCCCATTAAAGAAGAATTGATTCTGGAGACGGTGTCTTCAGTATGGCATTTACATGATAAATTCAAGTTTTCAGATGGGCATCCTAAAACAAAAAATTCCCTTGTGAAAAGGTAGGTCCCAGAAGATCCAGGGGAGTTTCTGTGACAATGCCAAGTATTGTGGTTTTCTTTAAAATGAGAAATGACATTAAGCACAATTTGCAGGAAAACACCTATTACTACCCCTTCCCACCCCCGCAAAAAAAAACCCTGCCCATAACATCTCTCCCCGCAAAAAAAAAGCAATTTTTATGTATCTTTTAGGCTTTCCAGGTTATGCACCTAAATACATCATTTTTCACATCGTTGTCACATGTGCACACGCTTTTGTTTCTGGTATTATTTGTGAGAGGTCACTTGAAAAGCTGAAATCCTCTCCCTGGATGTTGATTTCTGATTTTCTCCTCCTGGGGAACACCCTGCTGAAGCGAGAAAGATTCCCCCAGGCCCCTCCCATTCAGGGTCATCCCTGGCAGCTCCCTTTCCTCTTAAACCACTCCTGTCTCTCCTTGCACTTCCCCAGTTCCCTAACTCCATCCAGGTAGGGTGGCTGCCCTGCCCGTCTGGCGCGTGGTCCCTGTGCCATCTTAAGATGAGAATTGCCCTCTGGGTTCACGCTGCTATGATCCCGATTCCAGCAGGTCTAAGGAGAATGGATCATAAAGAATTTCCCATTCTGAGTGGAGACTGGAGCAAATCCGGAGAATCTCTAGAATGGGAGATTTGAGAGTGCAGACAGATGGGAGGAGAAGGTGCCGACTTTCCAGAAATTCAGACTCCCTCTTGACTGCCCCTCCCTGTCCTGACTTGTGAAGGTTGCTTTGTGCTTTGACAGACAGGAGCGGCCTGGATTGGAAAGGGCCTGTGTCTTAATGCAGAAATGCCTTACTATGTTCCAGCCTTCTAATGGAGGGCCCTGCTGTTATTTCTGGAATCCCTGGGGCCCCGCTACAGACACATGAGTGTTTATGGCCCTGTGGGCTGGGGTGGAGCTGGACACCGAGAAATCCCAATGGAAAGAATTTGCATGTGGAAGGTCAGATAAAATGCCTTCTGTATGACCAGTGAATTTCAAGCTCACCAAAATTAGAGGCAACCCGGGCAAGGGGAGAAGCCAGTGGAGGTGGATGGGGGATAGAGACCCAGGAGAGGAAATTGTCAGGGGATGGAACCTCTGTGGTAGAGAGGGACTACCAGAAGGAGCAAGCACACTAAATTCTTTGTCAGAAAGTCTAGGCTGTGCTGTGGTCTCCCCCAGTGACCTTGGGCAAGTTTTTGCTGCTTTCTGTACCTTAGTCTCTGAAATTTCTGCTTTCATTCAATCAAATATTTATTGAACACCAACTCATCTAGTTGCAATCATCTGGAATCATGGGTAAAAACTGCTTCCAACCAATAACACAGTATAAAATTGCATTTTAGGAAGATTCAGAGGACCCTCTACATAGCTAAAGGCTTCTGTGCCTGAAAGAACTCGGGTTGGAGAGAAACAAGGCTCTGGGAACTTGAAGTCCCTGGACACAGAAAGAGCTAACCTGTGTTGAGTGATTGCATATGTCAAGCACTATTTTAAGTCTTTTGCAAGAATTAACTTATCCAATCTGCTTAATGCAACTACAAAGTAGGTGTTATTATACTCACTATCTCTATTTCACAGACAAGGAAATTAAGGCACAGGGTGGTCAAGCATGACGTACAGGGCCACACAGCTAGAGAGCGGCAGAACCTTGGATATGGACCCCATGCAGTTTGGGTGCCAAAGCCCATCTTTTTAACCACTGCTGAGGCTGCCTCACCAAGTCTCCCCAGATCTCTGCTAGATGCTGTAGAGATCCTAGGATGGATCAGACCAGCCTCTGTCTTCTAGGAGCTTCACCCTAATAAATGTGAAACCTGTTAAGCATCACATCCAACATACTGGGAAGAAGTGCAAGGAACAGACAGCTAGCAAAGGGAGTACTGAGAAATTATTACTTTATTTATGAAGTTCTTATTATTTTTTCTAAGTTACCTGGTATGAAGAAGCTCCTGGAACAAAAAGGAGCACATTAACATGGAGCCAGAAGACCCTAAATTCAGCCCTGCTATTTATATGTGATTTGACCTTGGATACCTTGATCTTCTCTGAAAC
The DNA here is from genome assembly GCF_000001405.40 of Homo sapiens. Lineage (NCBI taxonomy): Eukaryota > Metazoa > Chordata > Mammalia > Primates > Hominidae > Homo > Homo sapiens. The sequence goes on from NC_000002.12 coordinate 9,633,748, forward strand.
TCAATTCTCTCTACCTGTAATCTATAAAAATAATCCCAGCTGGGCACAGTGGCTCATGTCTGTAATCCCAACACTTTGGGAGGTCGGGGTGGGTGGATTGCTTGAGCCCAAGAGTTCCAGACCAGTGTAGGCAACATGTCAAAAACCTGTCTCTACAAAAAACATAAAAATTAGCTGGGTGTGATGGCGTATGCGTGTAGTCCCAGCTACCCGGGAGGCTGAACATGGGAGGATCGCCTGAGGCCAGAAGGTCGAGGCTGGCATGAGCCATGATTGCACCACTGCACTCCAGCCTAGGCAACAGAGTGAGACCCTGTCTCAAAAATCATCATCATCATCGCTACATCAAAGAGTTGTTTGGAGATTAGATGAGCTGTCACATAGGGAAATGCTGAGCATATAGCAAGTGTTCCATAAGTAGTGTTTTCTTCTTTCCTTCTTTCCCTCTGCTTGGAGGTGGGGTACGGCGCTGGCAGGATGCTATCCTGCTGCAAGGAGCCTTAGAACTTTATTAAATGTTTAGTGAAAGCTTATCTCTTGAATCATTGTTGTAATTAGTGCAGTTAATGGTCTACAGAATGGCTACATTCCATGTACATTTCAGAATGAATGAGTCCTTCAGGTTAAGCTCACTCTCATAAATCGTTTCAGTGATTTATTTGCTCAGACCAGTGGATCACCAGAAACTTCTTCCTTTCCTGCCATATGGCAGCTAGTTTAGTGACAAGCAAACATCTGAGTGGGACTTTTCACCCAAACTCTTCATATAATTATTATTGGTGCTTCTGTGCAGTGGGCAGAGAAAGTTGCCCCCCAACTCTGGCCTGTGGGTGCTAAATGAGGTTTCGTAGAGTCACACACAGGCAGGGAAATCAAGGGAGCCTGGTCAAGAAAGTTTTTCTACATATTCCTTAGTTTGAAACTTGATTCACTTTGTTCAGGGTGATGGTTAGTTGCATGTGTCAACTTGGTGGGTCACAATGCCCAGATACTTAGTCAAACACTATTCTGGGTGTTTCTTTGAGGGTGTAACATTTAAATCGGTGGGCTTTGTTGTTGGTGGTGTTTTTTTTGGTTTTGTTTTTTGAGACAGAGTCTCGCTCTGTCACCCAGGCTGGAGTGCAGTGGTGTGATCTTGGCTCACTGCAGCCTCCACCTCCCTGGTTCAAGCGATTCTCCTGCCTCAGCCTCCCGAGTGGCTGGAATTATAGGCGTGAACCACCACACCTGGATAATTTTTGTATTTTTAGTAGAGACAGGGTTTCATCACGTTGGCCAGGCTGGTCTTGAACTCCTGACCTCAAGTGATCCACCTGCCTCGGCCTCCCAAAGTGCTAGGATTACAGGCATGGGCCACTGTGCCTGGCCTAAATCGGTAGACTTTGAATAAGCAGTTTGCACTCCCTAATGTGGGTGGGCCTCATCAAATCAGAAACCTGAAAAGAACACACAAAGAGCATCCTTATTTGAGCAAGAGGGAATTCTCCAGCAGACTGCCTTCAGACTCCATCCGAAGCGCCGGCCCTTCCTGGGTCCCCCATAGATGCCTTTAGAACTAGAGAGGGAACGTGAGCTCTCCTGGGTCTACAGCCTGCTGGCCTGCAGGTTTTGAACTTGCCAGCATCCATAACTGTGTGAGCAGATTCCTTATAATAAATCTCTCTCTCTACACACGTACACATACATATAAATACATGTGTGTATTCTGTTGAATGCATTTAGTAACCTTTTTTTTTTTTACCCAACAAATGATATAGATATCTTTTTTTTTTTTTTTTAAATGGAGCCTCACTCTGTTGCCCAGGCTGGAGTGCAGTGGCATCATCTCGGCTCACTGCAACCTTTACTTCCCGGGTTCAAGCAATTCTTCTGCCTCAGCCTCCTAAGTAGCTGGGACTACAGGCACATGCCACCACGCCTGGCTAATTTTTGTATTTTTGGTAGAGATGGGGTTTCACCATGTTGGTCAGGCTGGTCTTGAACCCCTGACCTCAGGTGATCTGCCCACCTTGACTTCCCAAAGTGGCTGGGAATACAGGCGTTAGCCACCACGCCTGGCCAGATATGGATATCTTTTAATAGCTTTTAATGTATGTCTGCAACATATCAGTCTCTCTTCTCTCCCTTACCAGACCATGAGCCTCTTGAGGGTAAGGGTTTGTTTGTTTGATTGTTTGTTTGTTATCTTGTATTCGGTGAACGCTCAACAGCTGGGTAAACTTAGGTATTATAGTTCCCACTGGCTGACTAAACTGATGCTCAGAGAGGTTCAATTACCTATCCCAATTGGTAAACTTTAGAGTAAAGACTTAAAAACAGGTCTGTCTGATTTTTATCTTCTACTACAACAAACAAGAATCTGTGCTACCTGCAATGGAAGACAGAAGCTCCAGTGTTTGCTGGCCTGGGAACAATGTTTAGTTATTTGAGGTTGGTGGGTGGATGAATATGTATCTACCCCTGAGTCAGCAACTGATTTTATTTTCATACGGAAGGCTCTGTTTTTACGCTCGACACATCCAGCAGCGAAAGAGGTGCCTTCTTGTCCCTTGTCTGTTCCCTTTAATTGTCTACATGGTTCCCCTCCTCTCCCACTGCCACCATCAGACTGCTACCTCCCAGTGGGAGAAGTTACATCTGACCTCCATGTCCCTGGTGACTTTACTGGGCCACGGAAGGCATTCAGTGAAGGCTTGTTTGGAGAGTGGATCCAGACCATTCAGGACGCATTTCCAATAATGCTGACCATTGGCATTGTGTGCTTAGTATGTGCCCAACCATATGCAGAGTCACTAGAATAGTAAAGTCACAGAAGGAAAGCACGCAAGGCAGAGCTGTGTCTTCAGCAGATGTTCCGTAGATACAGGATTGCATCTGCTCGGAAGAATACACCCAGAACCTTCAAGCCAGAACAGAAGGTCCCTGAGCCATCAGAAAGCTGTCGCAAGATCACACACTGATGCTCACACATGCAAGACGTAGAGGAGTGTTCTCCAGGCCCTCACTCAGACTCAATTTCCTGCTAATTCATTCCACAAAATATTTAAAGATCTTCAACGTGCCAGATGCTGTCCTAAGGGCTGGGGTTTCCAGCATGATTAAGATACAGTCTGTGCTTAGAAGGAGCTTGACCGAGAGCACAGAGGTGGGTGCCTAACCTGGAGGTCAGCAAAGGCAGGGAAGATCCCCTTTCTCTTCAGTTGCAAGATGTTCAGTTACCAGGTTTCCTGGTCCACAGCAGTCTAGAAGTGGTTACTTAGAAGGTGGGAGCAGAATTAGTCCCGACACTTCATCTGAAATCTACTCCACATTTCCGCAGATGATTTTGAGTAGAGTAACAGCTAGGGCTTTGAGGAGCCCATATCTATGGTCTATGCAAGGCAATCAGTGGACAAGGCAGAGACAACAAACCCATAAAGAGCTCATGAAAAACCTGGAGAGGCCAGGGCCAGTTAGCATCGGGGTACATGGCCCATATATCCCAGGCAGGCCCTAGGTACGCAGCAATTAGCCTTAATCATCACAAAAAAAATGGTCATTATATTTCATATTTTTTGCTTCATATTATATGTAGACATATACCTTCTCTCTCTGTCTCTCTGGACATATATGAGAGTTGGGATTTTTTTAAGTTTTGGTACATAATCATCTCCCTAATTATGACTCATCTCCAGACAATTCGAGATAGTTGAAGAGATGAATGACCACAAAACAGCTAGAGAACAATGCACACAGGAGTTGATTGTGTGCTTCTCACAATAAGTGCTATGGGAGTTGAGAGAAGGGAAACATGAGTGTGGGCTCAGGCACCAGAAGGCTATGGAGTGAAAGGGACCCCTGTGGGGACAGCAACTGAGGTCATGCCAGTCTGTGTTTCCATCCTTCCTGCTGCCCAGTGGAGGGGCCCCTGGGAAAGGGGAGGAAGGCACAGGTGTTTCTGTTTGTGCTGGAATTGCTTTTGGACAGGGCTGACTCCCGAAAAGGTGGATCTGGATACAATGTCGGAATGTGACCAGCCAGGAGAGCTAGGCAGCCATGGTGCAGAGGACTCTTCTGCCTCTCCCCCTCCTGCCCTAACCAGCTCAGCACCAAGCACATGGGCACTTTAAAAGCACAGGCCATGCTGGGAGACTCACTGTGCTACCCTCAACCCCTTCAGCAGGAGCAGCTCTGTGAAAAGTGCAAGTGTGACCTTCATTTTGCTTTGTGACTTAAAACCCTTCACCGTTACTCAGCTGCAGCTCAGCATGGTGGTTGGACTCAGGAGCCAGATGACCTGGGTTCAAATCATGGCTGCACTACTCACAAGATATGTGACTTTGGGCAGGTCAGCTGGCCGCTCTGTGCCTCAGTTTCCCCATTTATAAAATGGGGATGATGGTAGTAAGAGTCCTACCCCGCAGGGTTGTTAGGAAGCTCCACGGAGGAAGGCTGGTGAGGAGCTCCCCCACTCCTCTCCTGTCTTCTCTCCTGGCTCCATTCCTTCTCTCTGCTTCAGCCTCTTCTGGGCTTTGCTCTGCTGCCATCTTCCCCTGGCTACCTGCTCATCTCTCAGGTCTTCAAGGAAATGGCACTTTCTCCATGGGGTGTTCTAGGGCTCTGAGCCCCTCTCAGCTAGGTGAGCTCCCCCATCCTGGATTCCCCAAGCAGGTAGTTACTTGATGTTGCTTCCCCTGGTCCACTTGTCCAATAGCTGAAGGTATCTCAGAGAGGGCGTGCTACGTCCATGTGATTTGCCTGTGTAGCCCCAGTGCCTAGCAGAGTGCTTGGCAGATACGCTGGGTGCCAAGAAAGCAATGGCCAAATGCACGAATTCACAAAGGATGGAAGGAGGAGTCCATAGGCCAGTGCACAGTGCCCAAAGGACAGAGCTGAGGCTGCTGGTCAGGACAGCTTCAGGCTCTGGCCAGGCTCCAGCACACAGCTGGAGGCACCCGTGACTCTAGCTGGGAGGGGCTGGAAGATCCAGGCAGCCCCTGACCGCCCTCCTTCCCCTTAGTCATGTCCAGTTCTGTAAACAAATTCTCAACTGCACCAGAAGGCCTGACAGTTAAGAGAACCCAGTGAAGAAACCTTTTGCAGAGAGAGAAAAGAACCCTTTTGAATGTGATCAATCACGCTGATTTATTTGGATGATTTCTCTTCTGGATTTCCTTAAACCAGGGAAAACCCAGGTAAGATATTTGGGGCCCTCATTCATCTAGACAAAATACATAAAAGTTTGTTATATCAAAAGTCACCTCTGGAAAAAAAAGGAGTTTTGCCAACCCACTCAGCTATTAATATGAGATGCTCTCTGCCTAGGGACAGCAATTGCTATAATTGATGCAAACGATCCCAGCCACACTCCCTGATCCTGGTTCTGAAACTCAGAGATGCAGCTGACCAGACTGATGTGGCCAGCCTCACTCTGAAGGATCCTGCAGCAGACAAATTGCTGGAATGTGTTCAGACGGAATCCAGCTGCTACAACCGTCACACAAACTTCCTGAAATAGAGGACAAAAGGTAGCAACTTGTCGCTTCTTGAGCCAAGAGATTTAGGACATGAGACCAAATGAGAGAGATTAAAATAAAAAACGCAAGAAGTTAGTGAAATGAGGATTTAGCTCACCAGGCCAAAGCAGGCAGTCTTGGGTCTTTGCTGGACAGTTGTAGCTGCCATATAAGCTGTCCCTGCCAGGGCTGGGATCTGGAGGCTGATGCTGAAACCTCGGCCTGGAAATGATGCTGATGAAGCAGGGCTCTGACAGCCCCTGCACTCTCAGAGGTCTGGGCAGCACAGATGAAATTATCACTCCAAGATCCTCAAAGCATCCAGGAAAAAAGCACATCTAGGAACATTAGCTGAATTTTGTAGAACACTAGTAAGCACCTAGTAGATGCTCAGAAAATGCATATTTTCCTTCCCTTTCCTGAATTCCAGGGGCCTTGCTTGGTCTGTATTAATTACTATATCAGAGTCCTTATTTGCAAGCGAAAGAAACCAACTCTAGTGGATTTGAATATAAGACTATTACTTCTTACTGATTGTGAGGAAGGCTGGTGAAGCAGGCTTATCGAATGAGCAGGCGCTGGGAGGGTGTGCAGCTAGAACCAATGGCCAAAATCACCCTGCAGACCTCTCCCAGGGAGATCCCTGTTGCTTCTGCCACTGAACAGCAGACATCAGACCATGCTGCACTGACTCCGTGGCACCAGGTCCTGGAACCTGGACGCCGACACGGTCCAGGACCCTCTACTCTCATTTGAAATCCATGACACTAAGCCTTGCTGCTGCCCCACAAAGGAATTCTCCACAGTCCCTGCTGCTTTGGGTCATTCACTCCAGATTCAAAATCCTGGCTGTGGTGTCTGGCCAGGTCCGAGTCACGTGCCACGCCAAGGTTCAAGATAAGCTAGGGGGAGTAAGTATCTGGAATGTACACCTTTCAAAGTGAAAAGTGGGCTCCACTTCCCACTAAGGTTCATAAAGCGGGGAATTCTTCCAACAAAGGAAGGGGCTTCAGAGGCTGGGCAGCCTGAAAATAGCACATCCCCTGCAGTTATACTTGGGTTTCCAGTCTACGTGGCAGAAAAAAAAAAGCAAAAGCCATGCATGGACAGTGTGCAAAAGCTGGAGCCTGGGAAAAGCCTTAGCCTGGATCTCATCTTTCTCTCTCTGGAAAAGGTTGGGGGAGCTTTGCTGTCATTGATGTCCCTACCTGGAAGGCTTTTCCCTCCCCAGACTTGCCCTCCTCCGTGACCCACAAAGATCTCTCTCTTGTTGAAGTTGCGATTCTACCTCTAGATTGCATCACACTTTTTAGAAATGAATTACTTCATTTATGTAGGTCTTGTCAAGCTCCCCCAGGATGAGGACAAAACTCGTATTCATTAAACAGTTAATAAACATTCACTGAGTGTCTGCTAGGCCTTGGGGAGACCTAGGGGACAAAGACATGGCCTGTGCCTTTGAGAAGAAGGTCACATCGGGTGCCAAGTGTGTGGAGGTGTGAAGGCTTTGCAGAGGAGATGACTTATTTAAATGGGTCTTAAGATGTTCCCAGCCATTGGTAGAGGGAGAGGTGCATCCCAGAGAGAAGGAACAGCATGTACAGGGCAAGGAGTCATGAGAAGGCGTGGCGATTTTGGAACAGATTTGTTGGGATATGGTGTGCATGTGGGCAGCAGGCAAGGAGGTGGGAGGTGAGGTTGTTGCTGAAGATTGGGACCACACGGCTGGGCACGGTGGCTCACGCTTGTAATCCCAGCACTTTGGGAGGCCGAGGTGGGTGGATCACGACGTCAGGAGTTCGAGACCAGCCTGGCCAAGATGGTGAAACCCCCATCTCTACTAAAAATACAAGAATTAGCCGGGCGTGGTCGTGGGTGCCTGTAATCCCAGCTACTTGGAAGGCTGAGGCAGGAGAATCACTTGAACTTGGGAGGCGGAGGTTGCAGTGAGCTGAGATCACGCCACTGCACTCCAACCTGGGCGAAGAGCGAGACTCCGTCTCAAACAAAACAAAACAAAAGATTGGGACCACATTCCTTTTACCCCAATCTTTAAAACCTTCTGAGTTTTTTTTTAACCCATTGAGTTTTACATTTTGTTTTATTTTCTTATTTTTGTAGAGACAGAGGTCTTGCTATGTTGCCCAGGCTGGTCTCAAGCTCCTGGCCTCAAGCGATTCTCCTTCCTCAGCCTCCAAAAGTGCTGGGATTACAGGTATGAGTCACTGCGCCTGGCCTGAAACCACATTCTTCGGACCCTTGAGTATCTCCCTGAGGAAAAGACATTGTATCCTGAGACCATTAGAAATTATCAGATACTTTTTAAATTGATTTTTTATTGTGATAACATACATAACATAAAATTTACCATGTAAACCCTTTTTAAGTGTACAGTCCAGTGGCACTAAATGCATTCAAAATGCTGTGCAGCCAGCACCACCATCCATCTCCAGAACTCTTTCATCTTGTAAAACTGAAACTGCACCCATTTAACACTAACCTCCGATGCTACCCTCCCCCTAGTTCCTGGCAACTGCCACCATCCTACTTTCTGTCTCTATCATCAATGCTTTTAAGCCCGAGGGGCACCTGATGGGATTTTTAAGAAAAGTCCCCCTAGCTACATTGTAAAGGATAGGTTGGAGGATTTGGGGTAGGAGGCGGCTGCAGAGAACTTCAGAGGTGATGATGACAGTGGCAGTGGGGTGGGGGGGTGTGCAGGAGGGTGGTGAGAGAGATTGCAGAGATATTGATTAGATGCGGAAGTCAAGAGGCATCCAAGGTCACTCCAAGGCATCTTTTTATTTTTATTTTTTTTTATGTTTTTGAGACAGAGTCTCACTCTGTTGCCCAGGCTGGAGTGCAGTGGCGTGATCTGGGCTCACTGCCACCTCCGCCTCCTGGGTTCAAGCAATTCTCCTGCCTCAGCCTCCTGAGTAGCTGGGACTACAGGCACGTGCCACCATGCCCAGCTAATTTTTGTATTTTTAGTAGAGACAGGATTTCGACATCTTGGCCAGACTGGTTTTGAACTCCTGGCCTCAAGTGATCTGCCCGCCTTGGCCTCCCAAAATGCTGGGATTACAGACGTGAGCCACTGCACTCAGCCTGAGCCGTCTTTTTCTATTTTATTTTCACAATGTTAACCCCCACACCCATTCTTGTGTGAGACAGAGAGGCGATTATGATCGTACAGGAGTTTTACATAATCCTCTGATCCTATCAATTCATAAATATTTCAAAATTACAGCCTATTTAGATGGTGAAGGACATCCTCCCATATCATTCCCGTAAGATGTGTGAGAGGACTTTAGGGCAAATTTGACCATTGCATGCTCTAATCCATTTTATAAAAGAGAAATCATTTACAAAAGTAGTTTATGGTCATAAAATGAGCAATGACAATTCAGAACAGATCCTGTGCTAAGAAAAATTATCTGAAGCTTGCATTCAAAAGACAGCTGACTAAACACAGGATCTGAAGTGATCAGAAGACCTGGGTTCCAGTCCAGTCAGCCACGAACTCGGTGACCCTGGGAGAGCGGCTTAACTTCTTTGCATCTCTGTTTCCTCTTTAGCACAGCGGTTGCTGTGAGGATTAAATGAGATGCTTTGTGTAAAGCCCTGTGCAGCGTGTGACCCACAGTGAGTGCTCAGTTCATAGTGGTTGCTGCTGTCTGTTATGATAACACTGATCATCATCATTATCTCCAAAGACTCATTCAGCCCTGACGCCCTGCGCTTTGCAGTTGTTCTTTTTTTTTTTTTTTTTTTTTTTTTTGAGATGGAGTCTCACTCTGTCCCCCAGGCTGGAGTGCAGTGGTGCGATCTCCGCTCACTGCAAGCTCCGCCTCCCGGGTTCATGCCATTCTCTTTCCTCAGGCTCCTGAGTAGCTGGGATTACAGGCAACTGCCACCATGCCCGACTAATTTTTCATATTTTTAGTAGAGACGGCGTTTCACTGTGTTAGCCAGGATGGTCTCAATCTCCTGACCTCGTGATCCGCCCGCTTCTGCCTCCCAAAGTGCTGGGATTGCAGGAGTGAGCCACTGCGCCCGGCTAATTTTTTTGTATTTTCAGTAGAGACGAGGTTTCACCATGTTAGCCAGGATGGTCTCGATCTCCTGACCTCGTGATCCGCCCGCCTCGGCCTCCCAAAGTGCTGGGATTGCAGGCGTGAGCCACTGTGCCCGGCGTGCAGTTGTTCTTGAGAGGGAGATGGAACTGTCCATTCCTGGTTGTTCTGAAGAGAGTGTCCCACCCTCCCTGCGGGGCCTCCCCTGTCCCTGTAGACTCAGCCTCAGCTTTTCTGGAGCGTGACATTTCCGCCAGCCTCATTCTCTTCCTTTCTCACTTCTCCCAACTTACTCTGGTCCCAGATCACCCTGCCTAGTCTTCCTTAGCAGCTGTGCGGTTTCCTTTTCTACCCCCGTGATTGCCCAAATCTCCTCTGAATCTGGGCGCACCGGAGGTAGAGAAGGGGTGAGACCCTCTCCTCTCTCCTCTCTCAGGCCATAGACCCATCCCTGAAGCTCCTCTGCCCCCCTCTCTGAGCCTCAGAGCCTTCCTTGCCACGCGGAGCTCCCCTTTGGGTGCCCTCTTGAAAGCTGTGTTCTGGGTACAGAATCTTGTCTAGAGCCTCAGATAATGGGACTTTCCCTGTGGGAGGCCAGGCTGAGGGACACCACTGAGTTCTGAGGGGGCTGCTGGGCTGTGATTAGGTGCAGGGCTGACATCTGTATTTGAAACACAGAGTGGGCCAACGTGAAGTCTGTTGATTGAGAAGAGACACAGGTGCTAGAGTGAAGGTGCGTGGATTGGAGGCATCTTGGAAACCCACACAAGAGGAAACGGCTCTAGCCCGGACTGTTCCCACAGGGCTAGGCTCTCCCTACCCAAGAGAGAACCCATGTGTGTTTCTTCTTCGCAGTGTGTAGTTTAAAATCATTGGCTTTGTAGGCAACAATCCACAGGGCTGGGCACGTACCCAATTGACTGATTGGTAGGAGAGTCAAATATTTGTTGATGGAAAAAGCTTCAAGGTGCGTTTAGAAATTGCTCATGAAGATAAACATCTATTTGGAAGTTACTTTGGTTGTGAGGCTTGAGATTTTATATCACCGTATATTTTTAGGGTCCTTTACATTTTTCAGTGTTGTTGAAAAGCAATTTATTGTTCACCATGTGCCATGGTAGTTCCCCAACTTGAAGGCAGAGACTGTGTTTCTCCCAGCACCTAACAGAGTGTTGAATGCATAGTAGATATTCAACAAATATTAATTTCAAGCATCTTTTGTAGCACAAATTATTTAATCTAGATCATTAACCTCAGAAATTCCAACTTAGTCACCTGCCAGGCCTAATTCCTCGTTTCAAGTAAGTGAGACACCGCTTGGGGCTGCCTGCCATCAGTGCATGCTGTATGTGCGTGGCTGCCTGGATTCCAGTGTGGCCAACTGATGATGATTGAAAAGTGAGTATCCAGCAGGCCTTGCAGGGACCAATGTCTCATCAGAGACCCTGTTCACACATGCTCTTCACTTGGTGACCGGTTTTACAGGTTTCTGATGATAGCAAATATTTGTCTGTATTTCCTGGTGCGGAATTCTAGGCTCCTGACAGCTTTTGTGAAAAAGCATAGGCAGGAAAACCACTGTGTACTCCAGAGTTCTTCGAAAGTGAGTTCATCGCTGGCCAGAGTTTCAAGTACAGAGTCATTCTCTTGGTTAGCGTAGAAGTAACTGCGCTACAGTAACTGACCAACAAAAGTGCCTTCCAGTTCAAAGTCTTGTTTAGTCTCACTTTGAGCCCTCCGTCACTTGGATTAGGGGCCTCCCTGTCATTGCTGGAAGGAACTTCAGGAAGCATCTCTTCCAGGTCTTTACCTAAGGGCCGATGTGGACGGTGTGTGCCCTGGACAGGTGTGTGGGTTGTGAACATACTGAAATAGGTGCTCCCATGAGTAAAGAGCTGCTGTCCTCAAGCATCGTGCATGCCCTCCTGTCGCTCCCATTCTTTCCTGGAACCCTATAAACTCTCCACACCCTGATCTAGCAATGAAAGGGTCAATGCCTGGCCCAGCCCTGGGGGTGGTGGGTGGGGGCCTCCAGCTCTGCTGCTGCTGGGACTCTGCCACGTTGGGTGGGAGGTGAGGTATTTTGACTGTCACTCCTGGCAGTGGGGTTCAGACTCAGTGCACTGCAGAGCTGCATTGATGGGTTCCCAGCGAGAAAAGCTGTGCGAGGACGTGGCTGCTTCAGGAGAGTGAAGTGCTGCTCGGGCTAATCCTGAGGAGGCTGAGAAACTCAACACATGGCACGTGAGTAGTGTTTGTGGCTCTACCTACAGAGAGCCTAGAGGTTCTGGGAGACATAAGTGGAAGGAGAGGCAGATGATGTCACTCCCGCATATGCACCCCTTCCATGGCTTTTCACCTGCCCAGGATAATTAAACCCCTGGGCGTGGCATCAGGCCCCCAGTCCTGGTCCTTGCCCGCCGCTCCACTTTCTCTGGCAGTCCCCCTGTTCACCAGCCCCTCTTCCGCCCTCCTCCCTCCCTGCATCATGCTCTTCCCTCTACCTGGAATGTCCCACTCTTTGTTACTGACAAGGGTCCACTCATCCTTTAAGACCAAGGTTCTCGGCCGGGCGCGGTGGCTCATGCCTGTAATCCCAGCACTTTGGGAGGCCGAGGCGGGTGGATCATGAGGTCAGGAGATCGAGATCATCCTGGCTAACACAGTGAAACCCCGTCTCTACTAAAATTACAAAAAATTAGCCAGGCATGGTGGTGGGCGCCTGTAGTCCCAGCTACTTGGGAGGCTGAGGCAGGAGAACGGCGTGAACCTGGGAGGCGGAGCTTGCAGTGAGCTGAGATGGCGCCACTGCACTCCAGCCTGGGCGACAGAGCGAGACTCCATCTCAAAAAAAAACAACAAAAAAAACCAAGGTTCTCCTCTTCTAAATTTTCTCCGACTCTTTTCCAAACAGCCCTGACCCTAGGGCCACCACTGCCCACCACTGTGCTTTTGCAAGGTTCAGGAGACACCCAGAGAAGAGGCGCGGCAGAGGCAGCCCACCAAGGGTGCAGGCTGTTCTTCAAGCTCCCTCCCCTGTTCAGCGAGGGCCGGGACAGGGCACCATCTGCACAGTGTCTGCCCTCGCCCTGCCCCTTGCTCTCTCATTGCATGCTGGCACCTGGTGGACCTCAGCATTGCATTTCCTGCCGTCCCTTGCAACCATGCGTTTCCTTCTGTGCTTCCTCCCACTAGCCCATGAGCTCTCCCAAGGCAGGGGCTGTGATGTTGGTTTCTGTATCCCAAGCAGCTGTGATAAGTAATGTGGATCCCATGGTAAGCTGCCCACAAATGTTTTTTTTAAAGGAGAAAGAGAGCTAGAGGGGAGGAGAGGGAATGGGTGGAGGAGAACTCCCTATAATCTGTCTACTCCTCCGGCTCTCCTGGTCCTCTGGGGCAGTGCTGCTTTAATGGATAATGGCAGCAATGGAGGAAGAAGAGGAAGGGAGGGCTTGGTGTGTCCTGGCTGTAAAGAGGGCTCCTCACCAGGCTCTCGCCAGCGCCCAGCCCCCGTAGAGCCAGCCTCGTGTTTAGTTGCAGGGAGAACGTATCTCTGGGGAGTGTTTGGGGAAGGGATCTCCCGGATATAGGACAGCCTGGATTCTTCAGGGGACCAAAGCCCCCCCAGATAGGATGTCCGGCACATCCTCGGGCCTTCTCAGAGGAATAAGGTGCTGTGAGGCATGTTAGAACCATACCCATCTTCCTGAGCATGGTCCCAGGCTGGGGCCACAATGAGGAACAAGGAGTCCCTGCCCTTGGGGAGTCCCAGTTCAGTGGGGATAAAAATCAATTACAGTACAATTCTGTACACAAAGGGAAAAAAGTCTCCACAGTGCTGAGGCAGCCCCAGAGAAGAAGAGATCAATGCTGTTTGGGAATGGAAACTCACTCATAATGTGCAGGAAGGGAGGTCAGGAGTAAATGACACCTACCTTGGGTTTTAAAGAATGAATAAGGGTTAGGCAAGCCAGTGCAGGATGGAAGGGAATTTGAGGCAGGAGAAACGGCATATGCAAAGACATGAAAAGCAGCATGCGCAGGAAGATACAAACAGGGAGATAATGCTGGGAGCTTCAAGTACCAGGGAGGGAAAGTGAGAGATGGGGCAGAGGAGGTGGGTGGGAGTGACAACACAAAAAATGGTAAATGGAGCCCAGAGGGATCTAGAATTTACCTGTTACCTTCATTCAATTTACAATCACTTATTAAGCTCCTTCTATATGCGAGATATTTTTCTTCGAATTCTCCCAGCAATCCTTATTCCCCCTTGTCACCAAGGAATGGGCACACCTTGGACACCACATGTCATCTGGACCCACTTTATAGAAGGGGAAACTGCAGCTCAGACTAGGTAAATGTGGTATCTGAGAGCTCCCAGTTGGTTAATGGCAGAACCAAGACTTGAATCCAGATCTCTCAATTTCCCAGTCCTGGCTCTGGTTCCAGACCCTTGCACTATGTGGTAAAGCAGGCCCTTCAGAACTGAAACCATTTCTTATTTATTGAGACCTGAAGTGGTATGTGAAATGATACTCAGGTCAAAGGAATCCAGGATCTCTTTTGAAGCTCTGAAAATCAAAGAGACTCATGATTTGGTAAAGAGACTTCCATCACACGTGCATAAGCAGAATTCTCTGCTTGAAAAAAAAGATGGGTTTGGGGGCTTGTAAGCACCTCCCTTTATGTTCCTGTGGTTGCCCACTTCTGAGGCTGGCTTGTCAGTTGCTCAATAGTGGTTCCAGTTTGCAAACGGTTCACCTTCAGGGTATTGATCCCTCTCTAGTTCTCTCATTGATGTCCCTGTCATTGAGTGAGCTGTTTCAGCAGTACTCCTGTTCTTTTTCAAAGTCACCTTCAGATGCCACTGATTCCATCAGCATTCTTTGCGAGCTGCGGCCTTATTGGTTTGCAAGGACGGCAAATATTGGGAGTTTGGAAACAGCATGCTCCTGGCTTTCCCGGGGAGGGCTGGGCCCTGCAACCAGGTGGGCTTTGCTGAGACAGGAATGAGTGGCAGAAAATGACTGATTGTCTCTGGGTTACAGCCTCAACCGCTAGGGATCCCTTGGCTTTTTGGGTGCAAGTCCTCCCTGCAGGACATACAGACTGCATCTTTCTGCCTCCCTACCCCACCCCGTACCCGCTGAGTGCTATCTTCATAACCGGGAGGCTGAGCTGGAAGTCAGCAGGCAGCCCCTCTGGCCAGGCAGTGCAGGATGCGATGTTCCAAACCACACCCAGATCTGCACCCTGAGGCCCCTCGTTGTGTGGGGTAGTGGGCAATGCCCAGGTCTGGTGTCAGACAGGCAAGGTTCACACCTCAATGCTGCCATTTCCAGTTATGTGACCTTGGGAAGGTTACCTGCTTTTCCTGAGCCTTTATTATTAAAAATTTATTATGAAATTTCATTTCAAAATGCACTAACATGGTAGCCACTAAGCACACGTGGCTATTGAACGCTTGAAACGTGATGAGTCTGCATTGAGATGTGCCGCGAGTATAACACACCTGGATTTCCTCCCTCCCCAGGTGCAACAGTGACCCGTGACGCAGTAGGGAGGGCTGTTTTCCATGCCCAGTGAGGCCTGCTCAGCTCCCATTAGGCCTTTATGGATGGCCTGCCTCCCAGCTGGTACCTGGTCCCGTCACAGTCCCAGGACTCTAGACCTCGAGGCAGCCAGGTGGGTGCTACAGATGGTGACCTCTCGGTGGCACAGCCTGGCGCTGCAGCAGAATGCAGGGTTGGGGGCGGGGTGAAGAATGGAGTCTGGATTGTGCCAAAACAGGAGTTTCTATGTCTGGTCCTGCCACCGACTGCACCTGCATTGCTGCGTGACCTTGACAGCTACTCCTTCCACACCTGAACGTCCTCATCTGGAAACTGGACTTGCCTCCTAGGGTTCCTGCAAATATAAAATGAGCTAATGCCTTTGAGGTGTTTGCTATTGTCCTGGCACTTGGCAAACACATGATAAATATTAGCAATCACTTGCGAGGGGGTGTGGGGTTCGGGGGAGCTTTGCCCCTCCTCCCCCTCTCCAGGGCTGAGCAGCAGTGAAGAGCTTTCTGCATAAGAGAGAGCAAGAGAGATAAATAAACCCACATCTTCCTCTGAAAGAGGCTCCTGCTGGCTGGCTGCTCACCTGACCAAGTCTCCCTCCCAGCCTGTCTTCACTCTTTGGTCCACCCTCAAGGGAACCAGGTCACACAGCCTCAGCACTTCCTGCATGCCAGTCTCTAGCTGGTGCCTTCCACTGGCTGAACCCCATAAGAAACTAGAGGGCGGCCGGGTGCCGTGGTTCATTCCTGTAATCCCAGCGCTTTGGGAGGCCAAGAGTTCAAGTCCAGCCTGGGCAACATGGTGAAACTCTGTCTCTACAAAAAATACAAAAATTAGCAGGGTGTGCTGGTGCTGAGCTTGGCAGGTGGAGGTTGCAGTGAGCTGAGATGGTGCCACTGCACTCCAGCCTGGGCAACAGAGCGAGACTCCGCCTCAAAAAAAAGGAAAAGAAAAAGAAAAAAAAAAAAAAGAAAGAAACCAGGGCCAGGCACGGTGGCTCACACCTGTAATCCCAGCACTTTGGGAGGCCCAGGTGGGTGGATCATCTGAGGTCAGGAGTTCGAGACCAGCCTGGCCAACATGGTGAAACCCCATCTCTACTAAAAATACAAAAAGTAACTGGGCATGGTGGTGCGCACCTGTAGTCCCAATTACTCGGGAAGCTGAGGCAGGTGAATCACTTGAACCTGGGAGATGGAGGTTGCAGTGAGTTGAGATCACACCACTGCACTCCAGCCCAGGAGAGAGAGTGAGACTCCATCTCAAAAAAAAAAAAAAGAAAGAAAG
The DNA here is from genome assembly GCF_000001405.40 of Homo sapiens. Taxonomy (NCBI): domain Eukaryota; kingdom Metazoa; phylum Chordata; class Mammalia; order Primates; family Hominidae; genus Homo; species Homo sapiens. The sequence continues at coordinate 9,650,170 of NC_000002.12, forward strand.
AAAGAAAGAAACTAGAGGGCAAGGGATGCATTGATGTAGCTGGTATGCCCCAGCCTCTCTGGGCGTAGTGCAGGGTGAAGAAGGGTGGGGACAGCACTGGAGGGGCATAGCACCTGTCCTCTGATCCAGATGACAGAGAAAGAAGTCACAGTCTAAGGGTCAGAAAACCTGAGCCCTACCCCCAGGGTTTCCCCTGACTGATTGCGTGAATGTGGGCAAGCCCCTGGTCTGCTCTGAGCCTTCGTTTTCCCATCTAGAAAATGACAAAGTTGGAGCAGTGACATCCAAGTTCCCTCCAAACCTAACACACTGTCTTTTACTGACACTGCTGCAGATGAAGTAACAAGGCAAAACTATGTTTGCCATTAGCTCTCAGGGAAATGCAAATGAAACCTACAATGAGACACCACTTCACACCCACTAGGATGCATCAAAAGACAGCTACATATCAAAAAGACAGATCATAATGTGTTGATGAGGATGTGGAGGCACTGGAGCCCTTGTGTGCTGCTGGTGAGAATGTTAACTGGGGCAGACACTTAACAGTGGCTGGAAAATTGTCTAGCAGTTCCTCAAAAGGCTAAACAGAGTTACCACATGACCCTGCCATTCCACCGCTGCATATATTTCCAAGAGAAATGAAAACATATGTACACACAAAAACTTGCACACAAATGCTCATAGCAGCATCCATAATGCATTCCAGATAAACAAGATCGACAGGATGGAATGCTATTAGACAACAAAGGAAATAAAATGCAACATGCATAAACCTTGAAGACATTATGCTACACGAAAAAAGTCAGTGGGCAAAGGGCTAATATCCAGAATCTACAAATAAACAAATGTACAAGAAAAAAATCAAACAACCCCATCAAAAAGTGGGCAAAGGATATGGGCAGACACTTCTCAAAAGAAGACATTTATGCAGCCAACAGACACATGAAAAAATGCTCATCATCACTGGCCATCAGAGAGGTGCAAGTCAAAACCACAATGAGATACCATCTCACACCAGTTAGAATGGCAAACATTAAAAAGTCAGGAAACAACAGGTGCTGGAGAGGATGTGGAGAAATAGGAACACTTTTACACTGTTGGTGGGACTGTAAACTAGTTCAACCATTGTGGAAGACAGTGTGGCGATTCCTCAAGGATCTAGAACTAGAAATACCATTTGACCCAGCCATCCCATTACTGGGTACATACCCAGAGGATTATAAATCATGCTGCTATAAAGACACATACACTTGTATGTTTATTGCGGCACTATTCACAATAGCGAAGACTTGGAACCAAACCAAATGTCCATCAATGATAGACTGGATTAAGAAAATGTGTCTCATATACACCATGGAACACTATGCAGCCATAAAAAGGGGTGAGTTCATGTTCTTTGTAGGGACATGGATGAAGCTGGAAATCATCATCTTGACCAAACTGTCGCAAGGACAGAAAACCAAACACCGCATGTTCTCACTCATAGGTGGGAATTGAACAATAAGAACATTTGGACACAGTGGGGAACATCACACACCAGGGCCTGTTGTGGGGTCGGGGGAGCGGGGAGGGATAGCATTAGGAGATATACCTAATGTAAATGATGACTTAATGGGTGCAGCACACCAACATGGCACGTGTATATATATGTAACAAACCTGCACATTGTGCACATGTACCCTAGAACTTAAAGTATAATCAAAAAAAAAAAAAAGAAAAGAAAAAAGTCAGTAGGAAAAGGCCACACATTGTATGTGTGACCTGCCTACTTCCCTCTCCCTGATGCTTCCTCTCTGGTCAGTTCCTCTCTTTGGGTTCTGGTCATTATTTTTTTCCCTTTGTCCCTCAGGACTAGGGGTGGTAACTGCTCCTTCTGTTTCTTACCCCAGGGAACTGCATCCATTACTGATTGCCATAAACATTTTCCTCCGCTTCGTGAATAGTTCTTGATTAAACTTTCCTCCTGTTTCCCAACTTGTGCATCTGTATCTTGATGCAGTGACTTACTCTCCATCCATCCATCCATCCATCCATTCATCCATCCTTCCATCATCCATCCACCCATCCACCCATCCACCCATCCACCTATTCATCCATCCACTCATCCATCTAACCATCCATCCATCCATCCATCCATCCATCCATCCATCCATTCATCCATCCATCCATCCACCTATCCACCTATTCATCCATCCACTCATCCATCTATCCATCCATTCATCCATCCATCCACCCATCCACCTATTCATCCATCTACTCATCCATCTATCCATCCATCTATCCAACCTCACACCATGCATACCCCCATCCATCCATCCACCCAATCACCCATCCACCTATTCATCCATTCACTCATCGACCTATCTATCCATCCATCCATCCATCCTTCCACCCTCCAACTAGTGCCCCATCCATCCATGCACCCATCCATTCACTCTTTCATTCAGGAGCACAGTGCAGAGTTCATTCTGGATGCTCAGTATATTCAGCAAACACTGAGTCCGTACTGCTCAGCAGGTGGCCAGTGCTAGGCCCTATGCCAGGAATATAGGTAATTAAACACAGCCTCTGTTCTCCAGAAGTTGGTGATACAGTCTAGGGATAAAAATGAAATATACATATCTCGTGTCCTGTCTAGTGAGCCAAAAAAAAAAGAAGGAAAAGAAAAGAAAAGAAAAAGCCTTAGCAATTACTTAGCAAGGTTAGCAATTACTTAGCAAGATTTGGAGACTTAGAGGGTACATTATGGGTTCTATTATTTTTAAGTTTTGAAGCAGTTTGGGAGCGTATGATGCTTCACCCTCCACAGGCTCCAAAAACCACCAAGAACTGAGCCTGCTATGAGCTGTCACTAGGTAGGGACCTAGCCTACTATTCTTGTATATCTGGGGCCCAGCACATAGTAGGTGCTCTGGGAAGTCAGCAGAATTTAATGAACTCTGACTTGAAGACAAGGCTCTACAAAAACAGAGATGTAGGGAACAGTCTGTATTCAAAATGTTATAGTAACAAGCAGTCAGCCAGACTGCATGGTGGAAAGACTGCTCCGCCTCTCTCTCTTCTCCATCTCTATGGTGACTGTTAACGGAACTGGTCAAGGTCGAACATGGTCAACCAAGCAGCAATATCCCAGGGACTCCGGCAGCTGCAGCTTAGGTTTATACCACTGCTTGGAGGTCTTCTGTATTTCAGATTATGAATATTTGTGCATTATATGAGAGTCTTTTTTGTTATTGCACAAATATGATAAAGTCATTAAATACATTTTTAAGAAAGAAAAATAAACCATCCCTTTGCCATTGGACTGATTGAATGTTTGCATTTCCCTTCCAGCCTTTGTCTATTTCCATATGCATTTCATCCTCCTCCGTGGTAACACAGTGAACCTATAATTTTGTATTCTGCTTATGATGCCTTTTTAAAAAAGCATTGTTCTTTCATGGAGATTCCGTGCTTGGGGCCAATCTTTGTTGGCCCATCAGTTTTCCTCTTAGGAGCACGTGGTGGAAAAGACAATGGGAGATGCTTTCATTGCTTCTATTGGGTGTCTGTGAACTGCTTTGTTTCTACAGACTAAGGAGTTAGCGTAAGAACAGAACAGAACAGACTTTTCATACAGATTATTCGTATTGTTATCTCAATGGGGTGTTTTATTTGTATGGGAGGAAACCTCCCATATAAATCAAGTGGACACAGCATGGATGTTAGCCTGAACAACCAGGAGTTTTATTCTGAGATAGTCACTAGCTGTGTGACCTTGGGCCGCTAACCTAAATCTCTGGTCGTCAGTTTCTATCTCTGAAAGTAAGAACAACATCTATGTACTAGGACTGGGGAGAGGAGAGAATGATGTGAGATAGAGATTGCGTTGTGTGTGTGTGACTCTATAGAACTATAGTTCTCTGAATGATACTGAGATTAACCTTGGGCAAGCCTCTCTGATCCTTTGCTTATATATACGTGAAATGAGAAGATAAAGGTCCCAGTGAGACTGAATGAGATCATGAGTACGAAAGTGTCCTGTTAGTGAAAATGCACCTGGTCATCATTCCACTACATCTTCCTGTCTGTTTTCTCTTGGCCCTAGAAAGTGCTGTGGAAGCTTGGGGGTGAGTTCTGAAGTGTGTACACAACTGGAACCAGAGCAGCCACTGACTGCCTTGGGCCAGCAGCTTCTGGAGCCCAAACTTGGACCTCTGCATCCCTCCTGGGGCCCCAGCTCTAAGTACTGGGGTACGGTGCTGAATGGGGCGGGGAGGCTGTCAGCTTTCCTAGCTGCCTCTGTGTGCTGTGCTCTCTCCAGGGCCCAGTTCTCCAGGAGAAGGAGCAGGAGCAGGTATGCTGAGGACTCCATGAGAGCCAGCCTTTTGAATAGCAGCAAGTTTGTGGGGGCATCTGGGGACAGGGTCTGGGACAGCCCAGTCCAGCCCAGCCCAGGCAGGGGAGACGGCAACAGCAGCAACTCTGCTAGAAGTGACATGCAGATGTTGGCTGAAAGCCATCTACCCTCCCTCCTTCCTTTTCTTTCATCTTCCCTTTCTTTCCCACTCTCCCTCCTGTCTTCTCTACTCCACTTCTCTCCTTTCTTCCACAGTGCTATGGCTGCCTACGTGATGCCAAGCACCATGCAGTATTAGCAGCCACAGGCTGCTTACCCGGAAAACTGGACTTTTGTGCTCACAGGCTTTAAGAGAGATGGGGACAGCCTGGACTGCATGCAGAGGGAGCCACTAGGGCTGCTGGGGAGGTTCGAGACACGTCACAGGGGTTACCTGAAGGACTGAGGCTATAGCTTGGAGGAGACTCTGAAAACTGTTATCAGATATTCGAAGAACTGTCCATTGAAAGAAGAACAAAAAAAATTTTTTCCCAGCCAGGCATGGTGGCTCACAACTGTAATCCCAGAACTTTGGGAGGCTGAGGTGGGCAGATCAACTTGAGGCCAGGAGTTCGAGACCAGGCTGGCCAACATGGCGAAACCCCATCTCTACTGAAAATACAACAAATCAGCTGGGTGGGGTGGGGTGTGCCTGTAGTCCCAGCTTGGGAGGCTGAGGCCCGAGAATTGCTTGAGCCAGAGAGGCGGAGGTTGCAGTGAGCTGACAGCATGCCACTGCACTCCAGCCTGGGTGACAGAGCCAGACCCTGTCTCAAAAAAAAATTTTTTTTTCTTTTTTTCTGTGAAACCCAAAAGGAACAATTAGGTAGAGAGTTTCAGCTCTGTATCTGAGTGTCCTTTCATAATCTGAATTGTCCCAGGGTGGAAGAGGCTTCCCTGGAAGGTGAGTTCCTTGTCACCAAAGACCCTCAAGGACAGCAGGGACCACTCGGTGGCCAGAATGCTGGAGAGGGGAATTCAAACTTTTGCTGCAGTGGGAGTGCGTCAGACTCGATGACTGTCAGACTCTGGTCTTCCTTCGATCTTTGAGCTGAGAGTGGAAGAAGATGAAGTGTGACTTAGCTATTCAACCACGCCACAACCCCAAGCATCTTTAGTTTTTGTTCTGATTTTTATCTTCAGTAGCTGACTGACTGGGCATGAGTAATTCCAACTCCCCAGGCCGGGTGCACTTCACAGGCATGTTTCAGAATAAAATAGAACCTATGGCTCCAGCCCACCTTGACTGTGGTCACCAAAGATGCTTACCCTGACCCTGGGGTAAGAAATGAGCCCTTGGAGGGTCCTGGGTGTGCCCAGCCCCCACTGATGTGACTGGCAGCCCCCACCACAGTCTGCAGCCCCAGGCAGGGAAGCCTCCCCCTCCAAAGTTCTAGAGGGTTTTTAAAAATGTTTAAAGACATTTACAGCAAAACAAAATCAATTATCAAGTTTTGAGTCACCTCTCTTGCAAATAGAAACTTTTCTGTAAGAACTGCTTCTACTAGGCTGGGTGTGGTGGCTCATGCCTGTAATCCCAGCACTTTAGGAGGCTGAGGTGGGCAGATCATGAAGTCAGGAGTTCGAGACCAGCCTGGCCAACATAGTGAAATACTGTCTCTGCTAAAAATATAAAAAATTAGCTGGTCGTGGTGGCGTGCGCTTATAGTCCCATCTACTCAGGAGGCTGAGGCAGGAGAATCGCTTGAACCCGGAGGCGGAGGTTGCAGTGGGCCGAGATTGCACCATTGCACTCCAGCCTGGGTGACAGTGTGAGACTCTGTCTCCAAAAAAAAACAAAAAAAACAAAACAAAGAACAAGAAACAAAACAAAAGAACCGCTTCTACTGGGAAAGAAAACCAGAGAGAAAACCATTTATAGATTATCTCAGATTTACAAGTGAGAACCACAGGCCTGACCCCAGTTCACCTATGCCAGGGCTGAGTCTACACAGTCAACAGCCTCAGGATGCAGGGATGAGTCAGTGTGAAACAAAGACTCAACCCCCATCTAACGGAGCCCTTTCCCTGCTGTGCTCAGCCTGCACGGAATCTGCTTCTAGACAACCCAGACAGCCAGAAGCCAATGCATCTGACTGAGAGGAGTGGATAATGACTTCCCTTTTTAAAAACTTTCTTATTGGCTGCGCACGGTGGCTCACGCCTGTAATCCCAGCACTTCAGGAGGTCGAGATCGGCGGATAGACTTGAGGTCGGGAGTTTGAGACCATCCTGGCCAACATGGCGAAACCCCATCTCTGCTAAAAATACAAAAATTAGCTGCGTGTGGTGGTGCACGCCTGTAGTCCCAGCTACTTGGGGTGCTGAGGCACGAAAATCACTTGAGCCTGGGAGGCAGAGGTTGCAGTGAGCCTAGAAGACAGAGCAAGACTCCATCTCAAAACAAAAACCAAATAAACAAAACACCTTTCTTATTGAGGGGTAGCACATCTGCCACCAAGCATGCTTCTGATGGTCCCTCTAGAAGTCTCTTCCCCGGTATCTGGATTTGAGTGGGGTGACAAAAAGGCTGAACATGACTGGAGCCTATGCTATGGCTTCTGTCCCCTAAGTCCCCAGAGCTCCTCTGGTGTCTGTCCTCTCTGAAGCTTGGTTCTTCAGCTTTTCCATTAGGACTGTGAGTTCTCTCACATCCGGAGGTCGCTTCTGTTGTTTACAATCAAAGAACCTTGACAAAGAGAAAGTGCCTACTTGGTCTCCGTAGCTCCAGGGCCAGTGTGTGGCCTGACACACAGTCAAGTTCAAAAATGTTTAACTAAGTTGAACTGTGATGACTCCCCCCCTTTCAGTCTGGGGATCAGAGACAGAGTTGCCTGGGTGTCCTTGATGGAAGAAGCTCTTCCTGATCACTTTGGCTCGAACGGCACTTGCAGGAGAACCTGCTCAGTGCCCTTGGCCCCAGGCCGGGGGTACCACATGACTCTGTGCAAAGCTTTGCAGAAACTAATGGGACCCTAACCCCATCTTGAGAGCTTGCTTCCTCCTTCCTGTTAGGCATGAGCCCGATGCCAAGGCCCTGTGGAATTCTGACCTAACTTTCCCACTTCCAGCCTTCCCAAAACAAAGTTTCTACTTCTCTCCTGCCTCTCTGTTCAACCCCTAACCACCCAATTCTGCTTCTTCTAGGAGTTCTCAAAACACTAATAACAGTATTTAAGTGTATTAGCTGACTGAACGTACAGGAATGTTAAGAATCAGAAATCAAATTGGATTTTATAAAAATGAGGGTTTAGAAGGAAGGTTTTAATACAGGCGATTAAGCTGTAGGCTCCAGAATGGGGGAAGGTGTGAAGCCCCACACCTTTTCTCTCTTCTCCAGTGCAGACTCCATCCAGCACTCACTGTCAATGTTACTGCCATGGAAGTTGGTTAATCACTGCTGCGAGGTGGCCTCCAGGGGTGGTGTGGTATTGTTTCTTAACTGCACGCAAGGCTTGAGGACTTAACTCCTCTTTGTCCCTCCACCTTCTGCTCACAGAGGGTAGAGATTGTCTCACTCATCTTTGAACACGCAAAAAAGCTACTCAGTAAACGAGCAGTGGATAGATGATGCCTCCTGGAGCCTATTATTGCTTTCCTTTTTTTTCCCAAATGTAACCTTGTTTATAGACATTTCTCATAAAAGTAGAGAAAATTGCATACTACCATATTATACCTACCACCCAGCTTCAACAATGATCATCATTTTGCTATTTTTAGTTCATCTACACTCGCACCAACATTTTTTTTTTTGCTAGAGTCTTTTAAAGCAAATCTCAGTCATCATGTAATTTCATCCATCAAGATTTCAGTATAGATTTCTAATAGGAAAGGACTTCAAAAAAACAAACTCAACTACATGCCATTCTCAGACCTAACAGAATATATTTCTTTTTCTTTTTTGAGGGGGGTGGGTGGGGGGAAATGGCGTCTTGCTCTGTCGCCTAGGCTGGAGCATCACAGCTCGCTGCAACCTCGACCTCCTGGGCTTAAGCAATCCTCCCACCTCAGTCTTCTGAGTAGCTGGGACCACAGGCACATGCCACCACGCCCAGCTAATTTTTAAATTTTTTGTAGAGACAGGGTCTCCCTACGTTGTCCAAGCTGTTCTCAAACTCCTGGGCTCCAGTGATCTTCCCATCTTGGCCTCTCAAAGTGCTGAGATTACAGGCATGAGCCACTGCGCCCAGCCAATAAGTTTCTTAATATTATCCCACATGTAGGCCACATTCCGTTTTCCTCAGTTGTCTCAAAACAGTCTTTTTACTGTTGGTTTGTTCAAATTAGGATCCTTAAAAGAGTAAGTGTGGTGTTGGATGGGTATGTTTCTTATGTCTGTTCCCCTTCTTTTTTTTGTTTTTGTTTTTTTAAATGCCATTTAATTGTGGAAGAAACCAGGCCATGAGTCCTGCAGACATTTTCCACAGTTGTTTGGATTTGGCTGATGGCATCCCCACGGTGACATTGAGCACACTCCTCCATCCCGGGGTAGCAGAGGTTTGCATGCCACACTGCCTGGGCATGCCTGGTTTCAGCATTGCTTACATTCTGGAAATTGTGGCCCCACGTTAAGCACTGCAGCTGTTATTCTGCTTCACTGACTCATGGTTTTCTCCTGAACATCGTGTGTGTTCGTCGGGAGAGGGAGGTAATGGGGGAAGGACTAACGCTCCCAGGACAACCATTAACCAATGAAATGGCTGGGCACAGCGGCTCATGCCTGTAATCCCAGACTTTAGGAGGCCGAGGTGGGAGGATCACTTGAACTCAAGAGTTCCAGACCAGCCTGGGCAACATAATAAGACCTTGCCTTTACAAAAAAAATTAAAAATTAGCTGGGCATGGTGGCATGTGCCGGTAGTCCCAGCTACTCAGGAGGCTGAGGCAGGAGGATCCTTTGAGCCCAGGAAGTTGAGGCTGCAATGAGCGGTGATTGCACCACTGCATTCCAGCCTGGGCCACAGAGTGAGACTCTGTCTCAAAACAAAACAAAGAACAAAAAAAAACAAAAAGAAAAATCCAATGGGGCTGAGCATGGTGGCTCACACCTGTAATCCCAGCACTTTGAGAGGCCAAGGTGGGTAGATCACTTGAGGCCAGGAGTTTGAGACCAGCCTGGCCAACATGGTGAAACCCTGTCTCTACTAAAAATACAAAATTTAGCCAGGCGTGGTGGCACATCCTTGTAATCCCAGCTACTTGGGAGGCTGAGGCAGGAGAATCGTTTGAACCCAGGAGGTGGAGGTTGCAATGAGCAGAGATGGTGCCACTGCACTCCAGCCTGGGCAACAGAGCGAGACTCCATCTCAAAAACACACACACACACACACACAAACAAAAAACCCAGTGGTACCTACATTCTCCAACTTCCCCATCCTCTGGTCGGATAACTCTGAGGTACATTCTGCATGGTTCTTCAGAGGATCCCCAGCAAGACTGAGCCTCTATTACCCACAATAGTAACCATCCTTTGTGGGCCTTTATTATTATTATTATTTATTACCATACATTATACTTAATCTTCATCATTCATGTATTAAAACAGGGTGCCCACCCTTTGTCAGTAACACACACTCATTGTCTTTTCTTCTGGGTTTTCACCCTCCCACACTCCTTCCTGAGACCATCTCCCAAATAAATGACCTGCTCCCAAATCCCGGTCCCAGGCTCTTCTCTCGATGGAACCCAAGCTAAGACACCTTCCTGTGTCTAATAAATCATGGTTAGCTCCAGAGCTCAGCTGGATGCAGCTTCCTCGCTTTCTCGTTTTGGCACGTTGGCGTCTCCGGCACTGCTGTGTGCTTCCCACTGTGTTGCGTGGGCCCGGCGGAGCCCGCTATTCCGTCAGTGGCAGTGGATCTGTGGGAGGGGCCTCTACTCGTCTTCTGTGATTTCAGCCTTACAATGCTAGGGGTCTGCCTCACACAGTCAGGGGCCTACCTCTCACGTTTCTTTGTCACCTGTTCGGGGCTGCTCCCTGCATTTATGTCTGAACCTTTCCAAAGCTGGTTGAATTCCCGCCTGCAGGTAGCGCGAGGGTCGTTCAGCAGCAGGAGGCGGGGGTCTGGCTGCCCTCATACCAAACTCGTTCCCTCTACCTCACCAGGGTCTCAATGTGTGAGTCATTTCAACTGAGGGTGTTAGGTTTTCAAGTCCACAGGATGGAATACTTAGTGTCACAGAAATAGAAGCTCATCAAAGGTGTGCTTTGCCGGACTGGGTGGCTGCTCACCAATTCATGGGAGGCTTAGCACATCGTAATGGAAAAGCAGAGAGGGCGTGTAAGCCGGGTGAGTGTGTGTGAGTGTGAGTGTGTGAGTGTATGCATGTGAATGTGTCTCCAAGACTTCTTTCCCCCTCAACTGGCAGAAATCACTGCTTGTTCTATATGCCTACTCCTTCTAATTTCTCCATCTGAGAAGCCTCCCCCATTCTGTATTCCCTCTCCCTACCCCCAGTTAGTTTCCTGCCATCCTGCAATGCCTGAAATCGAGCCTGTTGAAGTGGGAGGTAGCCTGATAAGTGAAGATAGCTCGGAATTTCGAATTAGAAGACTCGATGATTTACTGTGTGACCCTGGATCATTCACTGAGCCACTCTGGGCCCTATTTTTCTTATCTTTTAGTTGAACATAATACATATAGGTAAGTTATAATGCTTCGACTTGACAAATCAAAAGACAGCATGCATAATGAAAAAAGAATATTGTATGTAGTAAAGCTTTGTATGAATGAGAGAGAGTACTTTTCTGCCTCAGTGGAAATAGATTTTCAGTTCTCTCTTGGACAGACTTTGATAGGAATAGAAAATGAGGATTGAACTAGTCTGTTTCTGTTGTCTCTGCAAACAACAGAAACAGAAACAGACTCAGGCTAGTTGACATAGAAAAGAGATTTATTGACAGTATATTGGGTAGCCCTTAGACTTGCCAGAGGGCTGCAGAGACAGGCGTGGGAAATAAACAGGAGCTGAGAACTGGGCAATGACCACAGCCTTGGCCAGGGCCACAACACGAACGGACACGGCTGTGACCAATTCGGAACACAGGGCAGTGGGGCTTGCTGTTCCGCTGCTGCAGCCCTCTGGAACCATCCGTGGCTCTGTGGTTGCCGTTCCTTTCAGGCCTGCCTGGAAGGGGCTGGGACTGTGGTGGGCCTCTAGGGTTTCCCCCCAGAGACAAGGCCTCACTCTGTTGCCCAGGCTGGAGTGCAGTGGCACAAACATGGCTTACTGCAGCCTTGACCTCCTGGCCTCAAGCGATCCTCCTGCCTTGGCCTCCCGAGTAGTTAGGACTACAGGTATGCACCACTGCACTTGGATACTTTTTTATTTTTATTTTTTATAGAGACAGGGTCTCACTATGTTGCCCAGACTGGTCTTGAACTCCTGAATTTAAGTGATCCTCCTGCCTCGGCCTCCCAAAGTGCTGGGATTGCCAAGTGTGAGCCAGTGTGCCTACCTGGGATTTCCACTTCTGTGTAGGAAATGGGCTGAGGGAGGAGAGACCTTATTAATAGGTGGAGGCAGCTGTGGGATGAGGCGGGAAACCTTGGAGGCTGACAAAGGCCAAGATGAATACTGATGCTGTCATGCTATTGATTATTGATCTTGGACATGATGTCCTGACAGGTCTGTTGAGGTTCCATTATGACAGAGCACCGTGGTGGCCACAGTGGTAGGTGGGACAGAGCCTCTGCTTTGAACTTAGAAAACACATGGTGTAAATCATGATATGACATATGAGGAAATAGATTGTAGCCATTATTCATCTTTTTTTTTTTTTTTTGAGACAGATTCTCGCTCTGTTGCCCAGGCTGGAGTGCAGTGGTGCGATCTCGGCTCACTGCAACCTCCACCACCCGGGTTCAAGTGATTCTCCTGTCTCAGCCTCCTGAGTGGCTGGGATTACAGGCGCGTGCCATCATGCCTGGCTATTTTTTGTATTTTTAGTAGAGATGGGGTTTCACCAGGTTGGCCAGGCTGGTCTCAAACTCCTGACCTCAAGTGATCTGCCCACCTTGGCCTCCCAAAGTGCTGGGATTACAGATGTGAGCCACCGTGCCCAGCCCCATTATTAATCATTTTTATGAAAATGTGGGAAAATGCTTTTGACATATCATTAATGAAAACAAAAGGGGAATACCATACTGTCTATACACTTGATTACAAGGTTGTAAAGCAAGTGTGGATGTGGAAGGTAATGTGCAAAACAGGAAAAGGCTGTTTTGAGTTAGAATATTGGGATTATGGGTGATTTTGATTTTTAAACTTTTTTTTTCCTTTAAGGTTGCTATCACGTACCCTTCACATTGAAAATAAATGCAGTAAGCTTTTCAATGTACATATAAGAAGGCAACATAACAACTGTTTTGATTGATGTTAACAATACTGAAAACTTCAGTAGTATCCCCTTACTATACGAAGAATTGGTTATCAGGTTCCAATGACGGAGGAGCAAATGCAAGACAGTCAGGAGAAGGTGCTGGCAGTGTGGTCACCCACCTCTCTTTCCTTTCAGAAAAGCTGGTTGCTGAGACTCCAGCAAGCAGCCTGTCTCTCATCAGTTCAATCCACTGCAATGTTTCTTTGCAACTAAAAATGACTCTCCTACCGCTGGCTCTCTCAGTTCTCAGAACATGAGTTTCTGACCACATTTGTGTGACTTGTCCTCAGTCTCAGAGGAGAAAGTAATAGAGACGGTCTTGCCTACTCCTCTGTCTACTGGACCCTTGATTCTAAGCTCTTCCTGTCTTGTATCCTATTAGCCAACAAACTCAGCTTCCACTAGGATATACACAAGAGCTGCACACTGCATGATGATACGGGTTGTGAAGTGTTGATCCATCCCCAGTTTATGGGCTTGTTTCTTTGAGAGCTGAGGCATGAGATGGGGAGAGATAGGGACGTTACCCCTCAAGATGGAGAGCTGCTTATTGCAGAGTGCTAATTAGTGCTGGACGTTTGCCACCTGTAACCCTGCTTCATCTCAGAGGGAGAGACAGATGTTCTTATTAACAGCGGCTTTAGCAGAAACGAGACATGCACAGGTTCACCACATTCTGTAAGATTATTGGGTTTTCTAGGTACAATTTGAGGGCATAGCCAAATGTTGGCCCAGTTTTCTGACCCCATAGCTTCCTGTCTCTTCTACCTAGTTCATACTTTGGTAGAGCAAAATGTAACTCACTGCCACTCTGATGTGCAGGGGAAAGTGAGTGCAATTTAAAAATTTTCCATCTTTAACATGGTCTGTTCTCCTGAGGTCCACCCACCCCCACCCACTGATTAGTGGAAAAAATTAATTCTATATTCCATCTTGTTTAAACATGGTTCCATCTGTTCACTGAATTGGCCTCTTTAGGAAACTGTCTTGCATTTGGATACAGATACTCAGTCTCTAAGACTGCCTGTCCTTCACCTCTTCTGGCTTCAAGATGGTGTCTGGTGGTATCAGAGAAGGGTTTACATTTGCTTACAGCAACAGCAAACACTTGTAGTCCTCGATGATGGTGTCCACTCCCACTCTGTTCCCTGGGTGATGAGTTTGACCCACCTGAATTCCTCTTGCCCCACTGACATCTGAGGCTGGAGTGCCTTGTGACCTGGTCTTCCCTTACGTGATTAGGGAAGCCCCTGAGTGTCTGCCCTGTCCTGCCCCTGCCCTCTTGCCCAGCTGCCCTCCCCAGCTTCTGCCATGAGACACCTCATCCTGCCATGGCAGGCAGACTGGATATGATCATGTGATCATCTGTCCTTGACGTCAACCTTGAACTTATTTAATGCTCCCTTTCCCTGTCCCAGTGCAAGCCTTGACAGGGATACGGGGGGTCCCACACCTGCCTGCTTTGTCTCCTCACTCTCTTTTTTCTCTCTCCTCCATCTACCAAGCCAGAAAAAATGTGGGCTTTTCATTTACTTCTCCTACATCATATCTTCCTTCATTCTGCTTCCAGCTAAGCTTTAATGATGAAGTGGGATCTCTCCTATGCACTGCAGGGGAACTCTGTGGGCTGAGTCCTCCAAGCCCACATGCTGACACGCCGAAGGAAGAAAGAAACTTGGGGGATCCTTTCTTTAGGTAACAGTCTGGCTTGCAAAATGTGTTTTTGCTGCTTAATGCTATTTTTGAATATAGCAACACAATATTACCTTTTTACCCTTCTCTTGGAGTTCCATTTATGACAAATTCTGATCCCCCTCCACAGACAGATAGATGCTAGGGTGAACTAGGGCAAGAGTTTTTGTATTTGTGGAAACTCTATTTATAATTCTATTCTGGGAATCTTTTACTTGGCATTTGATCTGCCTAAAACCAGACTCTTCTTCCACTGCCAGCTTAGTTTTCCTAAAATCATACTTTGATCGTGTCACTCCCGCCCAAAAGCCTTCCATGGCTCCCCGTTGCCATTGCATGAGCTCCTTTGGCTCTAACCTCCCCAGATTCTCCTTCATAGCTTTCTCCTTAGCAGGCCTGTCCCCTCTTTCTTCTTGCCTTCTTCCAAGTCTTTGCTCACCTAAATATACCACCTCCCTCTTCTTTCTGCCTATTCAAATTCCAGCATCCTCCAAAACCTGTACCAATCCCACCCGTTCCATGAAGTTCTTTGGATGAGCTGAGTAAAGGCTCTCCCTTCTGCTGTTCCACAGCACTTATTGGACACGTAGCCCAGCCTGCTTTGTTGAGTTGGCACAATGGAGGTCCTGCCTTGGAGGTGGCCCATTGGTGACTGGGAGACATGTCTGGAGACATGTCCAGAGACCAAGAGTCAAGCTAGTTAGGCAGTGCATGATAGATAAAATCCACTTCAAAGGCAAAATGTCTTCCAGAAAAGGAGCAGGAGGAGAAGGACTTACTGACTTAATTAACGAATCAGTACTCCTAATAGATTAAATAAGAAAATGTGGGCCAGGCGCAGTGGTTCACGCCTGTAATCCCAGCACTTTGGGAGGCCGAGGCAGGTGGATCACAAGGTCAGGAGTTCGAGACCAGCCTGGCCAATATGGTGAAATCTCATCTCTACTAAAAAATACAAATATTAGCTGGGCGTGGTGGCACATACCTGTAGTCCCAGCTACTTGGGAGGCTGAGGCAGGAGAATTGCTTGAACCTGGGAGGCGGAGGTTGCAGTGAGCCGAGATCACACCACTGCACTCCAGCCTGGGCGATAGAGTGAGACGTCATGTCAAAAAAAAAAGAAAGAAAGAAAGGAAAAAGAAAATGTGCCAGTGGAAGTGAAGGGTTAACCCGGACTGCAGAGCCATGTCCAGGCAGCATGTCCCTGGCCCTGACCAGGTGATATGACCCCATGGTCCCCAGGGTAACCTGTCCCTGCAGGGGGAAGTGAGTGGCTGTGGCAGTCGTTGTGGATGACACCAGCTCAGTCTCTGGCTCCTGCCTTTCACTGACATTTGTCTTCCATGTGGACACCCCTAGGGGTGTTGACTGGTTGATCTAAACATTCCAGTATGCGAGTCCTCTTTCGGCCTACAGCTCACACGTTAGTGACCAGCTAGTCCGGCAGTCTCAGGATCTCAGCTGTGTGAGTCAATGTCAAGGGCTTACCTTGGATCAGAGCCTGGGATGCAATGGCCACGTCAATATCCTGTCCCCAGGGGGCTCTGTGTGAACTAAGGTCATCTTCCCTGGGGGTATCTCTGCAGCATAGGGAAGCATCCCCTCTGTTTTCCTAACAGACTCTAGGTGGGACGGGGCGGGCGATACTTCCACTATTGGTTTGTACCTTCATAGCGAGTAGCCCCATCCCTTGCATTCAGTTATAGACATACAGTAAGTATTTGTTGAACTGGACCTGGAAACTGCTCCTCAAGAAAAAAGACGTTGGAGAAATTCTTAACAACAACAACTTATGGACCTTTGGTCCAGAGGTGAGACCTGCAAAGAAAAAGGGTGAAAATTGGAAAGAATGCAGATGTGTGTCCTCATGGGTATGTCCCAGGGAAAGTGGAAATTACCGAAGAAGCTGGGGGAACTCCAACAATATTCCCTGGGCACTGCGCCCAGAAGGGGCACAAAGATGAGTAGCATATGGTCTTGAGCTGGGGACTTTAATAGCTCACAGGCTACTTGAGACAAAGAAATATAGAAATACATTCTCCAGGCTGAGGACTGGTCTCCTCAGTGTATGGAAAGGCCATGTCATGTTGTCTACATATCTCAGGTGGGCTGATGACAAGTCCTCATAGATTAAGGACTGGCCCCCTCAGGGTGAGGACAGGTTCCTTCGGGCTGGGAGGTAGGGGACATATCTCTTCTCTCCTACTCGGTCTCCCAGCCTCTTGCACTCAGACAGGCTGTCTCCTCCAGCTGGGGCCTGGCTTTGCTTCCAGTGGACACTGATGGCCTTGTCTCTAGAGAAGGTTTCCTCTTTAAGACCATGCACTATTAAGCCAGGCGCAGTGGCTCGTGCCTGTAATCCTAGCACTTTGGGAGGCCAAGGCAGGTGGACCACCTGAGGTCAGGAGTTCGAGACCAGCCTAGCCAACATGGTGAAACCTCCGTCTCTACTAAAAATACAAAAATTAGCTGGGCATGGTGGGGCATGCTTGTAATCCCAGCTACGCTGGAGGCTGAGGCAGGAGAATTGCTGGAACCCGGGAGGTGGAGGTTGCAGTGAGCTGAGATGGTATCACTGCACTCCAGCGTGGACGACAGAGCGAGACATCGTCTCAAAACAAACAAACAAATAAAACGCTATTAGAAAAACACAATTCACAAAACCTAAAATATAGAGGGATTAAGCATTTGTACAACAAGGTATATTTAAATCTAAATAGACTATCTGCAGGGTTCCTGTCAGATTTTCAATTTATAAAAATGTTACTTACATACAACTTTTCAGGAACCATTTCATTGATAGAAACAGCTCACCTGATGAACCTCCAAATGTTCACTGTGGGGTCTGGGTGTGTGGAGGAGTCTCTCCCACAGGGGAGATTTGACCAAGGGTCTTCAGTTTCTTGCTGGGACCACATGGGCTGGTGCAGAGAGGATATCCCAGTTGATCGCGATAGGAAACGGCAGCACTACAAAACCCTAGTGAGGCAGAAAAGGAATGGGGACGGTTCCTAACCCTAACTGTCCCAAAGACGAGACAATTTGATAAGGGAACACAGGAAGAAATCATAGGTCAGGGAGGGTCTCCCACTTAATTCCAGAATGTATCTTCCCTGCTTAAAGCCAAAGAGGTCTATAAAAATATCTTCCAACCTCTGCAGATGTAACAGACATTCATAGAGGAAGATTTTCAGACTTGTTCCCATGGGTAGAGAGTGCCTGGAGAAAGACACCACCATTTCAGCTTCATGTGAACCCTGCAGGAACAAATGGACACAGGAACATCCAGAGTGACAGGACAGTGGGTTGAGTCTGTGCTGTTGACATGGGACTCTGCAGACAGAGAGAATGAGACCTCTCTGCGCTCACTGTTGTTGACACCAACAAATGGCTGTAATATCACAGAGCTTGTGAGGCTGAAAATAACTCAAGCACAAAGAGAATGATGAGAAAAGTTCATCTGGACCAGAACCAGGGAAGACTATGCCAGACATGCTCAGTTAGGGATTGAAGTAGCACCTAGCGGGTGAAATTGGCTTTGAACTCTAGACTCCCTCCGGAGTGTTTTTTGTTGTTGTTGTTGTTTGTTTGTTTTTGTTGTTGTTGTTTTTTAGACAGAGTCTTCCTCTGTCACCCAGGCTGGAGAATGCAGTGGAATGATCTCGGCTCACTGCAACCTCTGTCTCCCGGGTTCCAGTGATTCTCCTGCCTCAGCCTCCCGAGTAGCTGTGATTACAGGCACCCGCCACCGTGCCCGGCTAATTTTTGTATTTTTAATAAAGACGGGGTTTCGCCAAATTGGCCAAGCTTGTCTCGAACTCCTGACCTTAGGTGATCCGCCGTTCTTGGCCTCCCAAAGTGCTGGGTGGAGTGGTATTTTTATATCTGGAGTGATATTTTTATTTTACATGTATGTTTATATCCAGAAAGATCTTTTCATTTTCTATGTATGTTTCTGAGCCTGGGTGCCTCTGAACAGTTCATTCTGTAGCCTGGGTTCCATTTTCTGCAAGTGAACTCTGGGATCCAACTGCAGTTGTCCAAAATGCAAGAACCTCTGAAGGAGTGTTCAGGCAAAGACATGTCCTGGCTCTACTTTGCTTTCTAGAGAGGAGCCTGGAAGGGTGGACTCTGTTGGAAAAGGCCATGCCTTGTCCCTGCTCATGATTGCCCTGCATTCTCTTTTCTTGGGCTAGTGCCAGCCTGAGTAGGAGAATTGGGTTTGCTGCCTGGCAGACTCCTGGTTGGGGGCTGTTGGCGCAGAACTTGACACCTGGGTGGAGACACTGAAGTAGCACCCAGGCCCAGCTGCATCCAGTCATGGTGACTTAAGCTCCAGGGCTGGATAGCTACCTGGAGCCAGTTCTTGATTTTGAACATATAGATAGGAGACTGCAATCAGCAGATTTGCAATCTTCTGCCTGCTTGCTTTGACTCCCTAAGGTTTCATTTACTCTTGAATCTAAAAGATGTTTACTTAAAAAGTAAAGAGGTTCATGCAGCTGAGTAAATACTGGCAGAACATTTCACAAAATCTTCTGAAAGCCCAGACAGATCGTCAAGATGAAGGCTTCTGTGTAACAGAAACACCCGCCAGGCCCATTCATTCACTCTTGAGGAAAAAGTGAATGATATGTATTTTGAGCACCGACTTAGGCTTCTGAGGCCCCTCTGCCTCAACTGCCTGGACTTGTTGGCTTCTGCCGCCCCCATCTTTGTCTGGCCCCCGCCCAACCTCGCTCTGACCCCCAGCTGAGCTTCTACTCCTGGACTTCAGATTTCTGCCTCTTTCTGAGAATATGTCTCCAAGCCTTCTTGTCAGCATACTGAAATAGAAGTTTTCATTTCTCATTATGACAGATTTAAGGCACTGTGAGTCTTGAATTAGAATTACTGCCTTGATACTCTTTAATCCTTCATAATACCCTTCTGGGCAGCTGTAGCCCTGGGGTGGAGCCATTAGTTATTTTCTGGATGTGACACAAAGTAGCTGATGGATTTCTCACAGCCCCTGTCTTTTTTTTTTTTTTTTTGAGATGGAGTCTCGCTCTGTCACCCAGGCTGCAGTGCAGTGGGCATCTCGGCTCACTGCAAGCTCAGCCTCCCGTGTTCATGCCATTCTCCTGCCTCAGCCTCCCGAGTAGCTGGGACTATAGGCGCCCACCACCATGCCCGGCTAATTTTTTTTTTTTTTTTGTATTTTTAGTAGAGACAGGGTTTCACCGTGTTAGGAAGGATGGTCTTGATCTCCTGACCTCGTGATCCGCCTGCCTTGGCCTCCCAAAATACTGGCATTACAGGCGTGAGCCACTGTGCCTGGCCTGTCATTTTTTTTAAGCCACTTTAGTAGCCAGTGAATAGTAAGCATCACTATGATTTTTTTAAATTTATTTATTTCATTTTTTAGTTTTATTTTTTTTGAGAAAATAGAGTCTCGCTCTGTCTCCCAGGCTGGAGTGCAGTGGCGCAATCTCAGCTCACTGCAACCTCCAACCCCCAGGTTCAAGAGATTCTCCTGCCTCAGCCTCCAAGTAGCTGGGATTACAGGCTTACGCCACCATGCCCAGCTAATTTTTGTATTTTTAGTAGAGACAGGGTTTTACCATGTTGGCCAGGCTGGTCTTGAACTCCTGACCTCAAGTGATCTGCCTGCCTCGACCTCCCAAAATGCTGGGATTACAGGCATGAGCCAGCAGGCCCAGCCTTCACTATGAATTTTTGCTTTGTAACAGTTCAATTTAAGTGCAACTTTCCTAAAATGTATTGATTTTATAAAGTGACACCAACACATTGCATATCAACCCCCTAAATACACAAAAGGCCTTCCTTGTAAAGGGCAGATGAGAGAGGCTTGGGGTGGCCTACAAATTCCCTGGTGCGTAACCAGGTGGTTGCCACTCAGCAGCATTTGCAAAACAAACCCATTCTCTATGTTTCCCTTTCCTGGATTTTTTTGGGGGGGCCATATTTCTATTTGTGTGTCAGGCCACCTCAGTGCTCCCTGCACTATTTATCATTTTCTCAATACATTCTTTATCTTAAAGGAAAACTTCCTATCAATACTATATATGTTACCCATATTTAGTCTGATACATTTTAAAATAAATAGTAGAATAAAAACATTCATTTGTGTATCACCTAAAATCTTTTCACATACTCCTAATATTATGCATACCTCAGTTGGATAAAGATCTATGTGATCACTCCAATGATAGAAGTTTGTACAAGGTGTAGGCCGGGCGCAGTGGCTCACACCTGTAATCCCAGCACTTTGGGAGGCCGAGGCGGGTGGATCATTTGAGGCCAGGAGTTTGAGACCAGCCTGGCCAACATGGTGAAACCCCATCTCTACTAAAAATACAACAATTAGCTGGGTGTGGTGGCGCAAACCTGTAATCCCAGCTACTTGGGAGGCTGAGGCAGAAGAATTGCTTGAACCTGGGAGGCAGAGCTTGCAGTGAGCCAAGCGTGCCACTGCACTCCAGCCTGGGAGACAGAGCAAGACTGTCTCAAAAAGAAAAAAAAGTTTATACAATATGTAGATTTAGTAAACAGGAAGGCGAAAAATGATTATTACGCAGAGTCTATTCCTGGACTACCTTGTTTTAAGAATATTGTAGCCCCGGCCGGGTGTGATGGTTCACACCTGTAATTCCAGCACTTTGAGAGACTGAAGTGGGAGGATTGCTTGAGTCCAAGAGTTTGAGACAAGCCTGGGCAACATAACAAGATCCTGTCTTTAAAAAAAAAAAAATTAGCCAGGCGTGGTGGCAGGCACCTGTGGTCCCAGCTACTTGAGAAGCTGAGGTGGGAGGATCCCTTGAACCCGGGAGGTCAAGGCTGCAGTGAGCTGTGATTGCACTACGGCACTCCAGCTTGGGAGACGGAGCGAGACAGGTCTCAAAAAAAAAAAAAAAAAATTGTAACCCCACCCCATATCAATTCCATATTAAGTATACATATTGTTATAGAGAGAGACTTTTATTTTTTAGAGCAGTTTAGACTCACAGCAAAATTGAGCTGAAGGTACAGAGAGTTCCCATATACCTGTTCCTGCAAAGACCATCAACATTCTGCACCAAAGAGGTTGTTACAATTGATGAACCAATATTGACACCCTATTATCACTCACAGTCCATAGCTTACATTAGGGTATGTGTTTTGGCAGCTGTATAATGACAGTATCCACCATTATGACATCATACAGAATAGTTTCACTGTCCTAAAAATCCTCCTTGCTCCGTCTATTCATCCCTTTCTTCCCTCAAACCCCGGGCAACCACCGATCTTTTTACTGTCTGCATAGTTTTGCCTTTTCCAGAATGTCATATA
The DNA here is from genome assembly GCF_000001405.40 of Homo sapiens. Lineage (NCBI taxonomy): Eukaryota > Metazoa > Chordata > Mammalia > Primates > Hominidae > Homo > Homo sapiens. The sequence continues at coordinate 9,671,955 of NC_000002.12, forward strand.
GTTGGAATTGTACCGTAAGTAGCCTTTTCAGCTTGGATTCATTCACTTAGTAATATGCATTTAATTTTCCTCCATGCAGCTTGATAGCTCTTTTTTTTAAAGCACTGAATAATATTCCATTGTGTGGATATACCACAGTTTATCCATTCACCTATTAAAGGACATCTGGGATGTTTCCAAGTTTTGGCAACTATGAATAAATCTGCTCCAAACATTCTTTTATTATTATTTTTGAGACGGAGGGAGTCTCACTCTGTCGCCCAGGCTGGAGTGCAGTGGCATGATCTCAGGTCATTGCAACTTCCATCTCCTAGGTTCAAGTGACTCTCCTGCCTCAGCCTCCCGAGTAGCTGGGATTACAGGCATATGCCACCATGCCCAGCTAATTTTTTGTATTTTTAGTAGAGACGGGGTTTCACCATGTTGGCCAGGCTGGTCTCGAACTCCTGGCCTCAAACAATCCGCCCGCCTCGGCCTGCCAAAGTGCTGGGATTACATGCATGAGCCACGTGCCCAGCCTGCTCTAAACATTCTTGTGCAAGTTTTTGGGTGGACATAAGTTTTCAATTGTTTGGGTAACTACCAAGTAGCGTGATTGTATGTTTCGTTTTGTAAAAAAAACCCAAACTGTTTTCCAAAGTGGCTGTACCAGTTTGCACTCCCATGTTCCTGTTACTCTACATCCCCATCAGCATTTGGTGTTGCCAGTGTTTTGGATTTGGGCCGTGCTAATAGGCGTGTAGTGGTATCTCGTTGTTTTAATTTGTAATTCCCTAAGGATGTATGATGTCGAGCATCTTCTCATACACTTATTTTTCCACCTGTACATCTTTGGTGAGGGGTCTGTATGTTTTTTTTTTTTTTGAGATGGAGTCTTGCTCTGTTGTCCAGGCTGGAGTGCAATGGTGCCATCTCAACTCACTGCAACCTCTACCTCCTGGGTTCAAGCAATTCTCCTGCCTCAGCCTCCTGAGTAGCTGGGACTACAGACACCCACCACCACGCCTGGCCAATTTTTGTATTTTTAGTAGAGACAGGGTTTCACCATTTTGGCCAGGCTAGTCTCGAACTCCTGACCTCAAGTGATCCACCTGCCTCGGCCTCCCAAAGTGCTGGGATTACAGGCATCAGCCACTGTGCCCAGCCTGTTTGAGTCTTTTTCCCATTATTTAGTTGGGTTGTTCATTTTCTTACTGTTGAGTTTTAAGAGTTCTTTGTATATTTTAGATAACGGTTTTTAATCAGAAGTGCCTTATGCAGACATTTTCTCCCAGCCTGTGGCTTGTCTTCTCTTTCTCCTGACAGTCTTTCTTTTGAAGAGCAGACCAGGTGTGGTGGCTCACGCCTGTAATCCCAGCAATTTGGGAGGCTGAGGTAGGTAGGTCACTTGAGGTTAGGAGTTCAAGACCAGTCTGGCCAACACGGTGAAACCTCGTCTCTACTAAAAATATGAAAATTAGCCAGACATAGTGGCTCATGCCTATAGTTCCAACTACTTGAGGGGCTGAGCCAGGAGAATTGCTTGAACCCAGAAGGCGGAGGTTGCAGTCAGCTGAGATTGCACCACTGCACTCCAGCCTGGGTGACAGAACGAGACCCTGTCTCAAAAAAAAAAAAAAAGAGAGAGCCACATTAAGTATTTAATTTGGGGTTTTATTGAGAACATTTAGGCTGGGTGTGGTGGCTTACACCTGTAATCCCAGCACTTTGAAAGGGCTCAGGTGGGAGGATCCCTTGAGGCCAGGAGTTTGAGACTGGCCTGGGCAACATAGTGAGACCCATCTCTACCAAAAAAAAAAAAAAAAAAAAAAAAAAAGAGAGAGAGAAATTAGCCAGGTGTGGTGGTGCACACCTGTAGTTGTAACTGCTCGGGAGGTGGTAACTACTCAGGAGTGTGAGGCTACAGTGAGCTATGATCATGCCATTGCACTCCAGCATAGGCAACAGAACTCTAAAAAAAAAAAAAAAAACCCAGAAAGCTGAGGTCCAGGGAACAGCAGTCATGCCATGTCATTGTTGCCATCACCATGATCACCATCATTGTCAACCATTTATCTAACACCTACCCAGTGTGCGTGCTGAGGCTGGAGAGAAGGATAAGAGGTGGTCCTGCCCTCGGGGCTTGCAGTCGGCTGGGATGATAAGTCCTGCAGAAATTTAGTGGCCGAGCTGCCACTAGAGCTCAGGTCTCTCTCTGGACTCCCAGACCAGGGCTTATCCTGTTATATTGTGGCCTCTTCTATTCTATCGCCACAGTCACACGGGGGTGAGTGTCCTTAGGTGAGATGCTAATTTAGACTATAGATAGATCCTAACACATAAAAAGATTATGTTTTGGATAAGAATGGTGATTCTGGCTCAATGCCCAGTACAGGCATTGGGATGTTATCTGAACTGAGTGCCAGACAAAATGAGATATTAAGAATGCCTGGAGAAGGATCTAATAGGACCTGGCTTGGATCAGGTGTCCACCTCTGGGCCAGTCATCTGTGACCAGGGGCAGAGTCATGGCCTGTTGTAGGGTGGGTGGAGCGGGGAGGGATAGCATTTGGAGATATACCTAATGTTAAATGATGAGTTACTGGGTGCAGCACACCAACATGGCACATGTATACATATGTAACTAACCTGCACGTTGTGCACATGTACCCTAAAACTTAAAGTATAATAAAATAAATAAATAAATAAATAAAACAAGTTGGGAAGCTCCTGCTAAAATCAAAGGGTTAGAGTCAGAGGAGGAGCGGTTCCCCCAAGAAGGCATGCTTCCCAGAAGGGAGGAGGTGTCAGGCAGACCAAGCAGTAAGTGCCCTCTATAATGACAGAAGCTCATTCAAGAAGATATTAAAGATATTTAAAAAGGAGAGAGGCTCTGTCCTCCTGGGGTCAAGGATGTTATAGTACCCACTCACTTAGAATTGAAAGTGAAGGGGAACAAGTTGGCAAAGAACCAAGGGCAAGAAAGCAAAAGACAACCTGCTGTGTGGGAGGTAGTTGAATTTGTGTGGACGCTAAACTGGTACAAATAAGGGAACAGGGAGTGGGAAATGAAGTTTTGGGAGGGAAAAGTTAGGAAGGGGCTAAACCCTGGCGAACTGGATGCCAGAACTGATGCTTTAAATTGTAGACTTTGGGATTGGGTTGCGGGATCAAATAAAGAATGCTCAGTTAAATTCAAATTTCAGAAACACAATGGATATTTGCATGAACATACTTATGCTAAAAGAGTATTCATTGTGTATCTGAAATTCAAATTTAACTGGACATTTTTTTTCTTAAACCCGTTAATCCTATTTGAGGAGCCAGTGAAGGGTTTTGGGCCAATGCTTGCCTGAGGCCATTGACTCGATCCAAACTCCAGAACCTCTTACCTCCAAAATCTTGGGCAGTGAAACTGATGCCCATTACAGTGAATCAGGCTTTGCCAGCTACTTGGTTCCTTTTGAATTCTCCCAGAAAGACTGAATCCCCAGCATGGAGTGTTAAGTATAGTCTTTTAATGTCTCAATGCTTTCGGCTCTGGCACATCTATCCTTTGTCACCGTGGTAACTCAATCTGAGCCACAGAATTCAATTAACCAAATGCCCCATTTCCTTGAGGATGACTAAGTAGTCAAACTCCCCAGGCTTGCTGACATCATCCTTGATCTATTCCTTCAGTGAGCTTGGTTATAAACACAGACGGAAATTAAGAAACAAGAATCACAGATTTGCAAACGTGTTGCTGTCTCTTCTGTCCCCATCCTTACTCTATGGCGGGGAGGTCGCAGGGCGGGGCCTTGGGAAACTGCACAGCTCTGGCTTCCCGGATAGCTGTGAGAAGCAGCACAGTGCATCTTCACAGCCAGGACCCCGAGGGGATTGTTATAGCACACCCAGGAGCGCACTCCCTCAGCAATTTTCACTTACAACAGAGAGGAGTCTGTCGGGAAAACATGCACCCTCTACAAAGGAGTGATTCAGATGACCTGGTCTCAGCTTCCAGCTCCTCTGCTCTCCAGCCGTTCACACACTCCCCATCACAGGAAGATTTGTTAAAAGCCAACCAAGAAAGAGAGAGAATTTGAGATCCTGCACAAACAATCCTAGAAGGTGCCAGAAGCTGCCAGAAGCTTCTTCTTTTCCAAGAAGCCACCACTTTGACTGCAGCCACAAATGACTGCCCACTCCTGCAGGAAGACAGGAGGACCCCAGAGCCCTATGTGCTCTGCCCCTGTCTACAGACCTGCCTCTCACCGCATGCCCACAGTCACCACATGTCAGCCATGGCAAACTACCTGGGGACCCCCAAGCGACCTGCTTGTGGGGCTCTGCACCCTGGTGCCAGTTCTTCTTTTAGCCTGGGGTCCTCCACCTGCCCTCTGCCTCAATGGCTCAGTAGAGCCTTCAGAGCTCACATATCAGCTCCTCCAAAAAGTGGTGCCGGACCCTGCCTCCCGTCCCTGAAAACCGAGCTTGCACTGTCACATTTAACATGTTGTGCCTGACCTATTCTTCTACACTTCTGTCCTCGTGACGTGGGGTCTGCTGGAGGCCAGTGAATGTGAATTTTATCTTTGTACTTGCAGGGCACAACACGACACTAGGTATGGATTAGATGCTCAGTAACAATTTTAAACTGGTTTAAAAGTAATTCCAACATTGCAGAAGGGTCTAAGGCAAAAAATGAATAAAAGTTTCCTGCCACTTCTCAATCTCATTCTTCAGAGGCATCCACATACACGAGGAAAGCAGTCTTCTAGATATTGACTACGCCTGAATGACCATACTACATGTGCACTCAGGCACCGAGCACATAAGCATATGCACAGGACCATATAAGCCACGCTGTCCCATGCTTGCCCTTTTCACTTTAGCAATGTATCTTTTTTTTTTTTTTTAAGAGGCAGAGTCTTGCTTTATCACTCAGGCTGAAGTGCAGTGGTGCAATCATAGCTCACTATAGCCTTGAGCTCCTGGCTTTGAGTGATCCTCCCACCTCAGCCTCCTGAGTAGTTGGGATTATAGGTGAGCCACCATGCCTGTCCAGCAATTGAGCTTTATTTTATTTTTTTGAGATGGAGTCTCCCTCTGTTGCCCAGGCTAGAGTGCAGAGGTACAGTGCAACCTCTGCTTCCTGGGTTCAAGCGATTCTCCTGCCTCAGCCTCCTGAGTAGCTGGGATTACAGTTGTCCACCACCATGCCTCTCTAATTTTTTGTATTTTTAGTAGAGATGGGGTTTAACCATGTTGGCCAGGCTGGTCTTGAACTCCTGACCTTAAGTGATCCTCCTGCTTCGGCCTCCCAAAGTGCTGGGATTACAAGTGTGAGCCACCATGCCTGGCCTGGCCAGCAATATAGCTTTTAAAACTTTCCATGGCAACATGTATAGATCTACATTAATCTATCGATGCATAATATACCATAATAGAAGTCTAGAAAAGTCTATTTAAACAATCTCACATTTTAAATTGCTTTTTTTCTATTTTAGACAGTGCTGTATCCGCATCCCCTCTCTCTCTATCTCTCTTTTTTTTTCTTTTTTTTTTTTTGGAGACAGGGTCTCACTCTGTTGCCCAGATTGGAGTGCAGTGGCTCTATCTCAGCTCACTGCAACCTTCACCTCCCGGGTTCAAACAATTCTCCTGCCTCAGCCTCCCGAGTAGCTGGGATTGATTACAGCTGCCTGCCATCACGCCTAGCTAATTTTTGTATTTTTAGTAGAGACAGGGTTTCACCATGTTGGCCAGGCTGGTCTCAAACTCCTGCCCTCAGGTGATCCACCCACCTCAGCCTCCCAAAGTGCTGGGATTACAGGCCTGAGCCACCGCACCTGGCTGTTATAATCTCTTTTTATATGCACCTATTTGCTTTTGTACATGGGTATAGGACAAATTTCTAGAAATGAAATTGGTAGGACATAGAAAGGGCATTTAGAATTTGTCAAAGGTCTCCGAAAAGGTGGCAACAAATCAAACTCCAAGCACAGGGCAGGAGTCTTTTTCCAGAAACTCTTGCCAACACAATGTAGTCACCTTTGTAATTTTTACTAGTCTGAAGAATACAATTCACTCTTCTGACTGGCACTAATTTGAGAAAAGTTGTATTTTTAAAATGTTATCATTGGTCATTTGTATTTCTTTTTCAGTGAACTACTTAGTTACAATATCCTTTGCTCATTGTCCTATTTGGTATTTTTCGCTTTCATATTGATTTGCCTAGGTCCTTTAGATTTTAATGAAATTAGCCTGTATACATACATACATATATATATATATATATATATATATATATATATGTATAAAATCTCTTCCCCCCCAGTTTGTTGTATATTATTTCTTCTTATTTCTTATTTATTTATTTTTGCCTCATAAAAGTTTTAAATATAAATTTAGTAGTCACATTTAACAATCTTGTCCTGGCTTCTGAGCAGATACGCTCATTAAAAGATACGAGTAAATAAAAGAATAAACAAATTCCTATAGCTCTCATTAATTGTACCATATTTTAGAATATACACAGTCATATTATTTTTATTATTATTTTATGTTAGGTAATATTACTTCCTCACTGAAATTGAAAGCAGGATTTGTGATTTGGACTTCTCAGTAGGCTGATATTCTACTAAGTTCTTGAGTTCTGCCAAGCACCACCTGTATTAGTTCGTTCTCATGCTGTTGTAAGGAATGCCCAAGACTAGGTAATTTATAAAGGAACGAGGTTTAATTGACTCACAGTTTCACATGGCTGCGAAGGCCTCAGGAAATTTACAATCACGAGGAAAGGGGAAGCAAACACGTCCTCCTTCACATGGCGGCAGGAGAGAGAAGTGCAGAGCAAAAGCGAGAAAAGCCCCCTATAAAACCTCAGATCTTATGAAAACTCATTCACTGTCACGAGGACAGCACGGGGGGACCGCCCTATGATCTAATCACCTCCCCCAATATGTGGAGATTACAATTAGGATTACAATTCAAGATGAGATTTGGGTGGGGATACAGAGTCAGACCATATCACACCCATGCCTCAAAGCCCAGCTCCCATGTCTCAGGCCCACGCAGACGTAAGACACCCTGAAAACCAAGCCCATCCCAGTGCCTGCTTCCAGGCCTTCCTCCATCTATGGCCTGAAAGTCTGTGTTTCCCCCAAAATTCATATGTTGAAATCTAACTGCTGAAATGATGGTACTTGGAGGTGGGGCCTTTAGTAGGTGATTACATCATGAGACCACACCCTCACGATGTGATTAGTGCCCTTAGAGAAGAGACCCCAGAGAGCTGCCTTGCCCCTTCCACCATGTGAGAACACAATGAGAAGATAGCTGTCTATGAACCAGGAAGTGGGTCCTCTCCAGGCACTGAGTCTACCAGCACCTTAATCTTGGACTTCCCAGGTTCTAGAACTGTGAGGACAAAATTTCTATTGTTTACAAGCCTATGATATTTTGTTATAGCAGCTGGAACAGACTAAGACACTGCACATGACAGGAGGCACAGCCCAGCCCAGTCCATAGGACCCATCAGATCCGAGGCTGAAAGAGTCCTAAAAGTTGTGCCCAACACCCTGGCTGTAGCATGTGGTGGGACTGCAACCTCGTGGGGTCCTTCATCCATTCCTTCAGGCCCTGGACTGAGTGCATGGAACTTGGGGAAGAGGGGCAGCATTCCTGCCTTCAGGCTGAGAGAACATGTGGGTGCCTGCACAGGTCTGTCCAGCCCTGCCTGCCACAAGCCCACGATAGGCTGCCTGCCGAGTTCTCTTGCTTGGGTCATAGGACCCTGCCTCATTTCCTGGGCCTGGGCCTGGGCTCTTTCCTGCTGACCTGCCTCATGCTCTGGGACACTCCAGCTCTCACCTTTCCACCTCCACAGGTGCTATAATTCTGTGTCTGAACCACACACTTGTTCCTGGAGCCCCAGTCCCTGCCACTCTTCTTGCTGGCCTCCCGCAAAGTGGCATGTCAGTGACAGTACCCCAGTGGGACCCTTCTGTCTTAGTCTATCTGCTGTATTATCTGCTGTAATACAAGGCCATTAACTGGGTGGCTTATACACAACAGAAATTCATTTCTCACAGATCTGGGGTCTGGGAAGTCCAAGGTCAAGGTAGATTTGGTGTTTGGTGAGGACCTGCTTTCTGATTCATAGACGTGTCCTCACATGGTAGAAAGGGGAAGGCACCTCTCTGGGGCCTCTTTTATAAGGGCATTAATCTCATTCTTGAGGGTTCTGCCCTCATGACCTAATCATCTCCCATAGGACTCTCCACCTAATGCCATCACATTGGAGATTAGGTTTTGTAGGCGCTGAAGCAACTCCATCTTGGATGCTAGTCTGCCATGTTGACTTCTGATTAATTCCAGTTCCAGGAATGCCTCTAAGATTTCTGCTTTATCTACTGTTTACTGTAAATCCTCCACACAGGCAAACTCTTTCTGAAGCACATATATCCTTTCTTTATGGTACATAGGCCCTGGGTCTGGGAGATGATAAGGACTTGGAGATCCACCATCTTGCCCAAGACATGCCTTCTGTTCCTAAGCCTCTATTAGATGTTTCTTTCTGAGAAACTGGATTTTGTCAGCCTCTTTCTTTGGCCTCTCAGCTCCCCTTGCCTTTAGGGGTAGGTTTGCATAGATCTGCCTGCCACAGAACAGTTTTCAACATATGGATTTTTGGGGGGACACAGGCGTTCAGTCCATAGCATCTTCCCCTACATTTTGCCTGATTAACACTTATTCTTAGGATCATACTCCCATTGAATGAGTGCTATGTGCTAGACTCTGCTTGATCCCCTGCACATTATTTCCTTTACTGTTCACCAACAATATTTTGCGAGTTGTGTTATATCCCCTTTTACAAACCAGGAAGCCAAGAGTCAGGGAGAGGAAGCCAGTTGCCTGAGATCTCCTAACCTTGAAGGAGGAGGGCCAGCAGTTCAACCCTCTCTCCCTGAGGCTCCTGCAGGCCTCAGCTCCATCTGCTGCACTATAATTCCTTCCAGCCACAGGCCTGCCCCCAAGACCTTTCTCCCACAGACAGTAGTTCAGGCCCAGCCCTTCCCAGCCTACCCTCAGCCACCACAGCCATCCTGAGGTAGAAGTTACTTCAGGCCAGGCATGGTGGCTCACACCTGTAATCCCAGCACTTTGGGAGGCCAAGGTGGGAGGATCACTTGAGCCCAGAAGTTTGAGACCAGCCTGGGCAACACAGTGAGAACCCGTCTTTACAAAAAGTTGTGTAAAAAATTAGCTGCGCGTGGTGGCACGTGCCCATGGTCCCAGCTACGCAGGAGGCTGAGGTGTGAGGAATACTTTAGCCTGCAATGTCACAGCTACAGTGAGCCGTGATTGCACCACTGTGCTCTAAGCTGGGTGACAGAGCAAGCTGTCTCAAAAAAAAAAAAAAAGCAGTTATTTCACCTCCTTTATTGCAGATTGCTACAAATATAAACAAAAAGAAGTAAAAGCATTCCCTTCTTCTTCTGCTCCCACCTAGGGAGAAAACTGGGCTGTTTGGTAAAAGCCTTGGCGGCAGAACGTGTGCATTTGCCTGATCTCTTCAAGGCTCCCCAAGCCACACTCCTCAGAGACCGGTTCAGTGCCCACACTCCCTCCCCAGTCCCTCCCCAGGAAACAAATGTGGTGATGGCTTCCTCCTCTGCCTGCCATGGGCCCAGGCCTGAAGGAAGGAGCCATTAAGCTGAGAGAATGGGCTCTTTCCTCTCTCTTTGTTTCATTTTTAAAAATTGTTGAGTCATTGAATGAAACAACATATGAATACATTATTCTAGTAGATGGATACAGACATATAAAGTAAAAACTTGAGGCCGGGCACGGTGGCTCACGACTGTAATCCCAGCACTCTGGGAGGCCAAGGCGGGAGGATCACCTGAGGTCAGGAGTTGGAGACCAGCCTCACCAACATGGTGAAACCCCGCCCCTACTAAAAATACAAAAATTAGCCAGGTGTGGTGGCACAGGCGTGGTGCCTGTAATCCCAGCTACTCGGGAGGCTGAGGAGGAGAATCGCTTGAACCTGGGAAGTGGAGGTTGCAGTGAACCGAGATCGCGCCATTGCACTCCAGCCTGGGCGACAGCAAGATTCTGTCTCAAAAAAACCCAAAAAACAAAACAACAAAACCTTGAAGCTCCCCAAAAGAAATTACTAACAGTATGTTATACATCACACACATACACATACACAAACACAAACACAAATGTGATGTCATAGTACATAAAATACTATTGTCCCATTACTTGCTTGTTTAAATTTTTACTTTTACATATTAAATTTGACTTAGAAAAAGTTCCACGTGAGGATATACAGCTCCACTTCCTTGTTTCCAAGGGTTATGAAATATCTTATAGTAAGATTTATTTATTTATTTATTATTGTTTTGAGACAGGGTCTCACTCTGTCACCCAGGCTGGAGTGCAGTGGCGTGATCACGACTCACTGTAGTCTCAACTTCCCAGGTTCTAGCAATCCTCCCACCTAGCCTCTCAAGTAGCTAGGCACACAGGCACGTGCCACCACGCCTGGCTAATTTTTAAATTTTTTTGTAGAGACAGAGCCTCATTATATTACCTAGGCTGGTCACAAACTCCTGGGCTCAAGTGATCCCCCCGCCTCAGCCTCCCAAAGTGCTGGGATTACAGGTGTGAGCCACTGCACCCGGCCTAGTAGGGTTTTAAAATCTTAGCTGGACTGGCTTTCAAATGGTGGTCCTTGAAACCCTAGCGGAATCCAAAACCCTTCAAGGAGTCCTCAAGGTCAAAATTATCTCTATAATATAATAATACTGAGCTGTCGTGCCCTGTTCACCGAGGTGGCCTTTGCACTGATAGTACAAAAGCGATGGTGTGTAAACTGCTGGCACCTCGGCATGGATCGGGGCAGAGGCCCCAGGCTGCTCTAGCAGTCACTGTGCTCCTCATCACCTGGCAAACACAGACTCAAAAAAAGAACAGAAAGAATGTCCTTGGTGAAGCTGTAGAAATTACTAATTTTATAAAATCTCAACCTTTGAGTACATGTCCTTTTAATATTCTGCACGAGGAACTGGGAAGTGATCACATGCGACATTTGAAGAAAAGCACTTGCATCACGCAGGTGCAGGCTGAACTAGCAGCGTTTTTCAGGGAGTGTCGTTTTTACTTGCAAAGGACAACTGACAAACAAGTGCTGCTTATTCCCACTTAGATGTTTGACAAACATTTCCACAAAATCAACCGAGGAGGCTGTTGCTTCAAGGAAAACAACTGACAGCATTTGTTGGCAAAAAAACCAAATTGAGTTTTCAACTGAAAAATTAGAATTTAGAAAATTTGTATCTGCCACCTTCAGCTAAGCCTCCCAGTACTTAAACAACGATGAGCCATGGGTAAAGATGAATGAGTGTGGTTTTTGTTTTTTATTTTTTTTGAGATGGAGTCTCACTCTTGTTGCCCAGGCTGGAGTGCAGTGGCGTGATCTCAGCTCACTGGAACCTCCGCCTCCCGGGTCTAAGCGATTCTCCTGCCTCAGCCTCTCAAGTAGCTGGGATTATAGGTGCGTGCCACCACAGCTGGCCAATTTTTTATATTTTTGGTAGAGATGGGGTTTCACTATGTTGGCCAGGCTGATCTCGAACTCCTGACCTCAAGTGATCCACTCGCCTCGGCCTCCCAAAGTGCTGGGATGACAGGCGTGCGCCAACGTGCCCGGCCTGTTTTTTAATATTGTATGATGAAACATATCAACATTTGGACGCTCTATATCACTCAGTGAACCAATACTTTGCAAATAACAAATGCATTATGTTACAAAATCATGCATGGGTAAGAGATGCATTGAAAGTAGCAGATAAAATAATGGATTTTAATGTAACCAAGCATAAAAAGTTCATTGATGGAACTCAGATTCTCCACTGCAACTACCTCTAAGAAACTACCCTTTTTTTTTTTTTGAGACGGAGTCTTGCTTTGTGCAGTGGCACAATCTCGGCTCACTGCAACCTCCGCCTCCTGGATTGAATCTATCCTCCTGTCTCAGCCTCCCGAGTAGCTAGGACTACAGGCGCCCGCCACCACACCCAGTTATTTTTGTATTTGTCGTAGAGATGGGGTTTCACTACATTGGTCAGGCTGGTCTCAAACTCCTGACCTCAGGTGATCTGCCCGCCTCAGCCTCCCAAAGTGCTGGGATGACAGGGGTGAGCCACTGTGCCCGGCCTAGCTATTCTTTAAATTCTGCAAACAAACCAAAATATCACAATGGATTGAATTTAAAAGCAGGTACAGGTTTTCCAACTGTAAAACAGTGCCACTCTTCTCAGGAAATTTATTTTTGTTTTGAAAAATACAATTATATTTCAGAAGGTATATTAATGTGTAGTGGATAATCATTATTTCCTCTTCGTCTTTTTTTTCTCTCACCCAGGCTGGAGTGCAGTGGCGTGATTGCTGCTAACTGCGGCCTCCACCTCTTGGGCTCAAATGATCCTCCCACTCCAGCCTCCCCAAGTAGCTGGGACAACAGGTGGGTACCACTATGCCTGGCTAATTTTTGTATTTTTTGTAGAGATGGGGTTTCACCATGTTCTCCAGTCTGGTCTCAAACTCCTGAGATCGGGTGATCTGCCTGCCTCACCCTCCCAAAGTGCTGGGATTACAGGCATGAGCCACCATGCCTGGCATTATTTTCAATTCATTAATAAACATACGTTTTAAAACTTTTATCTATTTTAATTTCCAGTATGGTAAATATTGATAGATATAACCTGCATAATTAAAAGCTCTTTGGATTTTTTGATACTTTTTAAGAATGTAAAGATGTCCTGAGACCAAAAAATTGAAAACAATTGCTACAGATAATGCATTGTCAGACCTGGAGGCTGGTCGTAACACTTGACCCTGCTTTAGCCAGAACAGGTAGCTTAAGAGTCATTCAGGGACCAGATATCTCTGACAATTATCTATGTCCCTGTCTCTGGCAGACCCTCCTCTACCCAACAAACACACACACACTCCTACTCTTTTGTGTTCTAGGAAATCAGGTAAATAGATTTGTTAAAATTAAGTGTAAATTTGAATCAATAGACTTCAAACAAGGAAAAAAGAGAGTAAAGTGCTTAAATTTTATAACACCTATTTAGGAAACTCGGAAGCACTGTTTAACAAACTTAGAGATTCCCAATTTTTCTGGGAAAATGTCCCTTATTGCTTTCCCACGCAGAGTAGTGGTCCATGAAGCAGTAAGACCAACAGCATCTGTAGCTTGTTAAGGATGCAAATTCATGATTTCTTACCCCAGGCTAAGTCAGGATACACATTTTAAGAAGATACTGGCCGGGCGCAGTGGCTCACGCCTGTAATCCTAACATTTTGGGAGGCCGAGGCAGGTGGATCACTTGAGGCCATGAGTTCAAGACCAGCCTAGCCAACATGGTGAAACCCCATCTCAACTAAAAAAAAAAAAAAAATACAAAAATGAGCTGGGCGTGGTGTCACATGCCTGTAATCCCAGCTACTCCGGAGGCTGAGGGAAGAGAATTGCTTGAACCTGACAGGCGCAGGTTACGGTGAGTGGAGATGGTGCCACTGCACTCCAGCCTGGGCTACAGAGTGAGACTGTCTCAAAAAAAAAAAAAAAATCCCAATGTAATGTTTATGCACATTAAAGTTTGTGAAGCACTGCTCTAATATGAGGATTTTATAATCTAGAGTCTAAAATTCAAAAACACTTCTAATTTCCAGGATGGTTGACAGGCTATTTGGAACAATCTTCCTACTGAAAGAAACTAAAAAATATGAGTAAGACGTGTCTTGATGAAAGCATTAAAGAAATATTAAGACACCAAGAAACCACCACATCAAAAATGAAGGGAACATTCGTTCAGAGAAGTAAGCCAGAATTAGAATGCTCTTTCTCTGAGGTCATTTGCTAAAACCAGAAAATTAGAACCTAAGATTCTCAAGATGAGAAATATAGAATTAAAATCTGTAAATGGAAAAACCCCTGTGTTACTAGTGGAGAGTCTTGACTACGAGTTGTCCAGGTTCTTGGCATTTTGAACAAAAAATTAGACAAAACGCAAAAACAAAGCAATGAAAGAATGAAGCAACAAAAGCACAGATTTATTGAAACAAAAGTACGCCCCACAGACCGAGAACACTCCAATAATCAGCACGCAAGAGTGGGGGGTTATAGACTTTTCTGGGGTTTAAATACCCTCTAGAGGTTTCCCATTGGTTACTTGGTTTACACCCTATGTAAATGAAGTAGTGGCCCACAACCAGTCTGATTGGTCGTGGAAGCGACCAATCAGAAGCTGAAATGAAGTTACAAAGTTATACCCCTATGCAAATTAAGACTAGGCCCACGACCAGTCTCATTGGTCGCAGGAAGGGACCAGTCAGAAGTATTTTCATTTTTCATCTGTGAGGCAGAAAAAGGGGAGAGGGGTTACAAAAAGGAGTTTTTCCTTTTGATTCAGTTCTGGGAAATCAGTGTGAACCCGCCTTAGGTTCCCTGCCTCCAGACCGTATTCTCCTGCCTCACCTGGGTCAGAAACTCTCAAGCCTTGAACCTGGTGCCTAGAAGGAACAAATATATATCCTCTTTGGGGAGGCGTCTTTATCAATGGGTGGCAAATTATTCCTTTTGAATACAATGAGCAGACCTGTCACAGACAATTAGGCTCTCACAGAAAATAGGCAAGAACCAGAGTATTAGAAGCTATAGTGACTAACAAAATCAAATGCAGGCTTGAAGATTCTTTAGGCAATAGGAATCTTTCAGAAGTCACATAGAAAATTTGAGAAAGAACCTCATAGAACTTGTAGAAATAATAAAATGCAATAATTGAAATAAAAACCAAAAGGACGGATTTCATAGCAGTTTGTACATAGCAGAAGAGATATATTAGTGAATTGTAAAATAGGTTAGAAAAACGTTTCCGGAGTGCAGCATGGAAAGACAAAAAGATGGAAGATTCCAGTGACAAGGCAAGAGATATAGAGCGAAAAAGCCCAATATAGGCTGAAAGCCTAGAAAGAGAAGAGAAAGACAATGTGGCAGAGGTGATATTTGAGGAGATCATGGCTGAGAATTTTGTGGAACTAATAAAAGGCATCGATCCGCAAATTAAAGAATCACAGTGAATCCTAAACTGGATAAATAAAATGAAATCTACACTGCAATACGTCACCGTGAAACTTCAGAAAAACCACCAGAAAGTGATAACCTGGGAAGTAGCTAGAGAGAAAAATGCACACGAGCCAGAGGGACTGAGAGCTGACTTCTCAAAGCAACTCTAGAAGCCCAAGATAACAATTCAACGGGCTGGCAATAATTGCTAACTTAGACTCCCACACTCCACACAAACGTCTTTCAGAAATAAAGACAGTTTCATACAAGGACAGTTGAGAGAGTTTGTCACACAAAGACTTAAATTCTAAAGGATGTACTTCAGTTAGAAAAAGGATAATTCCAGTTGGAAAGTCTGTGGTACAAAAGGAAATGAGGAACAAAGAAACTGGTGAATGTGTGAATAAATCTAAATGAACACAGACTACACTAGGCAATGATCATAATGTCCTGAAGGGCTTAAAAATAGAATTAAAATACATGAAAACAGTTGCAGATAAGTTGAGGGAGGAATAAATGCAGTTAAATGGAGAGGGGAGGGCTAAAATATTGATTAATGTTAGACTTGGTTAAGCTAAGAATGCATGTTGCAATTTCAACAGTAAACTCTGAATAAATGGAAACAGTGTATGTAACTTCCAAATGAATAAAAGGGAAAAGTAGAATGCTAAAAAATAATCAATCTAAGAGAAGGCTAGATATGAGAGAAAAAGAAACATAAAATAGGCAGGACAACTAGAAAGTATAAAGATAGAGAGCCAGGTGGCCAGGTGCGGTGGCATACACCTGTAGTATGTACTACTTAATGGCTGAGGCAGGAGGATCCCTTGAGCCCAAGAGTTCCAGGCTATAGCATGTGCCATGACTGTGCGTGTGAATAGCAACTGCACTCCGGCCTGGGTAATATAGCAACACTCCATTTCTTTAAAAAAAAAAAAAAAAGGCAGATTAAAAAACACTTTTTATTACAGGAAATTAAGTACCACAAAAATAGGCCAGGCATGGTACCTCACACCAGTAATCCGGACATTTTGGAAGATTGAGGTAGGAAGATTGCTGAAGCCCAGGAGTTTGAGACTAGCCTGGGCAACACTGTAAAACCTTGTCTCTGAAAAAAAAAATTAAATTAAATCAAAATTAGCCAGGTATGGTGGTATAGGCCTGTAGTCTAGCTACTTTGGAGCCTGAGGCAGGAGGATTGCTTGATCCCAGCAGCTCGAGGTTGCCGTGAGCTATGACCGTAACACTGCATTTCAGCGTGGGCAACAGATTGAGACCCTGTCTCTAAATAAATAAAAACAAAATATACAGAATAGTATAATGAACCTTATGCATCCATTATTCTAATACTTAACAGTCTAGTTTCATTTATCTTTCACACTTTTTCCTAAAGTATTTTAAAACAAATCTCAGACATCATGTTATTTTATTCATAAACATTGTAGAGTGTATTTTTATTAAAGACTTTAAAATTATAATACTAAAATACCATTATCACAAAAATGGTATATTTAAATAGAAATATATCAGAAATTATGTAAAATGTAAATAGATTAGATAATCTTGTCTTTTTTTGTTTGTTTGGTTTTTTTGAGATAGAGTCTTGCTCTGCCGCTCAGGCTGGGGTGCGATGGCACGATCTCGGCTCACTGCAAGCTCCACCTCCTGGGTTCAAATGATTCTTCTGCCTCAGCCTCCTGAGTAGCTGGGATTACAAGCATGCACAATCAAGCCAGCTAATTTTTGTATTTTTAGTGGAGACGGGGTTTCCATGTTGACCAGGCTGGTCTCAAACTCCCGACCTCAAGGGATCCGCCCACCTTGGCCTCCCAAAGTGCTGGGATTACAGGCACGATCCACTGTGCCCGGCCTAGATAATCTTGTTACAAAAGACAAAAATCGTGAAACTATTTGTTTTTTTTAAACCCACTGTATGCTATTTACATCTTAAATAAAAGGATTCAGGAACGTTGCAAGTACATAATGGAAAAAGATATGTAAATAATAACCAGAATAAAATATGTGCAGATAATGAAAGAAAAAGATGTTTTACATACATGATAGAGAAAAGGTGGGCAAAGTTCTAACGCCAACAGCTTCTACTTCCCAGGAGTTGGATCCACATTCTTTTTTTTTTTTTTTTTCATTTTATTTTTATTTTTAGAGACAGGGTCTACGGCAGGAGGACTGCAGTGGTATGATCATAGCTCACTGCACCCTTGAACTCCTGGGCTCAAGTGATGCTCCTCAGTAGCTAGGACTACAGGCATGAACCACCACGGAGTTTTTTCGATTTTTTGTAGAGGGCGTCTCGTCAAATTGCCCAGGCTAGTCTTGAACTGGCCTCAAGCGATCCTCCCGCCTTGGCCTCTCAAAACACTGGGATTGCAGGCATGAGAGGCTGCATCTAGCGAGCTAGGAGTAAACCTTAGCTCTGCTCACAAATGAAGAACAAGGACTTAGGAAGCTGACTGGCTGGCCAGAGATGCTGCTGATGAGGGACAGAGGCCCCAACACTCAGAGGAGTACCCCTTCCACTTGCCGCGAGGCCTTCCTAGGCCTGAGAAGGGGAAGGTAGGGGGGTTTCTGGGAAGGAGATGGAGGCTCAAACTTTTGTTAACAAGATGGACTTCTTCGTCCCTGTTATAGATAGAGCTTGGGGGTCATTAAGAGCGAGGGCAAGGCTGGGCACGGTGGCTCACACCTGTAATCCCAGCACTTTGGGAGGCCAAGGTGGGTGGATCACTTGAGGTCGGGAGTTCGAGACCAGCCTGACCAACATGGAGAAACCCCCGTCTCTACTAAACATACAAAATTAGCCAGGTGTGGTGGCGCATGCCTGTAATCCCAGCTACTCAGGAGGCTGAGGCAGGAGAATTGCTTGAACCCGGGAGGCTGAGGCAGGAGAATTGCTTGAACCCGGGAGGCTGAGGCTGAGGTTGTGGTGAGCCAAGATCATGCCATTACACTCCAGTCTGGGCAACAAGAGTGAAACTCCGTCTCCAAAAAAACAAAAAACAAAAGCGAGGGCAAGAGTGGGGAAGCACTGGCTCCAGTGTTCCTTCACAAACGACAACTGAGAGGGACAGGAAAAATAAATGCTGTGTGCCCCCTTGGTGTTCACGCTCCTTGAGCTCCTGTTGGTGAGGTCTTTCCTGGTGGAGGGCAGTGGGGAGGCAGTGTGAGAAGGGGGTGCTCAGGCCTTGGCCCCAGGCAGGAAGAGTGCAGCTTAGTCCCTTTGGCTCCTTTGTGGACTCTGTGGCCCTGACACCCCAGGACCCCAGGCAGGTCCTGAGGCAACCTCGGAATATTTTGTTTCAGGTGCTTCCTGCAAATCAGCCTCAATCTGATTTCACTCGCGCGGTCTAACAACAGAAAGGGATTATAGGAAGGAAATGCGGCCCCTGGGGGATTCAGAATCTGTGGCTCATCCAGACCAGTCCAGATCCATCTGAGAGGAAACCAGTGTAGCTTCACAGCGAGTCCTAGCAGATTCCTCCCCAGTTACGCCAGCCTCCTCATGCTGGCCAGAAGGAGCTGGGATGCAGGATCCTGAGTTGAAATTCAGCCTCATGGACACAAACAACATTAGGTTACACACACACCAGCACACACACACCCACGTACACATCCCCACTTGGGCCTAGTCAAATAAATATACAGACCTTTTAGTTTCACTCCCTCCTCAACCAAGACTTGAGTTTTAGCTACACACAGACACACACACACACACACAAAACCACTTGCATACACAGACATACTGTGCTATTCCAATAAGCTTCCCTTCCTGGGTTGGTGGTGGGGACCAGCTAGTGATGGCGGGAGTGGAGGTAGCAGAGCCTGGGGCTCCCCCTAGCCTAGCAGAGTGATGAGAAGCAGGACCCGTCCAGGAAAAGAGCCACCCACCCACTGCAGCCAGCAGCCTCGCTCTTCCCAGTAGGGAGGCACATGGAACCCATCGTGCTTAATTTTCCTAAAAAAGGTTTCTCTTCAGATCATATAAATCTTTTGCCTCTTACTAAAAAGCCAAGTGCAGTGAGATCGCTCTCACATGAAAGCTGTCATGAGTCCAGTTTACTCTGTGCGTCCTTAATGTGACGCCTGAGGGCAGTCGGTGCTGTGGAAAGCACAGGCTTCGGAGCTAAACCCACCAGATTTCTGACCTGGATTTGATGCTCGATTTGGTGCTCTCCACCCTCTGAGCCTCAGTCTCATCACCTGTAAAATGGGGATAGCATAGCAACCTCATTCATAAAGGATGGTTCCTGGAACACAGTAGTTGCTCAATAAATATTGATTTTATGTCTTCCCAAATTTCTGGCCTTCAAATGACATCTGCTTGCCTGGGTCTTTAGAGCCGAGAATGGAGTCCTGAGACCAGCAGAGACCTCACCTTTGACAGTTCAGGAATTGAATCTTGTCACCCATCTCCCTCCCTCCCACCATTGCCTCACCTGGCTTGGCCACCATCTTCACAGTCCCTCTCTCTAGCCCCTCTTCCAGATTAAACTCTGTGGTTCAGTGTGAAAGGGCCAAGGGGCAGGGAGACAGTTTGAGGAGAAAGCCCAGGCCTGGCTGCCACTGGGAGGGACAAATGCAGGCTCCCCACAGCCAGACCTGACCCACGAGGGAGGGTGGGACACAGACTCTGGTGGTGTGCCCCCAGAGGTCACGTGAAGCTCTCAGGAGGCAGTGAACAAACAGTCCCTCCAATTTTTCTTCTTCTTTTTTTTTTTTTTTTTTTTTTTTGAGATGGAGTCTGGCTCTGTTGCCCAGGCTGGAGTGCAGTGGTGTGATCTCAGCTCACTGCAACCTCCGCCTCCTGGGTTCAAGCAATTCTGTCTCAGCCTCCCAAGTAGCTGGGACTACAGGTGCTCACCACTACACCCCGCTAATTTTTGTATTTTTAGTAGAGGTGGGGTTTTACCATGTTGGCCAGACTGGTCTCGAACTCCTGACCTCAGGTGATCTGCCTGCCTTGGCCTCCCAAAGTGCTGGGATTACAGGCATGAGCACTGTGCCTGGCCTCACAGTTTCTTTTGACATCACTGGGACACCTGACTTCGGGATCCAAGTGCAACACAGACGAACACACAGGCACATCGGGAGCACCAGGATGGTCAGGAACTTTGCATGACCAAGGAGACTGCTGGATTAATGAAATTGCACCATCTTTTGAAAGGGCCTCAAGGAGAGTTCAGTCCTGAGTTAGCCTTGGCATTAAAAATAAAACTGTACTTCTGTTCAGACTCATCCATTGCAGTGAGAATGATCTGGGTGGGCTTCGAATATCAAAAGCCTCCAAGGGGAATGGCTTAGAGGGTGAGCAATCTGTGATCTCACGTGACAAGCAGTCCAGAGCCATGGACTCCAGTTCTTTACTTTTTTCTTCTCTGCTGTCCTTAGCCCTCAGGTTGAGGCCCTTCCTGGCAAAGCTGCCCTAGGCCCAGATGTCACATATGCATGACAACGTCCGGGGACCATTTGCCCCAGCAGATTCCCTTTCATTTCTGATTGGCCGGCAAGTGGCTGAGGATCGTCTTACTCGCACCCTGGTGCTGGGCGCTGACCACCTCCCGAAGCACTTGGCCAGGGGGAGAGGATGCTGGACACAATCAGGTTCTCCTGGGGGGAGGAGGGAGGGAATGGCTGCTGGAAGGGTTCTACCGGGGACTCCTACAGCAGCTTGTTAGATCTCCTTCCTCCCAATTCCCTGAAGTTGGTGGAACAGGAAGAGGACGAGAAGTCATGTTTGTATGTTGTCCCCTTGGAATCTCTCAAAAATCCGCAATATCCCGATTTGAGAAATGAGCATCACAGAGAAAGCAAAGCGGTAGTTGGAAGCTGCCAAGCTTGTGAGCAACGAGACGGAATCCACGCCCAGGGCTTTCTAACGGCGGGGCCACGCCCTCCACACTCCACCTCGGCCCTCTGCCCTGCGATGGTGCAGAGACAGGGTGTGGTCAAGGGGCCTAGGGTGAGGGTCCTGCCAGTACTTTACAGGAAACTCCCCCTCTTTTAGCCTCATTTGTCAAAGAAAGGGCTTAGACACTAAAATCTTTTAAGTTTCCTTCTAGCTCAATCTCTCTTTGATTTAATACCTTCTAAAAGAGATTTGGGGCCCCAGAAAAAAAGAAAGCAAGAAAGCAACTGGCACTTCTGTGGTTGACTCAGCACAGAGGCCTGGACAGGCATCAGGAGGCTGGGCTCCTCCTATTTTGGGCCTCGTGAGTTCATCCTGAGGCCTGTGCCAGTCCCTGCGGTTTCTCATCTCTCCATCCTGGTCTGTATGACAAAATGGCTAAAAATACCGGGCTCCCCGCGGGCCCGCCACCCGGCTAACACCCTCCCTTGAATCAGCTCATTTTTTAGTCTTGGGTATGCTGCAGATGAGAGTCCAGGACAAGCCACCTTCGGAAGCTCTGACTCCCAGGAACCCCGCTTGGGTTGGTCCTTGTGCTCTGGTGGAAGAAGCTTGGGCGCTGTCCACTTCCTAGGCAGGTAACTTGGCATGTCTGAGCCTCAGTTTCCAGGTCTCCTCATCCCACAAATACACCTACAGATTGTGTGAGTGACAAGCCTAATCCTGCTGAGGGCTTGATCCGCGTAGATTCATGCTTACCCTGGACCCCTCGTCAGCTGGGTCCCTGCAGGAGAATTTTCTCCCAAGGAAAACCTGGGCCTGTCATCACTCAGGCCTGCACATTGACCCAGTTTCTCGCAGGCTTTCCTAAATTGCTTTCTGAAACAGTCACGAAGGTGAATCGTTGTGTGCAGCCACTGCAGGGACAAAGGCTGGCACGCTGGTCATCCCATTTCAGGTCCGTGTGTCCCATTTCACTGCACTGTCCTGTGCCAGCGCTGCCCAAGTCTTCGAGTGCTCCGTGGCCTCCCACCCCTGCCTCTCCGTGGGCGGCTTCTGTGAGGCCTCCGAGAAGCAGGAATGAAAGGTGACGTGAAAGGAAGCCGGGCTTGCTGTGGTCAGGTGAGGGCCAGCACAGTGAGTTTGAGAACATCTCACCTCCACAAGCAGGAGCCCTACAACCTTGGGACATTGTTTCATCTTCTGGACTCTCAATATTGGCTTTGAAAAAAATAAAAACACCCCTTTATCTTGTCTGAAGAAAGGAATATGAAAAAAAAATCCATCTCCTTTACATGGAAGATGTGAGGACCAGAGGAAAAAGACACACATACCAATTTTATTTTATTATTTTTTCTTTTGAGACGGAGTCTTACTCTGTTGCGCAGGCTGGAGTGCAATGGCACTATCTCAGCTCACTGCAACCTCCGCCTCCCTGGTTCAAGCGATTCTCCTGCCTCAGCCTCTTGAATAGCTGGGACTACAGGTGCCTGGCACCACGCTCAGTTAATTTTGTTGGTAATTTGAGTAGAGACGGGGTTTCACCATGTTGGCCAGGCTGGTCTTGAACTCCTGACCTCAGGTGATCCACCTGCCTTAGCCTCCCAAAGTGCTGGGATTACAGGTGTGAGCCACCGTGCCCGGCCACACATACCAAATTTGAGAGCTCAGTGTTTTGTCCATGACATGCATTTGCCAATGTTCAGAGCACCCAGTGGGTGCCAAGCCGGTGCTCGGGGCTGGGGTGGGCAGGGTGGGGGGAATTGCACTTCGCCGGACTGCGTGGTGCCCCCTTCCCCGGGAAGAGAGACTGGAACCATGCAGTTTCCATCACTGGGACAGAACCTACACGTCCTGTGCTGAGTGGCCTCGTATGCTTAGCTTGGTCAGGGGCTGGCGCTGCGGGGCCAGGCTCAGGGGCTTCATTCTCACTGGTCGTGGGCCTCCGCGCTGTTGGCTGCCACTAGAAAGCTTGTATGCCAGAGACTCCGGCTCTGAAGTTGGACTCCAGTCAATCTGCCCGTGCCCCTCGGGTTCCCCAAGAGCTTTCCATGTAGGAATGCAACTGTTCTCACGGAGCAAAGACAGAAGTGAGGGCCACCACCCTCTTTTCTCCTTTTCCTTTGTGTTTTATGCACATATATTAAAGAGAATAGCTCTAGAAGGTGTCTTGTAGAAACACAACAGCAGTTCCTGCCCCTGCTCCCTATTTCCCTCCTTGAAGTAGCCTCTTTCACTTTGCTTACTGATTTTTTTGTTGTTTGGTTTTTTTTAAGACAGGGTCTCGCTTTGAACACAGCTCACTGCAGCCTCGACCTTCCAGACTCAAGCGACCCTCCTGCCTCAGTCCCCCAAGTAGCCGGGACCACTGGCATGCGCGACCACTCCCAGCGAATTTATTTTTGTATTTTTAGTAGAGATGGTCGTCTTGCCATGTTGCCCAGGCTGGTCTTGAACTCCTGAGCTCAAGAGATCCGTCCACCTCGGCCTCCCAAAGTGTTTTTAGCTGATTATCGGGATGCCTGTCTATCTCTAGAAGACAGGCTTGCATAATTACTTTTTTTTTTTTTTTTTTAGACGGAGTCTCGCTCTTGTCACCCAGGCTGGAGTTTAATGGCGCGATCTTGGCTCACTGCAACCTCTGCCTCCTGGATTCAAACGATTCTCCTGCCTCAACGTTCAAGTAGCTGGGATTACAGGCGCCCACCACCACGCCTGGCTAATTTTTTTTGTATTTTTAGTAGAGATGGGGTTTCACCATGTTGGCCAGGCTGGTCTCAAACTCCTGACCTCAGGTGACCCACCCACCTCCACCTCCCAAAGTGTTGGGATATGAGCCACCCGCCCGGCTGCATAATCACTTTTTAATTTTTCAGTGTGGACCCCATCACTGACTTCTCATTCTGGAAGGTGGAAATTAAGCTCATTTTCCACCCTCTGCTACCCCTACACATGTGAATCCTTCAGTCAGGCCGAACCCCTGTTGTCTCTAAGGGATGGTACCACACCGTGTCCAGGAGGCCAAAGAAGAGACCCGGATCCAGTGAACGAAACGTAGGGTTTATTGAGGGCTTACCTACAGGACAGTTCAGGAGTGGCAGCTGGACAGGAGAACTGCTACTGTTTGTAAAAAGCGTGCAGTTTATGTAGCATTTTCACTTAGCAACCTCCACCTAGCAACCTTCATTTAACCCAAAACAAAGGGCTTCTCGATTCCTTGTACAACCTGTGTTCAAAGGAACGGACCAGGGGTTCAGATGCCATTTATAGATAAGGAGGGAATTTTCAGGTTGGCCACTCCAAGATTCCTTAGCTCAGAATGCAGAACACACACAGGGTCACTCTCAGGGTGTGCTTGAGTTATTGCTGTCAGGTGCATCTGCTATACACCTTCCTACACTCTTTCATCCCTATGGAATTATGATATAATTTTGGTTAGATTCATAGCCACCATATGTCATTAAGCCATGGAAATACTTTAGATCAGTTAAAAAATATAGTAAATATCATGACTAGTTTTCCTTCTCTACTCAAATTTTTGTTATCCTTGAAGTTAATAATTGTCTTTTTATGGTTTAATTTTCTGTGTGCTTATCACCAATTCAACTCCAAACTTTTCACCAGTTGTCTCAAGGTCCTCTCGAGACATTCCAATGTACCAGGCACTGCTAGGTTCATCTTCCTGAAATGGTCAGTCTCTCCAGGCACTTTCCTACCTGCGCCCTGTGTCCAGAGCGCACCTGTCATCCCAGCATCTGCCTGTGCCTCATCTAGGGACCACCCTCAGCTGCCTTTCCATGCGGGGGTGCTTGTTTTCTGTGCCCAGTGACTCTTTCTTGGGTTACCCCTCCTTTTAAAGGGGGGCATTCTCTAGAGGTTTCCCGAGAACGGAGTCATTGCAGGTAAGCCTTTTGGGTCCTTGTGTGTCTGAACGTGTCCTGTTCTAACCTCTCCCTGATGAATAGGTTAGCTATTTGTAGCATTCTAGATCATAAACCAGTATCCCTTGAATTCCAAAGTCATTGCTCTCCTATCTTTTAGTTTCCAGGGTTGCTATAGGATATCAAGCCCATTCTGGGCTGGGTGTGGTAGCCTGTAATCCCAGTAGTTTGGGAGGTCAGGGCTGGTGGATCACTTGAGGTGAGGAGTTCAAGACCAGTCTGGGCAACATGGCGATACCCCATCTCTACTAAAAATACAAAAATTAGCTGGGCGTGGTGATGCACACCTATAATCCCAGCTACTCTGGGAAGCTGAGGCATGAGAATCACTTGAACCCGGGAGGTGGAGGTTGCAGGGAGCTGAGATCGCACCTCTGTACTCCAGCCTGGATGACAGAGCGAGACTCTGTTTCAAAAAACAGGAAAAGAAAAAGAAATGAAGCCCATTCTACTTCCTAGCTTTTGGAAAGTGACCTGTTCCCGTCTCTGGAAGCTTGCAGGATCTTCTGTTTGTCCACAGTATTCTGAAATGTCCCAGAGATGAGGTCTGGTGTGTGTCTGAATGCCTAATGAGGAAAGGTGCACTCCGTGGCTCAGTTCTCTAGAGAAGACATTTCCAGTCTCTTCACCGAGGCAAAGACCCAGCTTCAGACCTCAGGTCTGCTATGGGGGCAGTGGTCTGAGCATTCAGCATTCATGTATTCGCTTAAACCTGCCATCTGTGGTGAGAGTGTATGTCCTCAACTGTGCCTGCATCCCCCAATCCCAAGAACCACTTTTACTCTTCTCCTGAGAAGAGACCTCCAATCTTCTCCTGGGGAGGGAAAGGGCAGGTGCTCATGAGTGAAGAGGGGACCTTGGGACTCAACTACTTTTCTGGATCCTTTGAGTCAATCCTCCTTATTTTAGTAACCCGTTTACTTGAGTGCCAGAGGTTCTTGATACTGTTGATTTCTTGAGAATTCCAAGGTGTGCATCTAGTTGGTTCTCAATTTTCTCTAGTGTGGGTTGGAGATTTTGCTTTCTGGGGCCTGCTAAGTCTGTTACCATTCTTCCATCTGCTTGCAAACATCGTGGTCTGCTCTCCTGTTATTTGTGTGTGTGCACGTATGTGTGTGCATGTGTGTGGTTGGATGTATGTCTGTGCATATGTGTGTGTGTGTGTGAATCTGTTTACTATCATTCTGGTGGACTTTTGGGAGGGAGTGAAATGAGATGTTCTGTCTGCCACCTTCCCCAGCAGCCTGGTTTCAATATTATGAACAAAGTCCAAAGGCCTCAGAGCACAGAGTTCACGCCACGAACCACCCAGTGGTTTTTCCATCACAGAGAGATGGTGAGCGCCTTTTCAGGCTGGGGGAAAGAGTTTAGAGAGAGTCTGAAAAGGAAGTAAGTGGGTTGCTATTGTGAGTCCCTGAGAGAAGGGTCAGAAGGCTGGCGAGGGTGAGGGTGGGAGCAGCACAGACCCCAGGTAGGTTGAGCAGGTGCTCTGCACGCTGTCTGGGACTCTGGGAGGAGAGGGCTGTGCAGGGCCTCTGTGCTGTCATGGAGCAGGATGGCAGGGAGACAGGGTGGCATGGTAGGAACAGCAAGATAAGGGCCTGAGAGATCCCTGCTTGCCGAGCGTTCCACAGCTGAGTGTTCCAGAAGACCGAGGGAGGGGACACCAAGAGGAGAAACTAGAAAACCAAGCAGAGTGAGCCCCACCTTAGGCTGAGGCCAGTGAGGGCAGAGGCCAGTGCCGGCATCAACAGGTGGGGACATACACTCTCCAGGGCACCAGATGACCCTCAGGAGAAGAGAAAGGGGACCCAGAGTCATGAAGCCATAAAGTTGTCAGAGCTGGGGGACCTGTAAGAAACATCCAGTATCCCAATTTTTATTTATTTATTTATTTATTTATTTATTTATTTATTGGGATGGAATTTCACTCTTGTTGCCCAGGCTGGAGTGCAGTGGCACAATCTTGGCTCATCGCAACCTCTGCCTCCCAGGTTCAAGCGATTCTACTGTCTCAGCCTCCCAAGTAGCTGGTATCACCCGCCACCACGCCTAGCTAATTTCTGTATTTTTAGTAGAGAAGGGGTTTCACCATGTTGGCCAGGCCGGTCTCGAACTCCTGACCTCAGGTGATCCACCCACCTTGGCCTCCCAAAGTGCTGGGATTACAACAGGCATGAGCCACTGCGCCCGGCCCCAGTGTCCCCATTTTAAAGAGGGGATTCGGGGGTTCAGAGAGGGAAAGAGACTTGTCCCAGGCTGCTTAGTCAGTGCAAGACACTGTTCTTTTTGCGATGTCCCTGAAGAGGGTTGATAGAGTAATGGTTTACTCATCCAGGAGTCCTATCCTTGGACTGACCCGGTTCTGTCTGTCCTGCTCTGTTTGTCTAGATCTTCATCAAAGTTATTTAGCTAAAGCTTATTTTCACCAGTTGCCCCAAGCATACGTCAGTATGGTCACGTGACTATACAAGGAGCTATTCTATATGGACCATAGGGGAGGGGCAGGCGTTCACCAACTGGAGGAGAAAGGACATCTGCAGCAGAAGGTGTTCAAAGGTGTGCACAGAAGTGAGGAGATAACGAACAGTATGTTTGGGGAACATAACTACCTTGGAGCCAGGATCTCACATTGTTCAGCATCCCGAGTGACACACTGAGTGGCCCGGGGCAGAACCGTGTGTTCTCGAGCTGTATGCATCATCATGGGCCCACCTGGGGGGACTTCTGATCTACACTTCTGCAGAGAACGTTCCCTACAGCCACGGACCAAGGCATCTGAAGAAGGCACATGCCTATCTGTGACTGGTTCCACAGTGACTCATCAGGTCTTAAGTTTTTTTAAAAAAGGCTGACTGAGGAGGTTTCCAGACCTGCACTTTTCCAGATGGTTCTGTGGGCTTTGGCCTGAGGTTGGGCTGAACCCTGCTGGAACACGGGCGATTGGAAAGGTTCACCGAAGAGTGAGAACAACTCCAAACCTTCTTCTACCCACCCCTCCAACATGAAAAAGTAAAAAGACTAGGAGAGGAAATGGAAACTCTAGCACTTCTCTTTTGGTGAAACCTTATGAAAATAAGTCAATTTCTTGCCTTTGTGCTTCCTTTGGAAAGACTTTTTAGCCTTTGGAGTCTGATGAAGCTAGGTATGAGTTTGGCCCCACTGCTGTCTGGCTAAGAGATCTTGGACAACTTACTTAACTTTTCTGAGCCTCAATTGTTGGGAGAATTGAGACAATGTAGGTGAAGTGCCTTCTGGGTCTATACTTGAGGTAGGATAGGGTTTAATATCAGTGTTCCTCTTCGTATTCCACTAAGGTAGCTTTTTAGCTTTCTTTGACAAGTCAGTTCTCTAGTTCTCCGTTTTCTCACTTGTAATTAGGACATCGGATTGGACATTCTCTAAGTTCCTCTCAGCGCCAGTATGCTATGACATTTTTTCTAAAATAAGGTTTGTGGACTACTTAGAACAGAATAACTTTAAGTGTGTTTTAAAAACACAGATTCCTGGGTTCCTCTCCAGACCTGCTGAAACTTGCACTTCCCTTGTGCTTCCTCATGCTTGGCAATCTCTGTTCTGTTTTACATCTTATCTACCTTGCCCATCTTTATAACTCAATCTAAAATCTCAATGCTGGGCTAATGGTAGGGCCTCAATATGTCCTTGATTACTACAACTCGCTGCCTAGACTGGGAACTACCTTTGCTGCCATCTTGGTTTCTTCGAGGGTCAGTCCTCTTGTCTTCAATATGTGTAGTGATTCCCCCAAAATAGAAGACAGCTCAGGTCAGAGAAAAAGCCTGGGCATCTATGAGGATGAGTGGGAAATAGGGAGTCTGGAAAAGGAGAGTTTTGGATCATGGACCCTCAGAGGCTCCTTCCCAGTCTGGAATCCTGAGACTCTAGTTTCCACTGAGGGAACTGATTCCACTGTGCTAGTTCACATCACCTCCTCTGTTTGTCAACTCCCAGCTTCCATTTCCAGTTTATTCCTTTCTCTTCATTACTACCTATGTGACAGACTGGTGCTGTGAGATTAGTGTGTTTCATGCGCATCCATTCTTTGTTACATCTTGAGATCTACTCTTATTTGTGCTCGCATAACCCTAGTCTATCCCCCGAACTACTGTCTGGAATCCCTCTGCAGGACCATTTCACAATTTATTTATGCCTTCTCCTATTGATGGTTATGTACATGGTTTCCAGTTCTTCCCTATTACAGACAACACTGTGATCACCCCCTCATACCTGTTGCCTTGTGTACTCAGGTACAAGCATTTATCTAAACACCTAGAAGGAGCCTTGCTGGGTTACACTTGCAGTTTCCCTAGATACTGCTGAATTGCCCTCCAAAATGATGGTGTCAATTTACACTCCCATCCATTGTATATGGGAAGACCCATTTCCCTCAACCTTTCCAACACTTGATGTTGTTAGACTTTGTTTTGCTAATCTGATGGGTGACCGTGGTATCTTGTTGTAATTTGCCTGTTTCTGATTCCTAATTCTGTTGAGTAAACCCATTTGGGTTTCTTCTACTGTAAATTACCTAGTCATATATTTTGCCCATTTGTCTGTTCCTTGTTATTTTATGGGAGTTCTTTAAACATCCTTGATACCAATCCTTTGTCTATCATGTTTTGCATATATTTTCCTCCAATCAATACTTATGTTTTAATTTTGTCTATGGTGTCTTTTATCGGTGACTTTTGAACAGGGGAGTTACACAGGGTTGAATTTTGAAAGACCTCTCTCTTAAACCAGAAGTGTATTGATAGAGCATATATAGATCCACAGAGCAATAAAACAGAGAAAAGACCTGTGCATATATGGGAACTGAGTTTACGATAGAATGGCATCATACATCAGAGAGGAAAGGACATACTATTTGATAAATGGTATTGAAGCAATTAGCTATTTATATGAAGTTTTAAATTCTGATGTGGTCAAATTTGATAATTTTTTTAGCCTATAATTTTTGCTTCTGGTGTCTGATTTAAGTATATTTTGTCTATGCCAATGTCATAAATATTGTCTTCAATGGATGTAGTGATTCCCCCAAAATAGAAGACAGCTCAGGTCAGAGAAAAAGCCTTGTAGTGAAACTACAAGTCTATGCTTGATTTAAATTTTCTTCTAATTATTTTACAGTATTTTTGTCACATTTAGGTCTTGAATTTATTTTTGGATATGGTGTGAGGGAGGGATATAATTATACATTATTTCATATAGATAACTAATTGCTTCAATACCATTTATTGAATAGTATGTCCTTTCCTCTCTGATGTATGACGCCATTCTGTCATAAATCCAGTTCCTATATATGCATGCGTATTTTCCTGAACTCGATTCTGTTTTACTGCTCTGTAGGTCTATATATGCACGATCAATACACTTCTGGTTTAAGAGAGTGGTCTTTCTAAATTCAATCCTGTGTAACTCCTCTGTTAAAAAGTTATCAAAGTGTTCAGTCAAATGGTCCTTTATCATCTAATCCCTGCCTATTTTTGGCCATCTTCTCTCTCCTGTCTTTCCCCAAGTCCCTGTGGCACTATCAAAATCATTTACCCTAGGCTTTATCTCAGTTGATCTACTTGCTGTCCTTCCAACCCATGCTGAGGTTTTGCCTTCCTGCCTTTGTACACATTGTTCTCTCTGCCTGGAATGCCTTTCCTACTCATTTCTTGTCTGATGAAGTTTAACCGAAATGCTTTTTCAACACCTTTCCCAACCCCCCAGTTGGGGTTCTCCTAGGTGCTCCCCAGCACTTTGCTCATCTCTACCATGGCTCTCCAGATGTTCTACTCACCTAATTTAGGACTCTAGTCAGGCTCCTCCACCCGATAGGCTAGGAGAGCTTCCCAAGGGCAGGAGTGCATCTAATACATTTCCATGTCTGCCTTCCCCTAGTCACCCACCCCAGTTGACCTAACTTGTGTCTGGCATGGAGCCAGGCAATAATAGCTGCATCCACTGAATACTGACTATCTGCCATCTACTCTCCTATTTCATACTTATGGCAACCTTTGAATGTGGTAGA
The DNA here is from genome assembly GCF_000001405.40 of Homo sapiens. NCBI lineage: Eukaryota > Metazoa > Chordata > Mammalia > Primates > Hominidae > Homo > Homo sapiens. The sequence continues at coordinate 9,702,911 of NC_000002.12, forward strand.
ATAATTCCCATTCTTCAGATGAGAACATTGAGGCTCAGAGCGGCGATGTAGCCTGCAAGGGCACATAACTGGAAGCATCACAGCTGAGATCCAGACCCCAGTCTTTCTGACTTTAGAGCCCATGCTCTCCCACTACAGTCTACACTGGGGCTCAGTAAACATTTACTGAGTGAAAGAATAAATACGTGCAGAACCCAGCCAACAGAGAGCATCCCCGGAGGTGGGGCCAGGGCCCCAGGCACTCAGAGGAGGCAGGCCTCTGGCAGTAGCTAAGCAGATTCCCGTCTCAGATGTCAGCCCTGCCCACCCTTCTGTGCCCCCCCACCCCCCTGGTTGGTGTTTGTGGGACAGTTTCCACTGTGTTGCCTGGGAAACGAGGCATCCTGCCACCACCACTCCCCACCTCCGGGCTGCCAACACCTACCACGCCCGGCTTGGGGGTTTTGGCTGGTTTCCCTTGTGTCCTAGTCAGCTTGAGAAACCCTCGGATGCACTCGCCACTTTTACAGTGTGGCTTTGCTCATCTGGGTGGGAGGTACTGCCTGGGGTGAGCTCATCACCTCTGGTTCCTCAGTGCCACCCACTGATGTCTCTTGGCACTGAGTTCTTACAACTTGTTCCAGGGGATATTTGGTGGTTGATGGTCACCACCCATGTGTCATGGTCCCTGAGCATCCCCCGCCACCCCACTGCTCCCTATTTTGGCAGTTACTGTCACCCTCTAGGGATGCAGGGATGCAGTTTACCTATCTAGAGTGCGGTGATCAGGTGGGGAAGTACAAATGGCAATTGACAGCTAGAGAGCTTGAAACCCTCCCACTTGGCTCTGCTCACCCTGGACTCTGGGAGACCTCAGCTGCCCAGCAGTGGAGGCTGGGGCAGCAGAGGGGCCAGACCTGGGAGCCCAGAAGCCTGGATCTGAGTCTGACTCACTGCTAGCCTTTGACCTTTGGAGGCTTGGGCAAGCTGAGGAACTTCTCTGGTCTTAATCTCCACCCCCTGCTGGAGTAGGTGAGGTCAATGAGTGAGCGCATGTAACTTCCTCTTGGTAAGCCCTGGGTTCCTGGAGACAGGAGAGGGAGGGTGGTTTTCCAGGGGCATTTGTTGACATTTCTAGAGAATATCTGAGGCTTCGACAAAATCAGACCTCAGAAATGTGGGCCTGCCTTGCTGTTGTGGGGGATGGTGGCTGGAAAGTGGGGAGGGAGATGAGACCCCAGCTTTCTCTGGCTGTGGCCTGGGCAAGGCCCCCTACTCCCTGCCCGTGCTCCCTGTCTGTCCAGTAGCAGGCTCATGTGTGACTCTCTAGGGTACATGGCTATGTATATTCCTAAATCAAATTAAATCCCATTCCCGGCTGGGTGCAGGGGTTCACGCCTGTAATCCCAGCACTTTGGGAGGCCAAGGCAGGTGGATCACGAGGTCAGGAGATCGAGACTGTCCTGGCTAACACTGTGAAACCCTGTCTCTACTAAAAATACAAAAAAAAGCCAGGCGTAGTGGTGGGCGCCTGGAGTCCCAGCTACTCAGGAGGCTGAGGCAGGAGAATGGCGTGAACCCGGGAGGCGGAGCTTGCAGTGAGCCGAGATCACACCAATGCACTCCAGCCTGGGCAACAGAGCGAGACTCCGTCTCAAAAACCAAAAAAAAAAAAAAAAAAAATCAAATTCCTGCCCCCTACATCCTGCCATTTGGGGGACTTGTAGTATCAGTTATTCCTTGGTTCTTCCCTTCCCTATACCCCCTGTAATGTGCAAAATCCAAGCTGGTTCCTGCTAAGACACCCACTGCCCCAGCTCCAACCTCAGGCCCTGAGGAGAACTTGCTGCTTCTGAGCCTGTAGCCTGGGGCCTGGGGGTGATTGATGACCAGAGACCCTGGACCCTGAGCCCAGCCTCCCCTCCTCAGCATCATTGTCATCAGGCAGGTTGAGGACCTGCCAGTCATATGGCCTGATTGGCTCTTCACCTGCTCCCTAGGCGCCTGAAGCCCCCTCCCCTCCGCTCCAGAAGACATAGCACATGGGCTCCCCAGCTCATTCAGGCTGTTAAGGAAACAAAGGTCAGGGAGGAGCGAGGCTGTAATGCAACCTTCTGTGGCATAGGACAGAGCCTGGCTCTTCTGATGGGGGCAGCAGGTAGGGATAAAGCAAGGGAGAAAACCGCTTTTTCCACGTCCTTACATCTAGAGCCTCTTTCCATGAGGACACCCCATAGCCATGGGATGCAGAGAGCAACAGTTTACTTCCTCCACTTTTTAGCCGAATGAGTTCACCAGCCTCAGCTTCACCAGATGTCAAACGGGGATGATGGTCAGGCCAACAGGCTAACTCGGTGGGGTGCTGATATGGTTTAGCTGTGTCCCCACCCAAATCTCATCTGGAATTGTAGCTCACATAATTCCCATATGTCGTGGGAAATACCCAATGGAAAGTGATTGAATCAGGGGGGCGAGTCTTTCCTGTGCTGTTCTCGTGATAGTGAATAGATCTCACAAGATCTGGTGGTTTTATAAAGAGCAGTTCCTCTGCACATGCGTCTTGCCTGCCGCAATGTAAAGCATGCCTTTGCTTCTCCTTTGCCTTCTGCCATGAGTGTGAGGCCTCCCCAGCCATGTGGAACTGTGAGTCCATTAAATCTCTTTCCTTAATAAATTACCCAGTCTCGGGTATGTCTTTATTAGCAGTGTGAGAACAGACTAATACAGGTGCTATTTGGCATTTTGAGTGGGATAATTTTAAAATTGTGCATCTTACCCATTTCGAAATATTTAGCATGGGTACTAAATATCAGTAACACCCCCGGTCACTATGACACCAAAACTAAAAAATTAAATGCCCTCACATAGCTCCAAATGCCTCCTAAGGTAAGGGCAGTACTATCCCCAGGTAAGAATCGCTTTAAAAAAAATTTATATTGGCCGGGTGCGGTGGCTCACGCCTGTAATCCCAGCAATTCGGGAGGCCGAGGTGGGCAGATCACAAGGTCTAGAGATCGAGACCTCGTCTCTACTAAAAATACAAAAATTAGCTGGGTGTGGTGGTGGGCACCTGTAATCCCAGTTACTCAGGAGGCTGAGGCAGGAGAATCACTTGAACCTGGGAGGTGGAGTTTGCAGTGAGCCAAGATTGCACCACTGCACTCCAGCCTGGCCGACAGAGTGAGACTCTGTCTCAGAAAAATAAATAAAACAAAATAAAATAAAGTAAGAAGGCGGTTTCTTAAAGCAAATGTACAATTCAAATGAATTGATTGAGCACCTGTGCCAGGCCCTGGGCTTTGCCCTGGGGAATCAAAATGAATAAAACATAGGCCCTGCCCTCAAGGGGTCCCCAGCAAGAGACATGTCCCTAACAAACATCAGGGCCTGTGATGGGTCTAAGGGACACGTAGGAAAGGGTGAGATTGTGCAGGAAGGGAGGAGGAATCCAAGCTGGGTGGTCAGAGGCCCACAGGCAGTTCAAGGGGATTTACACGCAAGGACACAGAGGGTGTGTTCTAGAGGCGAGGTTCTGCAGGAGGGTGAAGGGCAAGGAGGATTTGGGTCTGGAGGGCCAGTGGGGGCCAGAGCCCCGACGGCTTGAGGTCAGCAAAGGCTTGACTGTGAGGTCCTAGGGAGCCATGCAGAGTGTAAGCCAAGCTGGTGGGTGAGCTTTGCATTTCAGGACTGTTGCACTGGAGCAGTGTGAGGCTAACTGAGGGGGCTGGGCAAAGGCTGGTCATTCGTCTTCTGCCCCCACTACACCTTGAAGCCCCAAAAGGTAAGACAGTGCCTTTCTTGTTTCCTCAACATGGAAAGGTCATGTTGGTCATGACCTTCCAAGGTTGTGACCAATCACTCAGTAGGTGATGGATCAGTGCTTCCTGTCCTGAATGCATGCATGATGGAGGAATGACTTTTACATTTAGGCCAACATTTTCCAAAATGTATTCCCAAACCAAAAGAAGAATAGCTGATCAATTTCCCAAAGGAGGATAAACATACCAGGCATTCACTCACTGCCATCTGGGCCAGGCCTCACAAGCATGATCTCTTCCAGTTTAATGCATACAGCAGCCC